>NC_000024.10:21805281-22413772 GCF_000001405.40 Homo sapiens | reverse complement strand
GGCAGAACACTGACTGGTGTTATCTAGCAGCTGAGGAAAAGGAGAAAACGGGAGGGACTGCTTAACTGGTAGTAGGAGTTTTAATTTGGAGTGATGAAAATGTTCTGGAACTCGATGGAGGTAGTTGTTGCATGGCACAGAATGTATCAAACACCACTTAACTGTTCACCTTATAATATTTAATTTTGTTATGTGAATTTCATCACCACAGGAAAAAAAAATCAACTGTGCTTTTTAATTTTTCCTTTACCCATCGTTAGTTGCATAACCATCATGTCTTGTTGACATGCGATCATTTCTCCAGGAAGATATTGTCGCTCTGCGTGGAGGAACTCCATAATTCTCTCTTCTTTGTGACATGGGACCTTTAACATTCAAATGATGGAACATTATGTAAAGAACACCAAATCTGAAACGCTATTTTCTCTTCTCTCAAACAACTTTTTAAAATTATTTCTTCTATGACTCCATTCTTTGTTTCCTAAATTACTAGACAGACATGACACTGTGAATATTTCTCATGGCTTTGGATAATCCCATGGCTCCCACAAGGCCAGTTCTTCTAATGAAGCTGAAGGCAAACATTAATGCTTAGGTAAAAGTTCATTTGTAATGGTTAATAACTACTTAGTTATTATTTTCCTTTCCATATAAATTACTGATGACTGTGAGTGACACAGGGAAAACACGTAAAACCATCAAACTCTTCACTGATTTTAAAGTTTACATACATTGTCCTTTCTCAGCCAAAGAAGGTAGATTTTCCAATATCATTCAGTCCATCTCACACACACATAAATACAGCTACCTTTAAATGACTATATGCTAAATGTTTACATAAAAGTTCTTTAGCTGGTTGGCTCTATCTTAAATGTTGACAAATTAAAATGTATTAGTGAAGATTTTCTAATGATGGTCAAGATTTGCTTTTACTGCAAAGAAAGCAATGCTATGCAAGGGGTCATTACAACATTGTTGCTGTTTCAAAATAGAAAGTTTCTCCTCTAATATATTCTTCACTTGCTATTCCTTAGAGGTCAGTGTTTCACATATGATACCTTCACTGGCTAATTTTCCAATGGAAATGTGTTGGCTTGGGTATCCTGAAGCCAATAAATACCTCCCTTCACCGATACTCTACGTATGAAATGTAAAATTGAAAATGGCAGTTTTTAACTTCCTCCATATGCGGATGGAGGACTAAGAAAGAATTTTAATTTGCTCTGCTTAAACTTCCTTGCTAAGAACTTTTATTTATTGTCTTATTTTCTTCTGTTCAGTCTGCAGTCTTACAATTCTTCTCAAAAGTATTACTTGCATTCAACCCTACCGCTCACCTCATGTTGCTTAGTTCTAAATTCTCTCCTCAAATAATTTCAAATCTTACACTAAGGATCTTGTGTTAATGTTTAAACATCCCGGTACAATCTCAATTACTGATTTACATACACCTATATTTCACAACTCTGCATTTCTGTGATATCCACTTAATTTAAGAATTTTGGACTCCTACGTGTCTACCTCTCGAGCCTTAAATTTATTTTTAAATCATATTTAAGCCCAATGACTCCTTGTCTGCTAAATGCTCTTGTAGTTCTTTTGAATCTTCATGCACGCAGTGAGTATGCCTTGCACATACGCATTACTGAGGTCTCAGAAGCTGGATGGCCAGGCTTAGCGGCTCACACTGTGAGTGAGTGTGGAAGGCTGAGGCAGCTGGACCGCTTGAGCCCCGGGCTTTAACATCAGTTTTGACAATGTAGTCAGATCCTCTCTCTACAAAAACATAGGGAAAAAAATGTAGCTAGGTGTGCTGCTGCATGCCTGTAGTTGCACAAACTCGGGAGGCTGAAACAGCAGAATTGCTTGAGCCCAGGAATTTGAGGCTATAGTAAGCCGTCATCTCACAAATTTGAGGCTACAGTAAGCCGTCATCTCACATAGTGCACTCTCACCTAGTAAGAGCAAGACTCCAACCCAGCAAAGTCACCGAACAAGCAATTTTTAGAATGGGACACCAGGGGACTTAGGAAATGGAAGAATTAATTAGATCAAGAAGCCTACCATCAAAGAATACTGCTAGGAACTTTTAGAAAAATTAAGGGGAATTTTCTAGCCAACACAGGATTAAAAGGAACGTTGGCCTCACTCTAATCACTTCTTTGATCTGCAATGAGAAGCTCAAGTATTTCTTCAACATAAATCTGAAATGTACCTAGTGAGATAGAAACTATAATAAAAGCTATCAATCAGTAATTATGCTCACGTATGTGTCACTTCTCTTTTGTTCAATGAACTTAAAGCTAAGCATTCAGGTAAAACGGCTCATTTTTAGTCATACAAAAACTACGGTCTTTCTGTCAGGCAGCATTTACCTTGGCTTCCCATCCAACTATTGCTTCTTGCCACAGCAGAAGGAGCAGATTTTTTCGGAGGAGGACCTCCACTTCTTGAAGATGGACCTCTTTTAACTGGAATGAGTCCCCTAGAATAACTCATCTTGAGATCAGGAGTGTATCCACCATCATCTGTATTTCAAACAAAATCTTTTTAGTTAACTGACGTCACTGTTTCTTAAATGGCTAAGTTTTAGTTGTTTACAAATATTTTCTACATTTTATAACAAATTCACATTTTGTCTAAACTAATAAAATTAGCATTCCTACAAGGTATTAGTACACTTCAAGCATTAAAAGTTCATTTAGAAAATCTAGAAAGAAACTCAAGTATCATAATATATCGGTATGAAGGAGAGATGTGGGAAAATGGGGAGTGAACGGGGGCAGAAATCTATCACTAAAATATCCAAATATAATATACATAAAAATATTAAAAGAAAAATGATAAATGACTGTTTATATCATTCTGTAATGAGGAAAAATTTTCAAAGCACATCATAAAGATAAACTAATTTCCATTCAAAGAAACTCAAATATTTCCAATACCAAGAAATCACATATCAGGAAAATACATTGTCTCTAAAATTTGTTAACACAATATAGAATTCTTAAAATTCCCTTATGAGACACTAATTTTCAGATGAGACTATGCTGAATTTTAACAGTCTTTAAGAATTGCATATTCGGTAATATAAACATATTTTTATACATCTACAAAAACGTAGATATATGCCAATTGCCAGGTGGTGTTACAGGTTAGAATTTATGTATACATTCTCGTCCGTGGCAGAGTATAATTGAAGCTCACCCTCAAGATCAGTGGAGGCAAAACAGCCGTGAAGCTACGCATCTTAAAATGGAGCAAACACTGCAATTTCAACTTGAAAACAATCTCCAATTAATTACATGTCTGGTTATTAAAACTCCAAGCTAATTGTTAGAGTTTTGAAGGTTGGTTAATAGATAATACAAGTTAACCAACAGGTTTATTTATTTATTTATTCAGATGCACTCTTGCCCTATCACGCAGGCTGGAGTGCCATGGCATAACCTTGGCTCACTGCAGCTTTTGCCTCCCAGGTTCCTGTGATTCTCCTGCCTCAGCCTCCTGAGTAGCTGGGATTACAGGTGCACGCCACCAGGCCCAGGCAAATTTTTTTGTATCTTTAGGAGAGACAGGGTTTCACCATGTTGGCCAGGCTGGTCTGGAACTCCTGACCTCGTGGTCCACCTCCCCTGTACTCCCCAGGTGCTGAGGTGACAGGCGTGAGCCACCTCGCACAGCCCATCCAATAGTTTTTTCTTTTTCCTTTTTTTTAAATATATGGTTTGTTTTTCTTTTATATGTAAAGATGGACCCCTCATTTCTATTAAGTAAATCACTCATAAATATCATTTTCAGTGACTCAGCCTCCAGCAAAGAAAGATTCATACATATCTGTGAAGCAGTGGTTTTTAGATCTTTCCAGAGTCACAGACTCTTTTCAGAAATTAAAGTTCTACATTTCTTAAATTGAAAATGCTTTACGGCAGGCCAATGTACAAACTCTCTGTATCAAAATTACAAAGCAATACATTTGCATAGATGTTTCCACATGTAGACACAAGAAAACAAATACTGCAAAATCAATCTTCAGTATTCAGTTACTTCTTCCTGTTGGAAAATTTTAAATATTACATCGTACTTTGATAATACAACTGACACGAAGTTCTGGGCCCTAAAGTAGAAAACTCTAAAGTATAATGAATATAAATGAGTTCTGCAGAAAACCGGTTGAGTACAGGCAATCAGCATTCACAAACACAACTCAGTTTCAAATGTGTGTTACTTCAGTGCAAACTTATTATAATTGTTAAACAAATTTTAGATATTAGTTCAATCATTCTTATAATACACCTTTATAGTACTTAGAAATAAGTTTGCTTATTATCAATAAGCTAATTTTCTCTTCATACAGGAAAGAAAAAAATTAAGAAATTTCAATATCGTCAAACTTATTTTCTTTCAGTCCTATGGTTCCATCTTTATATTTTAAAACATTACCCAGGTGCCCTTCATGTGAGGGAAGCCACCCTCTTGTTCCTCCACTGCTTCCTCTTGCAGATCTCAGACTTCCTGAAGGGCTTCTGTTTCTCGAAGAAGCTGGTGGTCTCCGCCTACCACCACTTTGAAAAGATGGTTTCTTGGCTTGTTCTACTTTTATTGCTTTTCCATGCAAAGACTAGAAGTATTAAGGGTACTATCAATAACACTGGCACATTTAACGTAAGCACATTTTACAAACATTTTTACATCAACTGTAGTTCAATTTGAGGTATTTTCTCCCAAAAGGAAACTTTTTTTTTCTTCTAAAATGAACACATCTTTCGCAATGCCAAATTTGAGATAGTTACTGAGCACATGCCTTCCATTAAGGGATCAAACACAAATTCTATTATTCAAATTCCTTGAAAACTTCTCCATCATTAAAAAAAAAAAAAACTCAAACATAAAAAAAAAGTTTGACCCATCACACATTCTGTGGAAGAATGTGGCACATCTGTTTTTTACAATATATAATCCACTTCATCTTTGTAGTCACATCACTGATTTGAAAGTTGCAGTGTCCCAATGAAACTCGTGTCATTTAAAAAAAAAATGAGCTTACTTTTTCAGAGTGATTAGGCACATTACTCATTATGAGTTGTTTCTTGTTGGATTTGCTAACACTTCCATAAAATGTCCCCATATGATTTACAATTCTATATTGACTCTAAAAATGTTTCTGTAAATGTGATCCTTGTTTGATCTCATTAAGTTTTCTTGCCTTACTCATTTCTTACATTGCCTTAGACGTGCCCCTAAAAAACGAATCTTAATATAGTACTTCAGGTAATTTCTCAGAAATGCTTAACTATCCTAATTAATTTCATAATAACATTTTTCACTGTAATCTTTTCTACAGGCCACAGCAATTTTTGAAAACAGTTCAGCTAATAACGCGATTTAAAAATTACATGGCTTTTGTTATTTGGAGGAAGGACTTAAATCCCTGAACAAGACCGCTTGCAGCCACATCGCCCGTTGTTCCTACCTTGAAACTTCTTTTGTTATTTCTGGGCTCAAAATATTTTCCCCAGATTTGCCCACGGCTGCTTCCTTCCCAGTGTTCTGAAGTCAGCCAAAATTCCTTAACTGTTAATTCCCCCTGAAAACTCAAAGAACCTCCTTTATTGGCCATCTTAACATTAATGTGCATACAACATTCATAGTTATTTTAACACAATAAAATACGTGAGATGAAGTAATTTAGAAATAACGTTGGCTGGGCGCGGTGGCTCACACCGGTAATCCCAATACTTTGGGAGGCCAAGGCGGGTGGATCATGAGGTGAAGAGATAGAGCTCACCCTGGCTAACAGGGTGAAACCCCATCCCTACTCAAAGTACAAAATTAGCTGGGCGTGGTGGCGCGCCTCTGTAGCCCCTGGTACTGGGAGGCTGAGGCAGGAGAATCGCTTGAACCCGGGAGGCGGAGGTTGCAGTAAGCCAAGATGGCCCCACTGCAATCCAGCCTAGGGCACACAGCGAGTCTCCATCTTAAAAAACAAACAAACGAACAAAAACTTTACACAAATTATCTGCCCTTTTGCTTGAAAACTAGAGGGAAAAAAGAAATTATCATAGATTCCTATACAGAAGTCAAAATTATCTCCATACCTACCACAAAGCCATGAACCAAAAGCAACTCTCGGTTTCTACCACAGCTTGAAATACTAATTTATAAGGGTGAATAAAAATGTACTTTCTGCTATGTGACAGGAAGTGTGCTAGATGTAACAGAAAGAAAAGCAACTAGCAAGACTTAAATATGCACTATATACAATTTCACGATCAATAGATTAATACATAGTACAGCAAGTAGAAAATACCTACAATACGCAATGAGGAAGAAAATTATGAAATCTAAGTGGTTTTTGAAGCATAAATTTTATTTATGAGGCATACACAGGGAAGGATAATTCTCAAGAAGTCTAAAAAAGCACTTTGGGAATAGCGTGAAGACTAACAGGACCTAAAAACAGATTGGGATAACGTTATTTATTTATTTATTTTATTTATTTTTTGTTTTTTTGAGACGGATTCTTGCTCTGTTGCCAGGCTGGAGTGCATCGGCGTGATCTCGGCTCACTGCAACCTCTGCCTCCTTGGGTTTAACCGATTCCCCTGCCTCAGCCTACTGACTAGCTGGAACTACAGGCACACACAACCAGATGCAGCTAATTTTTTTTTTTGTATTTTAGTAGCGACAGGGTTTCACCATGTTGGCCATTATGGTTTCTTTCTCCTGACCTTGTGATCTGCCCGCCTTGGCCACCCAAAGCGCTGGGATTACACGCATGAGCCACCATGCCCGGCATGATTGGGATAATGTTATAAAGCAAAAAACACTAAAGAGCACAGAATGGAATGCTCTTGACTACAATGTAAAGGAATTCAATAATTAATATCATTACACAGAAGTTTAAAGCTTAAGTAAACACACAATCTCTAGATTTAAGACTCAACAGGACAAGAGACCATTGGTTCAATCAAAACAAGTCCTCAAACACACTGGGGAAATGAGTAATTAGCTATTCATGTTACATAAATCACTCTGGTGACAGGAAAGAAATGTCCTTAGGAGAAAAAGCAAGCATGGAGCCAAGAATGCCAGTTACTTCTTCTGTTATCTGACTTCAATGTTCTCATATTATTTTCTATTTTCAACTACTTAACCTTTCCGTAAATGTAAAGGTCTTATTTAAATACACTTTCGCAAGAATATATTTTCATAAAATATATTCTTCAAGAAGGAAAGAGTCTTTCCTTCTTGTGCATCTGTCTAGATGTCTATCCAGTTTGTCTACGCTCTAAAAGTATTTCCATGAATTGGATGTACTTCAATTAATAGCATTTAATAAATATTGACTTATTACTTTCATTTACATGAGGGTTCCTTATAAGTTTTAAAGCTCTTCAAAACCTTTTAAAATCTATGTGCACTCATATCGAAATACAAACATAGAAAAAGGTTACCAAATATTAATTTATATAATGTTAATTCCAATACCCTTCCAACTACACTTGCACGTATATGGCACAAAAAAGAGGATGGCTTCATATGTCATTCTACTATCTTCAAAAGTTTAGCAATATTAAAAAGACCTAGAAATATTGTTAATTGAAGAACAGAGTTAGAATATTAGTAATAAGGGACTCTTACCGTTCCATTCATATCTTTCGCAGCATTCTTAGCATCTGCAGGGTTCTCAAAAGTAATAAATGCAAAGCCTCTGGATTTGCTGGTTCGATCCTTTATCAAAAGAACTAAAATATATGAAAACATTTTACATTCATATAATGGACTCATCAAGGTACTCACCATCTAAAGGTTACATCAAGCTAAAAAATAATTGCATTTCACATCACTATTATGGTTCTCGATACTCAATCACCCCTACAGTCAGTCTAGTTTATTCCAGTTTGTTTCGGAACTCCACAGCACATTTACTTTCCCTCATTTTCCTTTCTAAGTAGTAGGTTATCCTTTCCATAGAACCTTAACCTACTACTATGAGAATTTTCCAAATATCAAACAGATACTACAAAATAAGAGTTTAAAATGCATAAGGCATTTTAATGTAGGTATACAATGAACTTTGAAAAAATATATTTTTTCAAAACATATATATATAACATACATATTTTAAACATACCTATTGAAATATACATGTGAAAATACACACACACACACACACACACACACACACACACACACACGGTTTTAAGAGTTACCTTCTGATATGGGACCATGTTTCCCAAATACTGCTTTAAGCATCTTCTCATTGGTTTCTCTATTGAGGCCACCAATGAAAAGCTTGCCAGGATGATCTGCTTCTACCATTGTGCTGTAAATGGTAAAAAATTATCTATATTTAGATATAAATAAGCTAAAAAGATAAAATTTTATTACATACTGTGCTGAAAACCCAAGTAAAATTCCCTTCCTGAGGCTGACATCTTTTTAGTATTTCTTACTTTATATATGTAAAATTTGTAACACTCAGAGCAAAGGGGCACTAACTTCATGGACAAATGCTGCATTTTAGTATGTACCTGACAAAAATCTCATTTCTAAAAATTAGATAAGAAAAGCTATTGTAATTTTCCTCAGTTGCAATATGAAGAATGTCCCCATTTAAATAATTTTATTTGAAAAGAATCTATTTATGAGGTACGGTGTGATGTTTTGCATATTTTCTTTCTTGAGATGTCTGTCTCCTGTCGCCAAAGTGAACTGCTCACTGCAGGCTCTTCCACCCAGCCTCAACTGATCTTCCTACATCTCAGCTTCCCAAGTAGCTAGTACTACAGGCGCTTTCTACCACAGCTGGGCAATTTTTTGTATTTTTAAAAATAGACAAGGGTTTCCCCATAGTGCCCAAGCTAGTCTCCAAATCTTCGGCTCAAGTGTTCTGCCGGCTTGGGACTACCAAAGTGATGGGATTTCAAGGGTGACTCACCACACTCAGCATGATATTTGGATAAGAGATTAAATCAAGCTACTTAAAATGTTCTAGGAGGAGAATATTTTAAATATTTTACCATCTTTTAGTGATTTGAAATATACAATAGGTCAAAGATCCCCAAACCCTAGCCTTCAACCCGTACCTATCTGTGGCCTGAATGTGATGCCGGAGGATGACCTGCAATACCTGTCTGTGGAGAATGTAACGCCTGAGGATGACCTGAGGTGGTACAGTTTTATCCGGAAACCATCCTCCCTACTCCCTCGCTGGCCCTCCCTGTCCCCGTGACAGCCTCACTGCCCCACCTGGCCTCTGTCACATTGCTCCTACCGGAAGACCCGCCCCACCACGTGCCCCTCGGAGGCCTGCCGCCAGCCCCCACTCCCAAACCTGTCCACCTCGCCGCCTTCTTCCCCTGCGCAACCTTTGTCTGAGGAAAAACTGACTTCCACTAAACCAGTCCCTGATGCGAAAATAGCAATGAAAGAGTCCAGTACGTTACCCAGGCTGGTCTCAAACTCCTGACTTCAAGCCATCCTCCGACCTCCACTTCCCAAAATGCTAGGACTACAGGAGTAAGGCAGTGTGCCAGGTTAACAGAATAACTTAAGCGCATCTATTTTGTTCCAGTTTTCGGCTATCTAACTCCATTTGTCTCGATTACACCCACTTATTCGGTTTAAACTATTTACGGTGCCAAAGACACATGAAACGTTTCAAATACTGTCATACAACGAAGGAGACAATCACAGGCTTTACAGAGGCAAACTGAAACTCAGATTATTTGTGGCCCCATATTTCTACATACACTAAAGTAACACAATTTATGTCAAAATTTGATAATTCTTCCAAGCAAATCAGACACGCGACACGTGCTAACTAAAAGTGTGACTTTTTAATCGCAGTGGTTAAGTGTATTGCCTGTATTCTGAATTATCACCACATTCACAGAGAAAACCCGCTTTAATAAAAAGTGCACATGAAAACCAATGGCGGCTTAGCACCATCTCCCACAACTAGTCGGACACATTAGGCAGTTAAAGGTAGAATCCTCAGGAAAAATCAATGAGTTTAACGAAAGTGAGTCTCTTAATAGCACTGAGGAGTTCTTTCCCCACTGACTCCTCCCGTAATTCAACACCCACACATAGAAAACCCATCCCCTTTTATAGACAAAATCCCAAACCTTCGCTTTCTATTCTTGCCGAGAGACCCAGCTGTCCAGAGAAACAGAAAATACCTGCGCTTTTTAGTAGGACAAAGAGCCTGAGGTTCGCCTGGCCCTCAGGCGTACGTAACCGGCTTCGGAACACCACAGGGCCAACTGCGGGAGGGACAGCTGGAGCTACCCTGAGAGGGAAGGACGCCGGAAGCCGTGCCCGGAAATCCCGCCTACCTCCAGCGGCCAATCATTGCGAAGGCGGTGGGCGTCAGCCAGTTACTGCAAAGGCTGTGGGCGTGTCCTGAGGCCGCTCCGCCCCAGCAGGCCTGCGGCTCCATCATCTCGCGGTAACTCTTCCGAGACCACGCTTGTGCCGCGTGGCGGGCCGCGGTGGATTAAGGCACACGCGAACTGTGAGCCCTTTGCAATTGTGGGCATGGAAGACCTACACCCTAACTGGCATCCTGAGTGTGGCAAGACATTAACTAACCCACAGGGAACACATGAAACATCTCACTTCATTAGGCAGGCTAGGCTGATGGTACCGAATATTGCAGATCCAGAGGGGAGAGAGAGGGACCAGCGCTGCTGCAGGGGCGAGGGCAGCAGCGGTGGCTTGGGGGGATTGGGGCAGGGCGGGTGCGTGGGACTAAAGTCGACTGGTACGTTGCTGAGGTGGAATTCATCTGCACCAGAAGCTGAAACCCTGCAAGGATTCTGTCAGGTCTAGGCAAATACATACTCCGAGTTCCATGGTTCCTCCCTGAGGATGCTGTACTCACAGGGGCATTCCAAAGGACTTCTCATCCTGTGCCCTGGGCACACGGGAGGCCTACCGCCATGGTCGCCAATGCAGTGATCCGTGTGCACTGCTTTGCTGGTGCAGAGGCTCTCACAAGTGCAGTGGTGGCCGTGTGCCTGCTAGCGGGGCTCTGGAAGCCAGGGCCTTGGCATCCGACTCCAGGGCTGCCGTGCGCAGCTAACCCTGCTGGGTAGCTGAGCCCCAGTGTGAGTGTGACAGGCTAAGGGCCCTGTGGGGCCCCCCAGGAACCCTGTTCCACATAGGTGTAGGATGTGGTTCTCAGCAGGGCAAGGCCCGCAGGCCTCTCCTGGAGTTGCCCCCAGAGTTGACGGGTGCCGGGGGGGTGGGGTGGGAGGCACAGGCTTTGCTCTGTTGGAGCCTCAAGGAGGGCACCATGTTAAGGCTGGAGGCTGTGCAGGAGAGGATGGTCTGTGCACAGAGCAGGAAGACAACCCTGCGGGGAGAGGCATGCTAGTGGGGGATGACATCATTGCAGAGATGGAGGTGGTGGCCAAGGAGGAAGGCCAATGTGGAGCCACAGCAGGAGGACCTGCAGGCACAGCCTGGCCCTGGCCCCAGTACGCCCCGGCCAGCAACAGACTCGCTGGACGTCCTTCACTTGGAGCTCGGCTACGTGAATGTCCCAGGCCACAGGGCATCCCCGGCTTCTGGGCCAGAGCCATATCCTTGCAGCTGCCAATTCGGGATGGTTGGCAGCAGGGGATGGGCGCGGAGCTCCCGGGAGCGGAGGTGGGGGGAAACAAGGTGGTAGGCACTGGCGGTCAGCCAGGATTCAGGGCATGGGGGACAACAAGGGGAACTGAGAACAGGCTCATGCAGATAGGAGGGCAGCTTAATTGCATGTGCCCTGAGGGCATGTGGTAGGGACAGGAAGCCAAGCACAGCACTCACCAGGGAGAATAGCAGCGCCAAGGACCCATCATAACAGCAGAAAGTTGAAGGATACGATTCACCGGGAAAGTCCCTGGAGGAAGGGGAGTCTGCATGCCCATGCCAGCCACGGAACTTCCCTGCTCCCCTTGCCTGTGTCCAGCAAGCTTACCCCAGAAACACAAGGTGCTCAAGACTCGGTGTCACTGTGCACGGGGCTGCTGTCCTATGCAAGGCAGGCACTATCTCCCCAGACACAATTTCTTCCCTCTGCCAGCGCTGCACCCAAAGATGTTTAGGCCCTGAGTATATATAAGCTCCCTTGAAACCACTCGAGCTCCACGGGGAGAGCCAGGCACAGCCCCGTAGCTACTTCTACCCACAGCGGTTGCCTGGGGTGGACACGTGCACCCCTCAGGGAGACCAGGAGAAGGAGAGACCGCACACCCAGACAGCAGCAGAGCCTGTCCAGCACCCAGCACAGGAGGGCCTCCTGCAGCTCAGAAACGCCGAGCAAGTAGTCGCCTCACACAACAACACCCCGCCCCCAACCCCCTGCCCACTTCTTCAGTGCCAGTCCCTGGTCAGAGCAGGTTGTCTGGGCCTGCCTCCACCCACCACCAAGACCACCACAGCTCTGATGGTGCCCTCCACGCCAGACAGAGACAGAGGACCTGGAAGGGAAGGTGCCCTGCCCCACACTCTCCGTGCTCTTGCAAAGTTGCAGGGTGTTTCCTTGCACGCCCACCCAATCATCCGGCGGCTCCTTGACCAGAGGCAGATTGTGCGGCACACCGAGATGTTGGCCGGGATCACAAATGATGATGAAGTCCTGCTAAGCTACGTACGTGATGGATTTGCAGGTCAGGCTAAGGAGCCTGAGTCTTCGGGAGGGGTCTGGTGTCTGGGTCAGGTTGAGGTACCCCTGGGACCCGGGGGTGTCTCAATGAGAGAGTTGGGAAGGAGAAACACATGCTTCACCCCAGCTAACAGGTCACCTCACCCCAGCTACATGAAATGCTCCTTTGAGTACGTCCTCTTTCTCCTTCTTGGCCAGGTAAGGGGAGGAAAGCAACTCTTCCGGGTACCGGCAGCAGGATGAAGTTTTCCTTTTATCACAGTCTCTACTTCCACAATGAAGTGATCATTCAGGAGTACTGCCTTGGCATCCTCGGTAAGGAGCGCCTCCCAGCATGGTAGGGGAGCTGGTGTGTGGGAGGGTAGGTCTGGCATGAACCTTCCTGACTCCTCTCTCTGCAGGATACGGGATGTCTCATTCCACTGCAGTCTAGTGGTTGTGGGATCATGAAGGTCAAGCCTCCAGCTGCAGGCCGTACAGCTCCTACCTGACCTTCTTCAGCTGGTTGGCTGACCATGACTGCCCAGGTTCTGGCAGGATTGCTGAGGTGAGCGCCAGGTAGGGCATCATGGGAAAGGATCTTGCTGGTCATTCCTTGGCCTCTGGGGAACTGGCTTTGAGCCATGACCTGAACTAACCTGTACCCACTTCTGCAGGCCCCCAGATCATCAGCCAGAACCTGTAGCTCAATCCCCTGCAGTACTTCTCCAGGGAGGGAGGCCATTAGAGAGTGAACAGAGAGGAGGCCAGGTGAACAGTCTAGGGCTGGGGACTGAGAGACCTTTGATTCCTGGAGTTGTGCCCCACATGGAGAATCCAAGCCTCAGGGAGGTGACTGCAGTGAGCGATCCCACGCCATCCATGGGCTGGCGGAGAAATGGCCATCAAAGAACTTTAACACCCACATTTTGGGATTGGGGCACCTTCAGCCGCCTAAGAGGAATAAGTGTCTAAGGTCAGTGGGTGAGAAGCAAGGCTCAAGTGGTAGCTGTCTCATCATCCCTCACCGGCTGAGGCCTGAGGCCGGCTACCACTTGGGGCTCAGTTTGGGCTCAACCAGGGCCCTCTCACCCTCCACGCAGATATCCTCCCAAGGCCCCTCTCTACGTCCTCCCTGATGGGCTGTCCCAGGCCCATCATTTTTTGTTACAATGATCCCAGGCTTCCCTGAGATGCTTTCTGCCCTCCGCCATCATCACTCACACTGCGCTGCCCCACCCTGCCCCACCAGACAAGAGAGGCCACTACTCAGGGAATCTGGAAAACCACACTGGGCTCACAGAGGAGGAAATGTGAAGAGATGGCAAAATGAATGAGCCCTTCATTGTGTGTCCAGGGAGGAAACCTGGCTGAGAATTAAGGCCCACCTGAGTAGTGGTGTGGACACCGAGTGTTACTTATCATGATGAAGATCTGCTTTGTCACATCCCCTAATATTAATGTGGAAGTTATTTTCTTGGAATAGTGAAACAATGAGGACAAAGAAATAGTGTTTGTTCAGATTTGTATAGAAATACTGCAGACGCATCCATTTTCCATTACAATTCTTATGTGAGACTTGAAGTGTTTATTGAGTTTTAAGATACATTTTGATTGTTCTGCCCCTGGGAAATTTTATGATCATGTTTGTATGATCATAGATTCTATGTAGAGACATAGAATCCGGAAAAGTTTTGAGTGACTTTCAGCTTCTTTTACAGTACTTACTTGTAAATTTTGAATTTTTTCCCTTATAGTTCTCTTCAGTTTATTATTTTAATTTTATATGTAAGGTGATAAATTTGTTTTGTTATTTGCCTTTTGTGGAAACTTCGTTTTAAAGTACTTTTTTTCTGTTAGATATGTGAGTTTATGAGTACAAAATTTTTATTTTCATTTTTTAGTTTTTTTGGGGTGTCTGTGTGTGTTTTGAGGAGCATTGCTCTGCCACCCAGCCTGGAGTGAAGTGGTAGGATCTTGGCTCAACCTCAACCTCTGCCTCCTGGCTTCAAGCCATTACCCTGCCTCAGCCTTCTGAGGAGCTGGGATTACCGGTGCATGCCACCATGCCCAGCTAATTTTTGTATTTTTCATCAAGACTGGGTTTCACCATATTTGCCAGGCTGGTCTCCAACTCCTGACCTCAAGTGATTCACCCACTTCTGCCTGCCAAACTGCTGGGTTTACATCGTGAGCCACCATGCCCGGCCTCATTTATTTGTTTACGTATTTGAAGCCTTGTTCTATTCTCTTCATGTACACATATTTTAGAGTGATTGAAAGAATGTATTTTATTTATTTAGTCAATAGTAGAATTTTAAAAGTAATGTTTTTATTCAGTAAATACAGTATTGTGAATAGGTTAAACCTTGTATAGTATTGTCATTCTCTCTTTCATAAATTCTTCAAGAACTCTAATACCATTTCCGGCCCCCGCCCCCTGAAGAGCACATGCAGATAACCCCAAAGATATGCTCCCACACAGTTTATGCAGTTTATTCACTTTAAAGCAATGCACTAAAAATGTCTAGATGGGTCCAAAAAATTGTGGAAGTGAGTGGGTATGAAAATATAATTTGAAGGCCAGGTGGGGTGGCTCACGCCTGTAATCCCCACACTTTGGGAGGCCAAGCCTGGTGGATTACCAGATGTCAGAAGTTCAAGACCAACCTGGTCAACATGGTGAAACCCCATCTCTACTAAATATTCAAAAATTAGCTGGGTGTGGTGGCATGTTCCTGTAATCCTAGCTATTTGGGAGGCTGAGGCAGGAGAATCGGTTGAACCGGAGAGGCGGAGGTTGCAGTGAGCCAAGATCATGCCACTGCACTACAGCCTGGGTCACAAGAGCAAAGATTTGTCTCCACCACCCCACACCCCCCAAAGAAAGCCTCAAATTTACATAAACATAATTATCTTAAAAGCCAGCATAATTTTAATTTCACTGTAGTCATCAGTTTCAGACATTGTTTATTTTGGAGAAGTGATTACAGAAATTAGAAAAATCGAGGCCTGATGAGAATATTTAAATTAACCACACTCCAGAAGCTCAAAGCTGAAAAACTAAGGTATTTCTGATATAACAGCCCAAATTCTGCATTTCCTCTCTATTGGACAGTGTAATATTGCACATATGAAAAAAAATGCAGTGTTAAATAAAAAGTAGTGGAATTAAGAGGAGTCATTGCTTAGTGAATTAAAACAACACACAAATTGAGAAGAAAAGACAGTGATAGAAAATATATTGTCTATTGATTTAATTCACAATAATTTTCACTTTTGTCTATTAGCATTAAATAGTACCATTAACATAATATCATTTTGATATTGTCTTCTAACATGTAAGTGGTTTTTATTTTGTATATTTGGAAACCTGATCAAAGATTCTTTAGACATTTCATTTTTTCCCAAATTTCCTAGCTAATATCTAGCTAAATGCTAGTTGCCCGAATGCCTCTCACTAAGTCGTTTGTCTTTTCTCATTAATTTTAATACGAACTTGGTGTGTATTTTGTTGGCATCTTTACTAAATCTACAGGTGTTGAAGTTGTGCAGATTTTAGTCATGGATCCTCTTGAGTTTTCTCAAGGCTAAAACACCCTTTCTATGCTTACCATTAAGAAATTCCCAACTTCAGGCCAGATCTTTGTTCTACCTTCACACTTGGCATATCCAACTGCATGCCTTACATCTCCACATACCAAACCAGACCTTCATTTCATCCCCAAAACATGTTTCCTCCTACAGTATTCCACTATTTCAGAAATTCACAGCACCAAATACTCTGTATTTCAAGCTAGAAATGTAGAGGATGATCCTTGAGGCAGCCGCTTCTCAATGAGTCTCCATCATTCATATCCAACTCTTCACAGGTTGTATGTCCCCTCTGAGAATTACATAGTCTTAGTAAATAAAGACTGGCTCATAAGTTACCTTCAATCATCCACTGTTTTTTCTTCAATTCACGCCAGTTTCTCTAGAGAACAGCTGGAGCTCTGCAATGTCAATGTTGGAGTAAGAATCATTCTCTGTCAGTATTACTATGTTATTTATCACAAGAGAAATGTTCCTTTAAAATGCCCACACAAACCTATAGTAACACAGTTAAATGATGTCTTTGTTTTACGGAAAAGTACAAGCCAAATAAAATAAATTGTTATTATATGATCTTTATAACTACAAACACAGGTACTAGATATTTTAGACCCCACTTCATACATCTGAAATTTGAGTCTCAAAATCATCATCTTTTCTTAAAGTCTAATTTCAAATTACAAAACTACCTCTTTCCACAATATCATGCTATCTCCCTTTAAGATCCAGCTGGGGAATCATTAAGAATAAGAAATGTAATTTTCTTCAACATCTCCTAGCTGAGCCAAAATCTAAATTTTCTGTGGAGATCTTGTTATGTGCAATTTCGCCAAAACTTTTACAGCTTTAACCACAGTTATGCTTCAGTGGCCTACCTGTTCATGCAATACCTGCACACCTGCTTTAACATAGAAAAATTTGGAAGTTAATATGAGCATTAACTCTTATCATTATAGACAATGACATCTGAAGATGCTTTCCAATCTTCCTCGAATATATGAAATTCAAAATGTCAGTACAATATCCAAATTGTCAACGTAATCTTAGTAGCAGTGGATCATTTACAGAAGATAATTTTGCCTCAGTGGTCAAATATTTTTGTTAAATACTGCTATCTTATAGTCATGTATAGCATAACTGACACAGGTGTATAGCTAGAAATAGGATCCTAAAGAAAATGTTCAGAAATAGGTTTCATATATTTTGCTGAATTTCAAACTAACAGGTTAATTAGTACTCTGAAGTGTTGGATAGTTGGAGTAGTATTTACCAAGAATGAAAAAGAAGATAGGGGCATACAAATTGAGAATCCTGAAGTTAGGAAAAGATAAAGTATTTGTTCCTGACTCCTGGCTTGATGTTCTTCACGTGTGGCTTATTTTTGGGGTCTTTTTTTTGGTTCTGTTTTTGGTTTTGTTGTTTTTGTTGTTGTTGTTTTACTGTATCTTATTTGTCAGACCAGAGTTTCACAAGCATCCTCAAATAATTACGTGGGTCATAAAATATATACCCAGATACTTCTAGCTATTTTCCTTCAAAATCCCGGTCCAATCATCTGAAATGAGACCTGTAGAACCAGTAATTCTCACAAGTATGCTAAGTGGTTATTACTAAAACAACAGTTCTGAAATACTTAGAAAACCATCCAGGAGCTAGGTAATCAACATTTAATAATTGGTTCTTACTGTAAGAGTAAAGGATTTTATTGAAATGACTATTTAAATGCAAGTT
Organism: Homo sapiens; assembly: GCF_000001405.40. Lineage (NCBI taxonomy): Eukaryota > Metazoa > Chordata > Mammalia > Primates > Hominidae > Homo > Homo sapiens. The sequence goes on along the minus strand of NC_000024.10, from coordinate 22,395,804 downwards.
CTATTAAAAAGATAGAATTGAGCACTTCAGTGCTTTTTTTTTTTTTTTTTTTTGAGACGGAGTCTCGCTGGACTGCGGACTGCAGTGGCGCAATCTCGGCTCACTGCAAGCTCCGCTTCCCGGGTTCACGCCATTCTTCTGCCTCAGCCTCCCGAGTAGCTGGGACTACAGGCGCCCGCCACCGCGCCCGGCTAATTTTTTGTATTTTTAGTAGAGACGGGGTTTCACCATGTTAGCCAGGATGGTCTCGATCTCCTGACCTCATGATCCACCCGCCTCGGCCTCCCAAAGTGCTGGGATTACAGGCGTGAGCCACCGCGCCCGGCCCAGTGCTTTCTAATTAGTATCTTTAAAGTATGTTTTGCTAATATCTTACTTAGTAGTAATATCTTACTTACTAGTATATAAGTAATATAGTATAATAAGTAATATCTTACTTATTAGTATCTGAGAACAGATACTAATTTTCTAATTAGTATCTTTAAAGTATGTTTACATGTGAGGTGTTAAATTTGTTTTCTTATTTGCCCCTTCCAGAACTTTCATTTTCAAGGATTTTTTTTTTCTGTTAGATATGGGAGTTAGCCTGTGAGCACTTTTTCTAATACAGATTTTTTTTATTCATTAGTTTTTGGGGCGTATGTGTGTGTTTGTTTGTTTCCAGATGGAGTCTCACTCCGTCATCCAGGCTGGAGTGAAGTGGCAAAATCTTGGCTCACTGAAACCTCTCCCTCCAGCTTCACACGATTCCCCTGCCTTAGCCTTCCGAGGAGCTGGGATTACAGGCATATGCCACTATGTCCTGCTAATGTTTGTATTTTTAGTCGAGACTAGTTTCACCATATTTGCCAGGCTGGATTCGTACTCCTGTGATCCGCCTGCACCAGCCTCCCAAAATGCTGGGCTTCCAGGTGTGAGCCACCATGCCCAGGCTCATTTGTTTATGTATTTTAATCATTGTTCTATTTTCTTCATGTACACGTATTTTAGAATAGAATGGTCCAAGTGGGGCTTAGTCATCTTCGGGATTCTGCCCAAGCTCAGACTGTCAGCACTGACCATGCCATACCCTACCTAGCTCCCAAGGTACCTCTAGGACCTAGGTTGATCTTCCTGAAGCAGCCACTACATTTTCGACCCCTAGTCTTTCCTCTATGCTCGGAGGAAAGTCTGGAACAGGAGAAATTTATACAACTATATGATTGTTGGCTACCTAATTGATTCCTTATGAAGGTTGGGTAATGAAGAAGACACTGGGATGAAAGAGAAGCATGTTTGGAAAGAAAATAGTTTCCTCTCTTGAATAATAAAAAACGTACACATATTTAGAATAGAATGCTACTGTGGGTTTTGTAACAAAGAAACTAATAATACCAAGAGATGGTAACCATAATTTAAGAAACTTTTTCTAAAATATACATAACATAAAATATCTTTACCTTCAGATGATGTTTTTACTGTTAGGATATTCATCAGAAAAGAAAACATTGAAAAGATAAATTAAAATATTATGCAGACACAAACAGCTCTATATTGGTATGGTATAGTTTATGAACTAAGCAGTTCATAAGTGTGAGTATAGAATGTATAGACTTTAATTTGTTAAAATTAATATAAAGCACTTAAAAAGTGGCTTATAATAAGCATTTTTTTAAGAACTGTTCTTTACAATTCTGATATGCACAATTTATAGACAAACTCAGAAAAATAAGTTTGGGTTGCATTGTGTAGATATTTAAACCTATTTTCTTATGTTACATTTTTATTTTGCCGCAAAATTCATAGAATGTAATAGATGGGGGAGAATAACTTAATGGACACTATAGTCTGTCAGTTAATAAAATATTTTTTTCAGGAATATAAATGGTATTTATTTTACTAGAGCTCTGTTAATTAAGGATGTTATTTATTATACACAAACTGAGGACAGAGAAACCGCCTATGTGTGTATATTGTTTCTGTTAATTTTGGAAGTTTGGGTCAAATCACTACATTTATCTCATAAGCAAATAAAATAAGCTGTTCAAATATTATATTACAACCAAAAAGGGAAGATACAAGATTAAGATGACAAAACTTTACATTCCTAATTGACTTATTTTTCTTGCTTTCTTTTGATGTTATTTTACTTATTATTGCTTGTTTCTTATAGATTTCTTTAAAATTCAGTTATTGCTTTTCTCCTTTGTGCATTATTTTATGAAATAAGCAGACACCATGTAGAGTGAGCTTATTGCTAATATTTGAGAGGGGGATGAAATATGGATGACTATTTCATAATAAAAATACTTTTTTAAGGTTGATCAGACTACCACAACTCAAAAAAGTAAAAAATGAAAATTATATAGAACATATTTTGGCATTTTAAATTTTTTTCCTTTGTCAGATGAGTAGATTGCAAAAATTTTCTCCTATTCTGTAGGTTGCCTGTTCACTCTGATGGTAGTTTCTTTTGCTGTGCAGAAGCCCTTTAGTTTAATTAGATCCCATTTGTCAATTTTGGCTTTTGTTGCCATTGCTTTTGGTGTTTTAGACATGAAGTCCTTGCCCGTGCCTATGTCCTGAATGGTATTGCCTAGGTTTTCTTCTGTGGTTTTTATGGTTTTAGGTCTAACATTTAAGTCTTTAATCCATCTTGAATTAATTTTTGTATAAAGTGTAAGGAAGGGATCCAGTTTCAGCTTCCTACATATGGCTAGCCAGTTTTCCCAGCACCATTTATTAAATAGGGAATCCTTTCCCCATTTCTTGTTTTTGTCAGGTTGGTCAAAGATCAGATGGTTGTAGATTAGTGGTATTATTTCTGAGGGCTCTTTTCTGTTCCATTGGTCTATATCTCTGTTTTGGTAGCAGTACCATGCTGTTTTGGTTACTGTAGCCTTGTAGTATAGTATAGTTTGAAGTCAGGTGGCGTGATGTCTCCAGTTTTGCTCTTTTGATTTAGCATTGTCTTGGCAATGCGGGCTCTTTTTTGGTTCCATATGAACTTTAAAGTGTTTTTTTCCAATTCTGTGAAGAAAGTCATTGGTAGCTTGATGGGGATGGCATTGAATCTATAAATTACCTTGGACACTATTTCATGATATTGATTCTTCCTATCCTTGAGCATGGAATGTTCTTCCATTTGTTTGTGTCCTCTTTTATTTCATTGAGTAGTGGTTTGTAGTTCTCCTTGAAGAGGTCCTTCACTTCCCTTGTAAGTTGGATTCCTAGGTATTTTATTCTCTTTGAAGCAATTGTGAATGGGAGTTCATTCATGAATTAGCTCTCTGTTGGTCTTTTATTGGTTTATAAGAATGCTTGGGGTTTTTGCACATTGATTTTGTATCCTGAGACTTTGCTGAAGTTGCTTATCAGCTTAAGGAGATTTTGGGCTGCAGAATGTACAAAGAACTCAAACAAATTTACAAGAAAAAAACAATTCCATCAAAAAGTGGGTGAATGATATGTACAGACACTTCTCATAAGAAGACATTTATGCAGCCAAAAGACACATGAAAAAATGCTCATCATCACTGGCCATCAGAGGAATGCAAATCAAAACCACAACGAAATATCATCTCACACCAGTCAGAATGTCAATCATTAAAAAGTCAGGAAACAACAGCTGCTGGAGAGGATGTGGAGAAATAGGAACACTTTTACACTGTTGGTGGGACTGTAAACTAGTTCAACCATTGTGGAAGTCAGTGTGGCGATTCCTCAGGGATCTAGAACTAGAAACACCATTTGGCCCAGCCATCCCAGTACTCGGTATATACCCAAAGGAATATAATTCATGCTGCTATAAAGACACATGCACACATATGTTTATTGCGGCACCACTCACAATAGCAAAGACTTGGAACCAAGCCAAATGTCCAACAATGATAGACTGGATTAAGAAAATCTGTCACATATACACCATGAAATACTATGCAGCCATAAAAAATGAGTTCATGTCCTTTGTAGGGACATGGATGAAGCTGGAAACCATCATTCTCAGCAAACTATCTCAAGGACAAAAAAAATGCACATTCTCACTCATAGGTGGGAATTGAACAATGAGAACACATGGACACAGGAAGGGGAACATCACACACAGGGTCCTGTTGTGGGGTGGGGGGAAGGGGGAGGGATAGCATTAGGAGATATACCTAATGTAAATGATGAGTTAATGGGTGCAGCACACCAACATGGCACATGTATACATATGTAACAAACCTGCAGGTTGTGCACAAGTACCCTAGAACTTAAAATATAATAAATATATATATATATGTTTTCATATGTATATATACATATATATATGAAAAAACTGAACACACATTTCTGGAAAGAAGACATACAAGTGGCAAACAGGTATCTGAAAAGGTGCTCAATATCATTGATCATCAGATAAATGCAAATCAAAACTATAATGAGATATCCTCTCACTACAGTTAAAATTGCTTTTATTCAAAAGACAGGCAATAGCAAATGGTGGTGAGGGTGTGGCGAATATGGAACCCTCACACACTGTTGGAGGGAATGGAAGTTAGTACAATCACTATGGAAAACAGTTTGGAAGTCCCTCAAAAAAGTAAAAATAGAGCTACCATATGATCCAGCACTCCCGTTTCTAAATACATACCTAAAAGAAAGGAAATCGGTATATTGAAGAGATATCTGCACTCCCATGTTTATTGTAGCACCACTCACAATAGCCAAGATTTGGAAGGAAACTAAGTGTCTATCAACAGAATAATGGATGAAGAAAATGTGGTACATATATGCAAGAGGGTACTATTCAGCCATAGAAAAATGAGATCTTGTCATTTGCAACAATATGGATGGAACTGGAGGTCATTATGTTAAGTGAAATAAGCCATGCACAGAAAGACAAACATTGCATGTTCTCACTTACCTGTGGGAGCTAAAACTTAAAACAATTGAACTCATAGTGATAGAATGTAGATGGATGGTTGCAAGAGGCGGGGAAGGATAATCAGGAGTTGGAAGGTGGAGGGGCAGGGTACATGGTTAATCAGTATAAAAAATAGAATAAAGAAGATGTAGTTTTTGCTAGCACAACAGGGTGACTATATTAAAAAATAATTTAACTGTTCATTTAAAAATAGCTAAAAGTATAATTAAATTATATATTACATTTAAATAATTGAATTACATAAAAAATTTTCCTTTTCTTTTTTTTTTTTAATTCAAAATTTCTTGGGCCACTCTTCCTTTTATTTATGTTATGCTTCTCTTTGCCTACTTCCTTTGCGGCTCTCACAGTGGTGGTATATCCGTGTTTCTAAGTTTTATAGCTGGGTACGCCACTAGCCTCAACTGTTCCTTCAGCTCGTGGTGACAGAGGGTGGCGCGCAGGCAGTTTCTCAGAAAATCAGGAAAATTAGGCAAAAAATTCTTAATTTTAAGCAGAGAGGACATGTTTGTATCTCAGGTGAAAGAATTAATGTCTACATCATCTCCTGCGAATAGAGGAAATGTGTTAATTCAGACCATTTTTCTCAGGCTTTTTTTGGCAAATGTTAAGAAAGGTTATAATTGTTATTATGTGTGGATTTATGTTTATGGGTATAACTGATTTCTTGGCAGGAGTACGAAGACCACGAAGTTTTTGGATTTTTTCTATAAAAGGCGATGGGTTTTCAATGTGTGGGTGTTGAATTATGGGAGGAAACAGTAGGGAGAGGACTCTTTACTGCTTTACTTACTACGAAACTTACTTTCGTTAAACTCGCTGCTTTTTCTTGAGTATTCTTCCCTTTACTATCGGACGTGCCCGACATGTGGGCAAGTTGTGGGAGATGGAGCTAGGGCGCCATTTTTCTCATGTGCACTTTTTGTTAAAGCGGTTTTTCTCTGTGAATGTGGTCCTAATTCAAATATATAGGCAATATACTTAACCACTGTGATTAAAAACTTGTACTTTGGCCTGGCGCGGTGGCTCATGCTTGTAATCCCAGCACCTTGGGAGGCCGAGGTGGGCGGATCTTGAGGTCAGGAGATCGAGATCAGAGTGAAACCCCGTCTCTACTAAACATACAAAAAATTAGCCGGGCGTGGTGGTGGGTGCCTGTAGTCCCAGCTACTTGGGAGGCTGAGGCAGGAGAATGGCGTGAGGCGGGGCTTGCAGTGAGCCCAGATCGTGCCACTGCACTCCAGCCTGGGCGACCGAGCGAGACTCCGTCTCAAAAAAACACCTTGTAGTTTTACTTATCACATGTCAAATTTATGATTTGCTTGACAGGAATTATGAAATTTTGACCTAAATTGCATTACTTTAGTGTATGAGGAAGTCTGGGGCCATAAATAATCTCAGTTTAAATTTGTTTCCGTAAAACCTTTAATTGTCTCCTTCCTTGTATGACAGTATTTGAAACATGTTTCATGTATGTCTGGCACCGTAAATAATTTAAACCGAATAAGTGGGTGTAATCCAGATAAATGGTGATAGATAGCTTAAAACGGAGACAAAATAAATGCGTTTAAGTTATTCTATTAACTTGCCACACTGACTTACTCTTGTAATTCCTACCATTGGGAAGAGGAGATGTGAGGATGGCTTGAAGTCACGAGTTGGAGACCAGTCTGCGAACATAATGAGCCCTTTAATCTATTGCCATTTTGGCGCCAGGGACCGGTTTAGTGGAAGCTATTTTTTCACAGAAAAGAGGTGGGTAGGGGGAGAAGGTGGTGAGGTGGACACCTTGGGGAGGTGGGGGGCGGCCGTTCCAGGAGGAGTACAGTGTAGGAAGGGGTTTCAGGCCAGAGCAGTGTGACGGGGGGCAGTGGTGGGACAGCGGGGCTGCGAGGGGGACAGGGCAGGCCAGCGGGGAATAGGGAGGATGGATTCTGGATGAAACTGTTCCACCTCAGGTCACACTCAGGCATTACAATCTTCTAGGGAGAGCGCCACCTAGATCCTCGTATGCGCAGTTCACAGTAGGGCCCTTACTCCTGTGAGAACCCAATGTCTTCGCTGATCTGACAGGAGGCGGGGCTCAGGCAGTGCCAGAGGTTCACCACCTGTTCTGCAGCCAGGTTCCTAACAGGCCACAGACAGATACCGGTTGGAGACCAGGGTTTGGGGATCCCTGATCTATTGTATATTTCAAATCACTAAAATGTAAAACATTTGAAATGTTCTCCCCCAAGGAAGCATGTATTTTAGTTAGCTTGATTTAATCATTTATTAAAATATCAAGCTGGGCGTGGTGGTTCACCCTTGAAATCTCATCACCTTGGTAGCACCAGGCCAGAAGATAGCTTGAGCCCAGGAGTTTGAGACTAGGTTGGGTACCACGGGGAAACCCATGTCTATTAAAGAAAGACACAAAAAAGTGCCTACTAGCTCTGGTAGTGAGTGCCTGTAGCTTACCCATTAGATGAGACGTGGGAGGATCACTTGAGGTTCGGTAGAGGAGGCTGCAGTGAGCGGTGCACTTTGGCAACAGAAAAATTACATATCAAGAAAAAAATCCACAAAACACACTGTACAGTATATATACATAGTTTTCAAATAAAACTATTTAAATGGAGTATCCTGCGTATTGCAGCTTAAGAAAATTAGAGTAGCTTTTCTCCTCTCATTTTTACAAACAAGTTTTTGTCAGGTACATATTAAAATGCAGCACTTGTCCATGAAGTCAGTGCCCCTTTCACTGTGCATGTTACAAATTTTACATATTTGAAGTAAGAAAATCTAAAAAGATGTCAGCCTCTGCAAGGAAATTTCACTTGAGTTTTCAACACAATATGTAATAAAATTTTATCTTTTTGGCTTATTTATTATCTAAATATAGATTTTTTGTTACCATTTACAGCAAAATGGTAGAAGCAGATAGGCCTGGCAAGCCTTTCATTGGTGGCCTCCGTTTAGACACCAGTTAAAGACACTTAAAGCAGTATTTGGGAATTATGGTCTCATATTGGAAGGCAACTGTTATATATATATGTGTGTGTGTATATATATGTATCTACATATACATGTTGGTTATATATATTTTTTAAAGTAAATATATACTTAATGTATTTACTGGATATATAAAATATTTATTTGTTTTTAAACTGTTATTTTTGGATTTCTATTTGATATTGGGAAAATTCTCATAGCAGCAGGTGAAGGGTCTGTGGTAAATGTCACCTACTACTGAAAAATGAAAATGAGCAAAAGTAAATGTGTTGTGGACGCATGGAACAAATTGGAATAAAATAGGCTGACTATAGAGGTGACTTAGTATTAAAAGAATCATAGTAATGATGTGAAATGCATTTTTTGGGTTTGTTAGTACTACAGTGAGTCCATTAGATAAATGTAAAATATTTTCATATATTTTTGTTCTTCTGATAAATGATTGGGAAACCAGCAAGTTCAGATGCTTTGCATTTATTTTGAGAAAGCTGCAGATGCTAAAAATGTTGTCAAAGATATGAATGGAAATGTTAACAGTTCCTTATTAATAATATCCTAACTGTTCTTCACTTAACAGCATTTCAAGGTCTTTTTAGTATTACTAAACTTTTGAAGATAGCATAATGTCATATGATCTGAAATGCTTTAGCTATCCTCTTCTTTTTGCCATATTAAGTACAAGTGTAGTTGGAAGGATATTGGAATAAACCTTACATAAATTAATATATGGTAATCATATTTGTATGTTAGTATTTCAATACAAGTGTAAATAGATTTTCAAAGCTTTCAAGCAGCTTTAAAACTTAGGAGAAACCCTCACAAAAATGAGAGAAATAAGTCAGTATCTATCAAATGCTATTAATGGAATTACTTCCAATTCATGGAAATACTTCTATAGCATAGACAAACTATGGGTAGACAGCTAGATAGACTTACAAGATGGGAATCTTCTATAGAGAGACATCTAGACAGACTCACAAGAAGGAAAGATTTTTTCACATTTTCTGAAAACACATTCTTGAGAAAGTATATTTCAACAAGATCTTTACATTGAGGAAGTGTTACGTACTTGAAAGTAGAAAATAATATGAGAATATTGAAGTTGAGTAACAGAATGACTGGCATTTTTGCCCCATCCTTGCTCTTTTCCTCCTTAAAACATTTTTATCCTGTCACCATAGTGATTTATGTAACATGAGTACCTAATTATTCATTTTTCCAGTGTGTTTGAGCACTTGTGTTGATCCAACTAATGATCTCTGTCTTACTGAATCTTAAATTCTAGGGATCCTGTGTTTATTACAGCTTTAAACTTTTGTGTCGTTCTATTACCTGCTTAATTCCTTCATATTACCATCAAAATCATTGCATTCTGGATACTTTGGAATTTTTTTATATAACATTATCCAAATCTCTTTTTAGTTCCCAATACTCTTTATGCTATCACCAATATGCTTTTTTGGACTTCTCGAGAGTTATTCTTCCCGGCGTACATCTCACAAATAGCAATTCATGCTCCAAAAACAGCTTAGATTTTACATTTTCATCTTCACTGTATATTGTGGGTATTTTGGCCTCACTGTACCATGTATTAATCTGTTGATTGTTAAATTGTCTTTAGTGCATATTTAAGTTTTCCTAGTTGCTTTTGTTTCTGTTACATCTAGCACATTTCCTGGTATATAGCAGAGGTGCCTTTTTATTCAGGTTATGCTTTCATATTTTAAGTTTTTGGAGAAACTGAAAGTTGCGTTTGGCTCATGGTTTTGTAGGTGTGGAAATAATTTTGACTTATGTATAATAATCTATGATAATTTCTTTTTCCCCCATAGTTTTCAAGCACAAGAACAGGTGATTTCTGTGGATGTTACTTCTAAATTACTTCATCCAACATATCTTACTGTGTAAGAATAAATATAAATGTAATATGCACACAAAAGTTAAGAAGGGAAATAAAGGAAGTACTTAGAGGTTTCAGGGGCAATGAACAGGTTAAGAAAGTTTGGCTGACCTCTGAATAGTAGGAAGGAAGCAGTCATGCACAAACCTGGGAAACATGTTTTGGGCCCAGAAATGTGAGTGCAAGAGATCTTGGAAAGGATTTAAGTTCTTCCCCCAAATAACAAAGCAATGTAAGTTTTAAATACAATTTTTGCTGACATTTCTTCTAAAATCACCTTTGCCTATAGAAAAGATTAAAGTGAAGAAAGTTATTATGAAATTAATTAGGACATTTAAGCATTTCTGAGAAATAACATGAAGTACTATATTAAGAGTCATTTATTAGGGACACTTCTAAGGCAAGATAAGAAATGAGTAAGGCAATCACACCTGTAATCCCAGCACTTTGGGAGGCTGAAGCAGGTGGATCACAAGGTCAGGAGATCAGTTTAATAACCGGATGTGCAAGTCATTGGATATGCTTTCTCAAGTCGAAATTGCAGTGTTTGCTCCATTTTAAGGTACATAGCTTCATAGTATTTTTTTCTCAAATTATCTTGAGGGTGAAGATTAATACTACTCTGCCATGTATGAGAATATGCATTTTCTTACCTGTAACACCACCAAGGCATTAGAATATATCTACATTTTTTGTAGATATAAGAAAATATTTTTTATTATTTAATATGCAATTCTTAAAGGTTATTAAAATTGAGCATAGACTAAGCTAAAAATTAATACTTCATAATGGATTTTTAGGAATTGTATATTATGATACAAATTTTACAGATAATGTATTTTTCTGAGGTGTCATTTTTTGATTTTGTAAATAAATGAGTTTCTTTGAATGGAATTTGGTGTACCCTTATGATATGTTTTGAAACACTTTTTTTATAGTAGAATTATATGAACAGTAATTTATCATTTTTCTCCAAATATATTTTTTCTTTATGTAGATTGTATTTATATATTTAACTGATAGATTTTTGCTTTCTCTTCACTCTGCATTTATCCCAAATCTCTCTGTCACACCAATATAAAATGATTCTTTGTTATTTTTTAGATTTTCTTCTGTCACCAGGCTGGAGTGCAGCGACGTGATCTCAGCTCGCTGCAACTTCCGCCTCCTGGGTCCAAGCCATTCTCCTGCCTCAACCTCCCATGTATCTGGGACTACAGTTGCACGCCATGAGGCTCAGTTAATTTTTTTATTTTTAGTAGAGATGGGGTTTCACCATGTTGCCCAGGATGGTCTTGATCTCTTGACCTCATCATCTGCCCACCTCAGCCTCCCAAAGTGCTGGGATTCACACTGTGAACAAACATTAGTTTTAATCCTGTGTTTTCTAGAGAATTCCATTTAATTTTTCTTAAAATTCCTGGCAGTATTCTTTGATGGTAGGCTTCGTAATCTAATGAATTCTTCCATTACCTAGGTCACTTGGTAGTGGTCCTCCAGTGGGTCAATCTAAAAATTGTTTGTTCAGTTTCTTTTTGGGTTGAAGTCTTGCTCTCACCAGGCCAGAGTGCATCGATGAGATGACAGCTCACTACGGCCTCAAATTCCTGGGCTCAAGTAATTGTCCTCTTTTAGCCTCCTGCGTTGCTGTGACTACAGGCATACACCACCACACATAGCTAAATCTGTTTCCCTTTTTTCTATATTTTTGTAGAGACACGATCTCATTGCATTGTCATAGAGGACATTAAAGCCCTGGGCTCAAGCAGTCCAGCTGCCTCAGCCTTCCACATTGGCTCACAATGTGAGCCACTGCGCCTGGCCATCCAGGTTCTGAGACCTTAGTAATACTTACGTGCAAGGCATTCTTACTGGTTATGTGAGGATACACAAGAACAAAAGGAGCATTTTGCAGATAAGCAATCACTGGGCTTAAATAATAATGAATAATAAAATTAAGGCTTGATAGGTAAACTTGAAGGAGTCCAGCATTTTTAAGTTAAGAGCATACCACAAAAGTGCAGAGTTGTGAAATATATGGGGGATGTAAATTAAGATATGGTGTAAATTAATGTATGGAGAGTGTAAATATATGGAGGGGGTGTACAATTGTTAAGATGGTACAGGGATGTTAAAACCTTAACACAAGATACTTAGTGTAGGACTTCAGTTATTTCAGGAGAGAATTTAGTTCTAAGCAGCATTAGGTGAACAGTAGGATTGAATAGAAGTAATATTTTTGAGAAAGAGAAGTGTGAGATTTCAGAGTGAACAGAAGAAAACAAGACCATAAAGTAACAGATCTTAGTAAAGAAATTTAAACAGAACAAGTTAAAATCCTTACCTAGCCCTCCATCATAATATGGAGGAAATTGAAAACTGCCGTTTTCAATTTTACATTTCTCATGTAGAGTATCAGTGAAGTTAAGTATTTATTGATTTCAGAATACACAAGCCAGCACATTTCCATTAGAAGACTAGCCAGCAAACACATCATAGGTGAAAGACTGACTTCTATGAATTAGCATGTGAAGAGTATGTCAAAGGAGGAAGTTTTCTATTTTTGAAAGAGTTACAATATTGTAATTATCCCTTTAAGACTATTGCTAATTGCAGTAAAAATAAATATTGGACATCATTAGAAGAGCTGCACTAGTACATTTTAATTTGTCAACATTTAAGATACAGCCAATCACTTAGAGATAAAGGAGCACTTTTATGTAGAATTTTGGCATGCAGTAGTTCAAAGGTAGCAATATTGGTGCTTGTGAGATGGATTGAACAACACGGGATAACCTTCTTCAGCTGAGAAAGGACAATATATGTAAACTTTATATTCAGTGGAGAGTTTGATGGTTTTACAGGTTTTGCCTGTTATCATTAGTAGTCATCAGTAATTCATATAAAAAGAAAAAATAGTAACTAACTGGTTATTAACAATTAAAGTGAACTTTTACCAAAGAATTAATGTCTGCCTTCAGCTTTGTTAGAAGAACTGGCCTTGTGGAGCCATGGGATTATCCAAAGCCATAAGAAATATTGAAGTTGTCATGAATGTCTAGTAATTTAGAGAAAGAAGAATGGAGTGATTCAAGAAATAATTTTTAAAAGTTGTTTCAGAGAAGAAAAAATTGTGTTTCAGATTTTGTGTTCTTTATATAATATTTAATTATTTTAACATTAAATGTCCCATGTCATGTGGATGAGAGAATTCTGGAGGTCCTCCACGCAGAGTCAGTCTCTTCCTGGAGAAATGACCATGTGTCATTAAGAGATGAGGGTTATGCAACTAAGGATAGGTTAAGAAAAAATGGAAAAATAGTTGACTTCTGTTGTGGTGATGAAATTCACATAACAAACTTTAACATTTAAAGGTAAATAGTTAATTGGCATTTAATATATTCTGTGTTGTGCAACAGCTACCTCCAACTAGTTCCAAAACATTTTCATCACTCCAAACTACAACTCCACTACCAGTTAAGCAGTTCCTTTCACTTTCTCCCTTCTGTCAGCCACTAGTAAACAACAATCTGTTTTCTGCCTCTGAACTTAGCTGTTCTGGGCATTTCATGTTAATGGGCCCAAACACCACAGGACATTTTATAACTGTCTCCTTTTGTTTGCATGATGCCATGAAGGTTCATTTACACAAGCTGCTAACTCATTATTTTGTTTGGGTTGTTTCCACTACCATATTTCCATATATACATATGTGTTTGGGTATACTTATTCAACTCTCGGTATATATGAGTGGAATTGCTTGGTCCTATGATAACTTTGTTTTCTTGAGGAACAACCACATTTCTCCATAGCAGCTGCATCATTGTCCATTGCAGCTAGCATTGTGTCAGGGTTCCAAATTATCTACATGCTCTCAAACACTTGATATTTCCTGCTATTTAAAATTTATTTCCATTCCAGTATGTGTGAAGTATGGTATTTCATTTTGGTTTGAAATGTATTTTCTGAATAACTGATTATGATTATTTGTTCCATGTGCTTTTTCAGCACTGCACTCCAGCCTGGGCAACAAAGCAAAATGGTCTCACAAAATAAAAAGAAAAAAATAAAGAAAAGAAAAATAGTAGTTATTGCATACAATCCTTGCTTGCAAATCAAAAATTAAAATGTCATTTCTACATCATTACATGAGTACCACTAAAACAAAATGTTGATTTTGGAGGGAGAGGTAGATCTTAACTTCCTCCATGAATTTTTTGAGGTATTAAGATGAAAAGGAACTTTTTTCAAAGTAATTTCATAATTGTTAGTGTTATTTGAAAACTATCTGTTTAGATGATATGGCTGTATTAAAATTTTCAGATTAAAATTATACATGTAATGCCTAATGCCTGATTTTATTGCTACACATGCTTAAAAGCAAATTAAATAGGAAATTAAACTGTGTTTTTTGTCAAAAATTTTCTTTGTAGCTTTGCATATAAATAGATACAAAAGTAGGCATAGGTTACATCTCCCTTGCAAGCTGCACACCTTTTCTAATTTGGCTGTGTTTCTCTTTAAAAACTTACAAGCTTTAAAAGTTTGAGAACTCTTCAGAAAGACTAAAAAACTGTCTGCCTCACCATAAATTGTTTATCATTCAGAGGAATCATGTGGGTCAAAAGAAATAATTAGATATGTTTTATATTAAAGTTTAAGACATCCATAACATTTTTCTTGAAGCATTCTGTGACTGAAGGGGGATAATGGTGATGAAACATTTTTTTCAACCTAAATAAAAACGGAACCAGCTACGTTTCCTAAGTATATAGTTTAATGAAATTAAGTCTTCCTAGTTTTAAATAGTGGAAAATAAGTGTTTTATGTGGGAGGTACTCATGTTAATTATTTCCTATAATATTTGACAATGGTTGTTGTAAGTAATGGCTTAGCAATAAGTTCTTGCAAATAGAAATTATCTAGAAGGCTTGGGATTTGATCAGGTTTTTTGTTTTTTGTTTTGGATGGAGTCTAGCTTTTGTTTCCCAAGCTGGGGTGCAGTGCCTGGATCTTGGCTCACTGTGACCACAACTTTCTGGGTTCAAGCTATTCTCCTGCCTCAGCATCATGAGTAAGTGGGTTTACAGCTGTGTGCTACCAAAGCTGGCTAAATTTTGCATTTTTAGTACAGACAGCTGGCCAGACAAGTCTTAAAATCCTGATTCACCCTCCTTGGCCTCCCAAAGTGCTAGGATTACAGGCATGAGCCAACAGGCTCCTACTATCAAATTTAAGTGAAGATATGAATAGAAATGCTTTAAATCTCATGGTTTTTTGGAAAGTGAAGCATATAAAACATGAAACAACATCATAAAGTTTCAGATAGGCAATTGCTTAACAGTTTAATATATCATCTAATGATAAAACTGGAAAGATTTGGACCCAAATAAGTAAACCAATTAATTTTCCTGAACATACAAGCTAAATAAATGAAATATATGAAGATCCAGAACTTTACAGTCCATAATTCTTAAAATTAACAGACTAATCTGTAAAGAGGACATATCTTTATGAGAAAATTTTGACAAGATCATAATTTTTATAGGGTAAGGTGGCAAATAATTTTAAAGTGAGAAGTTACTAACTTTGATTTTTCAAGTGAGTTATTTACGTTATGAAATTGTGTTAACATTCACCTATAATATAGGATTGTGAGGATTAAGTGAAAAGATACAACTCCCTGGGCTTGTGTATCTTCACAGCAGCAACAGGAGAAATACTGCCTATCCAGGTGTGATGGCTTAGGTCTGTAATCCCAGCATTTTGGGTGGCTGAGGTGGGCATATCGCTTCAACTCAGGAGTTTGAGGCCAGCCTGGGCAACATGGAGAAATCTTGTCTGTATAAAATAGACAAAAAATTGCTGGATGTGGTAGTGCATCAGTGTAGTCCCAGATCCTTGGGGGCTGAGGCGGGAGGATTGCTTGAGCCCATGAGTTCCAGGCTGCAGTGAGTCTGTTTACACCACTGCATTTTAGCCTGTGTGACAAAGCGAGACACTGATAAAAAAAATAAAAAAAGGAGAAGGTGTCTATGATACTCTGTCCCTAGGCTTTTTTAACCCGAATTATCTGCATGAAACATTCTGTCATAATGATTAAAAGGTATGGGAAACAGAAGAGTAACCAGCAATATATAATTTATCAATCTTGGAACAGGGATTCTGTTTCAGAAGTTAGAATAAATGCTGAAAACCCTTTATGTAACAAGAGCGAAAGCCTTATTGCATCATTTTTCATAGGAACATAATGCTTTTGAATGAATAATAGGTTAATTTTTTTTTACCATCTTTGTCCACAGGCATTACTATGAGAAAATACCTGGACTTGGTGGTTTATAACAAACCTTTCTTGTAATCCCAGAGGCTGAGAAGCCCAAGGTCAAGGCATCAGCAAATACAGTGTTCAGGTAAGGGGTCCCTTCCTGGGTTTTATTTTTATTTATTTATTTTTGAGATGGAATCTCTGTCAACAGGCTGGAGTGCGGTGGCACTATCTCGGCTCACTGCAACCTCTGCCTCCAGGGTTCAAGTGATTCTCCTGCATCAGCCTCATGAGTAGCTGGGGTGACAGGTGTGCACCACCATGCCTGGCTTTTTTTTTTATACTTTAAGTTTTAGGGTACATGTGCACAATGTGCAGGTTTGTTACATATGTATACATGTGCCATGTTGGTGTGCTGCACCCATTAACTCATATTTAGCATTAGGTATATCACCTAATGCTATCCCTCCCCCCTCCCCCCACCCCACAACAGTTTTTTGTATTTTAGTAGAGACAAGATTTCACCATTTTAGTCAGGATAGACTCGATCTCCTGACCTTCTGATTTGCCTGTCTCTGCCTCCCAAAGTGCCGGGACTACAGGCATGAGTCACCTCACCCAGCCACTTCCTGGATTTTAAACAACCCTCTTGCTGAGTCTATACATTATAGAAGTGAGTTGGGAACTCTATAGCCTTTTAGGAGGTTGCTAATGGCATTTATGAGGGTGCTGCCTTCCTGACCTGATTACTTCCCATCAAAGTCCCTTTTCCCCTTCCAGAGGGAAGCCAATTGACACTTCCACATGTTCAGCTTAAAGTATTTTTTAGATGGTGGAGTGAGGATAGCAGTGATGATTTAATTAATTCTTTGGTTTGCAGTTTTTAATGCCTCCAGTGTTGGCATCAGGTATTAAAGGCATGAAAATGATTTTTCAGATTGTTCATATGTAGTCATCCACTTTCAGCTTACAAGGTTTGGGGACAATTGGGCAGTTTTGGTTTTCAGTGATGCTAAATCATGAAAGGGGGACCCAGTGTTGAAATTTTAGTTTAGAAACTTGTAGCTATACATTGAATGAAATGAGAATTGAAGTTGTAGACTAATAAAATACGTAAGACAACTCACATGGGGGTGTGTTTTAGTTTTGCATTGAAACAAAATTCTCTCTGAAGTTACTTCTCTTGACTCTTGTTCACCAGATAAGTCTGGTCTGACTAGATTTGTCCTCATTTTTTACCTAAGTGCATTAAGAACTGTCATTGACCACAAAGGTATAATTATAAATTATATGTAAAAAATTAAATGCATATAAATAAATTTATATAAATATATTTATTTTATTTATATTTTATAAATTTATATTTATATTTAACTTTATATAAATGAATGATATAAATTATAATATAAATAAGTTATCTATTATTTTATATATAATATAAAATTTATTATATATATAATTTATTTTTTAAATTTGAGACAATGTCCAGCTCACTGTAGTCTCAAACTCATGGGCCCAAGTGATCCTCCCACCTCATCCTCCTGAGTAGCTGAGACCACAGGTGCAAACCATCATGCTTGGCTAATTTTGTATGTTGTTTGTTTGCTTGTTTGATTTTGGAGATGGGGTTTTACCACGTGCCTAGGCTAGCCTTGAACTTCTGGGCTCAAGTGATTCTCCCACCTCTGCCTCTGAATGTGCTGGGATTACAGGTGTCTTCCACCATGTCTGGCCACAGAGGCCTTTCCAGTTTACTAGGTGAGAACTTTATATAATTAGTTTCAGATTAGAATTTTTAAAGCTTTGAGACTAGGAACTAAGCCAGGAACTTGCCACCAGGCTTCCCTTTCAGAACCTATACACTTGGTTGAATACCTTTCCTCTCAAAGTCCCCAAGTATCGTGAGGTTCCAGAGCTTGCCCAGAAGTGACCTGTCTTTCTCACCTCTTAAGCTAGGAGCTCTAACCAATTACCAGGCTGATGTTCCAAGAGGGCTGTCTAAGTATTTTCTCCACAGTCAACTTTAGTTCTTAAAGTTGCCTGGTTATCTCTGATTTTCTGCAAATCATTCTTAAATGTATTTGATATTTCAGACAAGGCTTTGTAATAAAACCAGGTTCCAATTAGGTTCTGTTGAAAGGAGAATACATTCTTACTACCTCAGAAATGACTCTATTGCCATATAGATATTTATAAAATCTTAAATGTCCAGTGAACATAACACAGCTTAACTAGTAAATTAGTAAATCCAAGAGAAGGACACAAATGACAAACGTATTCTTTTTTTTTTTTTGAGACTGAATCTCGCTCCGCCGCCCAGGCTGGACTGCAGTGGCATGATCTTGGCTCACTGCAACCCTTGCCTCCCTGGTTCAAGCAGTTCTCCTGACTTGGCCTCCTGAGTAGCTGGGATTACAGTTGTGTATCACCATTCCTGGCTAATTTTTGTATTTCTAGTAGAGATGGGGTTTCATAATTTTGTCCAGGCTGGGAAACTCCTGACCCCAGATGATCCACCTGCCTCGGCCTCCCAAAGTGCTGGGATTAAAGGTATGAGCCATCATGTCTGGCCCACAAATGTCTTTTTATACTTAATAATAACAACAATTCATAATATGTAGTTGTCTGTATTAAAGAATTTTAAAGTAATCTTAGTTAAATATTTGCATGAGTCATGTGAACTTGAATACATATTTCTAGGATTATTAGGAGTATGTAATTCACAATAGTGCTCATTTATCTCTAAGCCAATTTGAATAGCACCTTTTTAAATGATATTAAAAATTAACTTGGTAATAACATCCAGAGTTAGAAATATATCACACACATAGCATATTTGCATAAAATATAGAGGCAAACATATTTTATAGCTCTCCTAAAATTTAGTTATGAATGAGACAATAGAGTAATATAAAACTCACTGGTTATATCCATTTTATGTTGTATCTAAATTGTTCTTCTGGGAAATGAGACAAGGTTGTATAATCAGTAGGAGATCTAATACCTTTTGTTTGTATTGGTGAAGAAGACTTTTATGATATTATTTTGCCCTAATATTTAATCTGTTGAGCCAGAGGACTACATTTTAGGCATAGAATACATCTAGTTGCAGTCTGGGTGTCTCCAAAGGCTGGGTAGATAAAATACTCAATCTCTTCTAATTCATTAGCCATTTTTCATTTCAACTTCAGGCCAATAACTTTTTGGAGGCTGGGGAAGATACTCAAGTCCCTCAAGAGCCTCTGATTTAGTAGGCCTAAATTTCTGTTGGCTGTACAGAGTTGAAAGGCTGAAATAGGAAGGGAAAGGTTTGTTTAGGGGTAGGTAGAAGAATGGATTATGAGAGGTTGGAAGGAGGATGTGTCAAAGGATTCAAGGAAGGTAAAGGGAAGATTGAAGGTGATGAGAGGAGAAACAAGAAACATGAGTAATAAGAAGGAAGATGTCAAAGAGGCACCAGCATAGGAAGATGTTAAGTTTCTGAAAGATCATTAAGTTCCAAATTATCCTTGAAAAATGCATGCCAACAACAAGGATGTAGAGTTAGCAAAGCCTAAAGTCCACAAAGGTTCAAGAAGATGGGTTTTAGTTGGCTATGAGACTTCCATGGGAGAGGCAAGAATCCAAATAAAGAATAGAGAGGTATCAAAGAGATTCAATGGAGATTAGAGATAGAGACAGCAAGATAGAAAGAGAGAGAGAGAGAGAGAGAGAGAGAGATAGGCAAAGATAGAGATAAACTTCCTGACAGTCTGGAAAGATGGGAAAATTCCCATTAAGCAAAAAGATCTCCAACATGGGGAATCAGGAAATAATCTCTATTCAGGAAAGAGACTAGAAAAGAGAGAACCCAGCCAATGGCATCGAGGAAAACCCCACTCAGAAAGTAGCAAGGAAAAAACATCTTTAGCATAGAGAATCAGGGAAAAAATCTTACTTGAGAATAGACACCAAAGAGGACAATTCAAGCCAACAAAGTCAGAGAATGAGCCCCTCTTGGGAAGAAGGGTATACAACATAGAACCTAAAGGAACAATCTCAAACATGAAGCAAAGCTGACAAAAAAAGAGTTCCAGACGTAGAAATCAGGAAACAATTTCCAGTCAGATTAGAGAGAAAGGCAAGAGAGACTTGTAACCCCAGGGAGTCAGGGAATAATCATAAGAAAAACGGTAACCTGGGAAAAGAAAATGTCACCCTAGGAGACAGGGAATAATACCCAATAAAGAAAAAGAGTCAGAAATATGAAATTTCCAACTAATTTATCAGGAAATAATCCCCAGAAAATTGGAATAAACTGTAATAAGGGAAAAAAAGTTAAGAAAAACAAAACAAAATAAGAAAATGTCCATTTCCTGGAGTCAGACAGTAATCCCTAGTAAGGGAAACACTAGGAGGAAAGTACTTTCTGCACATTCAGAATAAATGCCACTCGGGAAAGACAGAGCCCATAAGAAGGAACTTTTACCTAGGAAAGTTACAATAATCATTATTTTTTTTAAAGAGCAAGTAGGAAGGATTTTAAATGAAGTCAGAGTATAATCTCCATCAGGAAATAGAGTCAGAAAGAAGAAATTTGAGCCTAAACATCAGATAAAAATTTCACATCAGGAAAAAGAGTGAGGGATGACAAACTTCTATCCCAGCGAGCCAGGAAATAATCCTCAATCATGAAAAGACATAGAAAAACAGTCTTTTATCACAGAGCTCATTTAGTATTTACCTCAGAGAAAAGAACAAAGGAAAAGAAAGAAGTTCAGTCCAAAGATTCAGAGAATAATATTAATTTAGGACAGAGAACCAAGAAGTGACTTTGAGCTCAGAATCACATGAGAATTATTCTCACTTAGGAGAGAGAGACAATCAAGTAGTCAGAAAATTTTACCCATTAGCAAAGAGACCAGAAAGAAGAGATATCTAGCCAGAGAGTCAGAAAAGGAAGCTAATAAGTGCCAGCTCAGGTGCCAGGGAATAAATTCCATTTGGTAAGAGAGCCAGAAGGAATGTCTTTCAAAGCAAGAAGTGAGATAATAAATTTTACTCAAGGAATAGGTCTGGAAAGACATGATGTCCAATCAGGAAAATAATTTCTCTTATGAAACAGAGCCAGGAAAAACAGGTTTTTACTCCAGGAGTCAGGAAATTTCTACACAGGAAATAGAGGCAGGATTTTTTTTTTCCTGCTAAGGAAAGAAGGCCAGAAATTTCCAAACCAGGAGTCCAGGGAAAAGTCTTCAATCAGAAAAACAAGATTAAGAAGAAGATAAGAAGAATTTTCTACCCCAGAAGGTACGGAATACCTCCCATTGAAGTAAAATAGCCAGAAAAAAGAGTACTAGCCCAGAAATCAGGGAATAATTTCTATTCAGATAAGATATAAACTAAAAAGATACTTCTATTCCATAAAGCCTGGGATTAATCACTAATAAAACAACAACGAAGAGATATGACATTTAGCACAGAGTCAGAGAATAACCCCTACTAGGTAAGGGCAGAAAAGGTAGAAGAGACTTTCACTCCAGGAGTCAGGGAACAATTCCTACCAAGAGGTGATAGTGAAAAAAGACACTTTAAGCTCACAGAGTTAGGGAATAATCCCTACTGGGAAAACAAAGCAAAACAAAAAACATTTTATCCTATGAAGTAAGAAAATAATTCCCTACTAAGGGATATCAGGAAGTCAGGATTTCCTGACTTAAGCCCAGTGAGGCAGAAAATAATTTCTACTAGCAGGAGAGTCAGGAAGAATAGATATCCAACCTACATGCAACGAAATGTGTTTCCTGTAAAGAAAGACAGCCATGAAGAAGAGAGTTTCAGATCACTATCAGGGCCTTGCCTCTTCACATGACCTTTCACTCCACATAGGAAACAATTTTGGTTTCTCTCCCTTTTCACTTTAGGAGGTGTTAATGCCATAGCTAATATTCTGGCCTTGTTTGTCTCAGTTCCTACCAGGTGACACACTTACATCAGCTCCCTGAAGGTGCTTGCCTTTCCTTTGTTTGCCTGCATTGCCTGCTGGCAATCCACATTAGCATTTTCAAAAGGCAATTGCAACAATAAGACAGGAGTGGGCTGGGTGTGACTAATTTACCTCTTAATTGCCAGAGTTAACCAATCCATAAACTCAACAAATGGCTCCTGAGGCCCTTGTCAAACATTTACAAAAGGTCCCTGCTGAACTCTGCTCTT
Source organism: Homo sapiens (assembly GCF_000001405.40). Classification (NCBI taxonomy): domain Eukaryota; kingdom Metazoa; phylum Chordata; class Mammalia; order Primates; family Hominidae; genus Homo; species Homo sapiens. The sequence continues at coordinate 22,373,544 of NC_000024.10, read as the reverse complement.
GGGAATTCAGTCCCAAGCTCTGAAAGCACACAAAGACACTTGAGGATAGGCCTGGGGATCAAAATTTAGTTGTTGTACATCAGCATGAGGACACCTCCACTGCAGCTTATCCACTCTTATATTTTTCCAGGCCACCTGATTCTGGTTGGCTTGTTGTTTGCACAGCTCATCATATTCTGCCTTCCAGAGGAGGTATGGGTTAGGCTCCAGAGTTGCTTTAGCCAGCGTTGACCAGTCCCATTGGGCCATACAGAAGTGGTCGGCTAAGACCTCAATCATTCCTTTTGTAAATGGTCTAGCGGCTCTGTTTTATTTAATGCTTTTTCTTAGTTCTTTGTAAGTGTGAAAGCAAATGGGTTCATGCACTTGATGACCATGTCGGTCTGCATTACTGGACAGGCTAAGAGCTCTCCTTCTAATGCTGCTTGTTTAAGACAAGGTCCCATAGCTGAATTATATTTTGTACCTTTTTTTCTACTTATAGTAAGAGGGGGCTCAAGCAAACCCTCCGTTTCCTCTTTGCTATTTTGGCCCAGTGATAGTGGTACTGAGGAAAAGGTGGTGAGAAGGCAGGTGATGTTTCTCCCTCCTTCTCCTTTTTAGGCTCTTCTGTGTATAATGGGACTAAAGCCGTTCTTAGTAAAATCCACCGTGTTAAAGCTGATGCTGGGACCTGATGCCCCTGTGCATAATATTGTTTAAGATTTCTCCCTACTTGTTCCCAGAGTTCTGCGTCTAGTGTTCCTTCTTCTGGGACCATGGATTACATGAGACCACAGTTTACATTAATTTCCTTAATTGAACCTGGGAAACGGAATCTCTGCTAGCCTTAAGTAACTGTTTTAATATTTTATATACTGTTTCTCAGGTGCTGATAACTGTTGTTCCATAATGAAAACTCAGCTTGAACCAACTTCCCCCAGAGCTTGGTGACCTTGAGTGCAAATCAATGACTTAATGATTACTCACTGAGTTTACCGCGCGGTTCCTTTCTTCACCTTCTTTTTCGGGAGTCCAAGTCTTTGCTACTGTGAATAGTGCCACAATAAACATACGTGTGCATGTGTCTTTATTGTAGAATGATTTATAATCCTTTGGTAGATGCCCAGTAATGAGGTTGCTGGGTCAAATGGTATTTCCAGTTCTAGATCTTTGAGGAATCACCACACTGTCTTCCACAATGGTTGAACTAATTTACACTCCCACCGAGATCATAAAAGCATTCTTATTTTTCCACAGGCTCTCCAGGATCTGTTGTTTCCTGACTTTTTAATGATTGCCATTAAAACTGGAGTGAGATGGTATCTCATTTTGGTTTTGATTTGCATTTCTCTAATGACCAGTGATGATGAGCATTTTTTCATATGTCTGTTGGCTGCATAAATTTCTTCGAGTAGTGACTGTTCATATCCTTTGCCCATTTTTTGATGGGGTTGTTTGTTTTATTCTTGTAAATTGGTTTAAGTTCTTTGTATATTCTAGATATCAGCCCTTTGTCAGATGGATAGAGTGCAAAAATTTTCCGCCATTCTATAGGTTGGCTCTTCACTCTGAAGATAGTTGCTTTTGCTTTTCAGTAGCTCTCTAGTTTAATTAGATTCCATTTGTCAATTTTGTCTTTTGTTGCCATTGCTTTTGGTGTTTTGGACATGAATTCTTTGCCCATGCCTATGTCCTGAATAGTATTGCCCAGATTTTCTTCTAGGATTTTAATGGTCCTAAGTCTTACATTTAAGTCTTTGATCCATCTTGAGTTGATTTTTGTAAATGGTGTAAGGAAGGTATCCAGTTTCAGTTTTCTGCATATGGCTAGGCAGTTTTCTCAACATCATTTTTGTACTTCTTAAGAGTATATTTAAAAATTCTTTGTCATGATTAAAATTTATTTCTTTTAGAAGGAGAAGCAAGCTAGTAGCATTTTAGATATAATACACACTGAGCTGTTTTCTTTTTTCACAGGAATTGTCTTTATTCAAAATTTCCACTAGTTTTAATATTGATCAAAGTAAACAAATTATAATTAAAAAAAAAGTTTTCCTACCATTCCAGAGTAGTATTTGCTAAATAAATTCTCCCTTAAAACAATTTGCATTGGCTAAACTTAATTTTGTCTCAACTAAAGGCTATAAAAACCCTGTAAGAAAATATTTAGTACCATGTAATTAAGGGAATTAGCATCACATATTCAGGTACTCAACAATTATTATGTTTTTACAAACATGAAAGAAAAAGATAACAACTATGACTCTTATCATATCACTACAGTCTGTGATTTTTCTTCCTTTTTTCATTTATTTATATTTGTCATGGGTTTAGTTGTAGGTGTCTGCATTTCTCTGTATGGCTCTGAAAGATTAATATATGGTTCTGTAATTATATATTCATTTTACCTTTGAAAAGGTGAACAGCGTATCATGATATATTTCCTATTAATATACCTACCTCAGAATACACATAACTTTTGAACCTATAAAACTTTTGTATTTGGTTAAAAACTAGATAATGTTAAACAGTATTTATTTACAAAACATGTCTAATTTATAATGGGAGTAGGATAAGAAAAGATATTTTACTTTGGGTTTGACAATATTATGGCCCTGATGGTTACTCATAGATGACAGATTTTATCTTAGAAGTGGGTATTTGCTAACTAGAGTTGAAAGCATTATGGTGTTGGCATGCTCCCAGATTACCACTTGAGATGCATTGCTGGCTGACCTACAGAGCAGCTTTGATTGTGGTTTTGCCCAGTCAGACTCCTGCTATCCTGGCTGCAAGGTTTGTTTTCTTTTGTCTGTAGTCAGAGGGGAAGTGATGCTTGATTTTCTACTTGCCTCTGAACTTTAAAGCTTCATTTTGCCCCAGGAAAGAGGAGAATATCTTAAACATGAAGTATTTCACTTAGCTTTATTTAAGTGGGAAAAAATAAAATGAAATAAAATAAAACAATCCTTGCTAGGTTCTTGTTCATATTCCATCTCTTAACCGCTGGATGAAAAGTCATTTTAAAATTTTTTGATGACCTCTGAATCAAAGTAACAATGTAAGCAATGTTTCCAAACCTGGAAACTAAGGAAGGACTTGCACAGAAGAAAGTAAGACAGAAAGAGAAAATATGAACGTTCTGAGGTTACCATGAAATCGGTTCTAAGTTCCTTTGCCTGAAAGTCAAGTCCCTTCTGCAATTCGTTGGAGTTTTATTCTCCTTTCAGGGCTCAGCTCATGTCACACTTTCTCTCTAATCTTCTGCACCTTTTCCTTACATTACTTTATTTTCTCTGGTATGAAGAAAATAATTCAGAGGAAAATAAAATATTGAGTAGATTTTGCAATGAAATATTTTAATTGCAGAATAGTATAGAAAACAAGGAATGCTAGGATAAAAATTTTGTGTGTAAGCTTATCGAGAAATTTGAATGAATGTCAGTTTAAGGAGAGTTTAGACTTTAAAAGTGTCATTAAAAGTATGCTTTCATATCATGCTTGTGTTTGACATAAAAATACATATTTTTTATATCAGATAAGGTAGTTTTCATATATTGTGCATCAACCTATCGATCTCCAATTTCCAAATGTGCAGTACATGCTCAACAAACTGTGGAACAGAATGAGGAACGAGGAACATTAACTGAACTATTTAGAAAATTGGCATACTAAAGTTCATACTAAAACATGAATGCATTCTATTTATTTAAGTAATAATTTCAGATAATCCCATTCATCTTAGATACAACACTTAATTAGTTCAGTAATAAAATTTTTGGTGATAGCATATTATTTTACTAAATATATGCTTTAGAATGTACAAATAGTTTCTGTCCAAGTTTATCCTTATGAAAACCATAGTAGTGAAAGCATTCTTATGTGCAGTTTTCTTTTTATGATGTTCCAAAAAGAGGACATATTAATAGTACACATTATAAACATTAGCTGACTGAATTTTTAAAAGATTAAATAAAGAAACACTAAGACAAGTATTAAAATTTTATAAACAATTATTACTTATCCTTCATTAGTTAGCAACAACATTGATAAGTTAAAAGGTAGCATTTTTACCAGGTCAGAGGGTGCTTGAGTACTCACTGGATTTATTAATGTGAAACAATGCTGAAGTAAACCTTAAGAACATGTACACGTTTTATGTACACAAAAGATAGTGGTAACCTACTTAGAAATTGTTTGACATTTCTACTTGGATGGGCCCTTTCATCCCTGTAAGAATGTAGGGCAGGTGAAATTCTCCTGGGATGTTGTGAGAATAGTCTTTTGTGCAGATTGGTTCAGGTTTTTAGATTTTTTAGTTTCTCAGGTGGCTCATTTATCTCAGTCGTTATGTTTTATCTGTAGTGGTTGGTCTGGGGTGGACATTCCCAAACTTTCTGGCACCAGGGACTGGTTTCATGGAAGACAATTTTTCCACAGATAATGGGTGGGGAGGTGATGGTTTCAGGATGATTCAAGCACATTACATTTATTGTGTACTGTTATTTCTATTATTACAACATTGTAATATATAATTAAACAATTATATAACTCACCATAATGTAGAATCCGTGGGAGGCCTGAACTTGTTTTCCATCCCGGGGTGATGGCAGACAGTGACAGATCATCAGGCATTAGATAATCATAAGAGTGCACAATCTAGATCCCTCGCATAGACAGTTCACCACGGGGTATGATAATCTAATGTTACTTCTGATCTGACAGGAGGTGGGGCTAAGGCAGTAATGCAAGCGATGAGGAGTGGCTGTAAATACAGATGAAGCTTTGCTGGCCTGCCAGCCACTCACCTCTTGCTGTGCAGCCAGTTCCTAACAGATCATGCGCTGGTACCTGAATGAGTGTTTAGAATCATCAACGTCTTTAAAGTGGTTAGCATATCCAGAACAAACAGTGTGTCCAGGTAAGAAGGGGCTACCTATGGGGAGTGATTAGCCACTCCTGTAGGTCAGTCTATTAAGGCTGTTTGATGTATTTTACAGTATTTATCAAGACAGTGCTTAGTGAATAAATATGCAATAAATGATAATCATATATTCAAAATTAGTGTTTCCCACATGTTTCAGCTGGGTTTGTTTTCATGTGATCATATCGTTTCTTCATGGAGTAGTCATAAGAATACTCAGTTGAATGCTCAGTTGAACCTTGGAGGAAACATGCATCACTATTTATATAGCAAAAATAACTGAAGTAAATTGTTTGTTTAGTGTCTCCTGGCTCTGCTAAAGTCACCAGAATAATTGCAGCTTAAAAGTTTATCATAGAGAGTATATATTTGAATCTAAGCATATTTATGAACAATGAAAATGTCTGCATAATTAATAACAGTAATATAAAAGTTTGTGGGAATTTGCTGGAAATCAAATGTCAAAGGTAGACTCGGAGACTAAGTCATTTAGAAAAGAAAATAAATTCATTTGCAGAAAATTATTAATTGGAGTTCAGATTTTAACAGAACTTGCTCTAAAATTAAAAAAATGGCTAGATATTTAATTTATCAAATTTGTAATGTTCATGATAGACAATAACTTCTTTGAATTGCCAAATTAGATGATATTCTCCCATTTCTATATATCAACATTTCAAAGGCCAAGATAAAGTTATTTTTGTTAGGGAGTCAGTAACTTACAGAAAAGCTCAGGGTTTTATTTAATTTTTGGACTAGAACTAGACAGAATGAGTCTGTTTTGGTTGTTGTTGTTGTTGTCATTGTGGTTTACCTTAAGGAAAATGAAGCATTTAAAAATTTTTTCCTTGTGTGGAATATGATGTAAACCCTTATTGCTTTAAATGGAGTAGGGTAAGGTGATACAGTATTACCCTATGAGAGGTGACAGCGTGCTGGCAGCTCTCGCAGCCCTCGCTCTAGGTGCTTCCTTGGCCTCCACGCCCACTCTGGCTGCACTTCAAGAGCCCTTCAGCCGGCCGCTGCACTGTGGGAGTACCTCTCTGGGCTGGCCAAGGCCGGAGCTGGCTCCCTCAGCTTGCAGGTAGGTGTGGCGGGAGAGGCGCCTGTGGGAACTGGGGCTGTGCGCCGCCCTTGCAGGCCAGCAGGAGTTCTGGGTCGGCGTGGGCTTGGCAGACCCTGCAGTCAGAGGGGCTGGCCGGTGCTGCTGGCCCCAGGCCAGCAGCTGGGTTTAGCACCTGGGCCAGCAGCTGCGGAGGGTTCACCAGGTCCCCCAGCAGTGCCAGCCAACCAGCTCTGCGCTGGAATTCTCGCTGGGCCTCAGCTGCCTCCCTGCAAGGCAGGGCTCCGGACCTGCAGCCCGCTATGTCTGAGCCTCCCCTGGCCCCGCTGTGGGCTCCTGAGCTGCCCAAGCCTCCCAAATGAGCACCACAAGCGCCGCTCCCTGCGCCATGGCAGCTGGTCCCATCTACCGCCCAAGGGCTGAGGAGTGCAGGCACACAGGGGACTGGCAGGCAGCTCCACTTGCGGCCGGGTGTGGGATCCACTAGGTGAAGCCAGCTGGGTGCCTGAGTCTAGTGTAGGCTTGGAGAACTTTTATGTCTAGCTGGAGAATTGTCTATGCACCAATCAGCACCCTGTGTCTAGCTCAAGGTTTGTAAATGCACCAATCAGCACTCTATATCTAGGTAATATGGTGAGGACTTGAAGAACCTTTATGTCTAGCTAAGGGATTGTAGATATCCCAATCAGCACTCTGTGTTTACTTCAAGGTTTGTAAATTCACCAGTCAGGACTCTGTATTTAGCTAATCTGGTGGGGACTTGGAGAACATTTATGTCTACCTAAGGGATTGTAAATACACCAGTCAGCACTCTGTCTAGCTCAAGGTTTGTAAACACACCAGTCAGCACCCTGTGTCTAGCTCAAGGTTTGTAAATGCACCAATCAGTGCTCTTGTGTCTAGCTAATCTAGTGGGGACTTGGAGAACTTTTATGTCTAGCTAAGGGATTGTAAATACACCAATCAGCACTCTGTGTCTAGCTGAAGGTTTGCAAATACAACAATCAGCACCCTGTGTCTAGCTCAAGGTTTGTATATGAACCAGTCAGTGCTCTGTGTCTAGCTAACCTAGTGGGGACTTGGAGAACTTTTGTGTCTAGCTCAGGGATTGTAAACGCACCAATCAGCACCCTGTCAAAATGGACCAATCAGCTCTCTGTAAAATGGACCAATCAGCTCTCTGCAAAATGGACCAATCAGCAGGATGTGGGTGGGGCCAGATAATGGAATAAAAGCAGGCTGTGGGCACCAGCAGTGCCCTTTCCAGAGGGGGGAAAGTGTGTTTTTTTTGTCTTTGCAATGAATCTTGCTGCAGCCAACTCTTTGGGTCGACACTGCCTTTATGAGTTGTAACACTCACTTCAAAGGTCTGCAGCTTCTCTCCTAAGGGCATGGAGAACACGAAACCACCAGGAGGAACGAACAACTCCAGATGCACTGCCTTAAGAGCTGTAACATTCAGTGTGAAGGTTTGCAGCTTTACTTCTGAAGCCAGCTAGACCACAAACCCACCAGAAAGAAGAAACTCCAAACACATCTGAACATCAGAAGGAACAAACTCCGGACACGCTGCCTTTAACAACTATGACACTCACCACGAGGGTCTGCGACTTCATTCTCGAAGTCAGTGAGACCAAGAACCCACCAATTCCGGACACACTTAACAGACATTGTGCTAGGCACTTTATTCACTTATCTGTAATAAGACCGTGATGTTCACAGGGCACTATTTACTCATTGAATTTTAGAATTACACTAGAGGTGGAGTTTAACTTCCGTTAGTAATACATTAGGCTTAGTAAATAATTTAGTGAGCCCCTTGAGAATGATCTAAGATGTGAGCACCTAATTGTACCAGATGTATGGTCAATATTATTTCCTGTTGGAGACTCACGATGAGATTACAGAGAAATTAGAAACTAATTAAACATACAGGACCAAAGTTTTCATTCCCTAGTTCAAACTCACTTGTAAATTTTACTTTAAGATGCAGAAATAATTTCTTGCTTTGAAGAATCTGTTTCTCTCTCTTTCCTTCTCTTTCAGTTTCTCTGTTTCCCTCTCTTGTTTCTCTATTTGCCTCTCTCTCTCCCTGCCGCCCCCACTCTTTATGTTATATGCTAGCAAAAGGATGACACAAAGATCGATGTTCTCTAAAACAGATATTGCCTGTTTGAAGAGCTAAGAACAGCCCAATCAAAAAATAAACTAACACTGATTTTTCAAAAAGCCATACATAGCATCAGTGATGAGGACATCTTTTTTTTAATTTGTTTTGTGTTTGAGACAGAGTCTTGCTGTGTCTCCCAGGCTAGAGTGGAGTGGTGCAGTCTTGGCTAACTGTAAGCTCTGCCTCCTGGATTCGCGCCATTCTCCTGCCTCAGCCTCCCGTGTAGCTGGGACTACAGGAGCCTGCCACCACACCTGGCTAATTGTTTGTATTTTTAGTAGAGATGGGGTTTCACCGTGTTAGCCAGGATGGTCTCGATCTCCTGACATCGTGATCTGCCTGCCTCAGCCTCCCAAAGTGCTGGGATTACAGGCATGAGTCACTGCACCTGGCCGAAGACATCTTGTTTTTGTTATTACGGCTGTTTCATTCAAGAAACTGAAAGTTAGGACAAGATTTATTTCCACGTATATAGGTAAGAGCTGCTCAACACAATCAATGGATGTCTACACTAATTTGAATGAAAAACGCAGGACTCCATTTAAATGGAAATATGGTAGTTTAAAATAAAAAAAGCTGAAGTTTTAAGCATTCCAATTCACAATGTGAATTGAGTCTTTTTTATATAAAATGAGATAATGTAAGCAAGACACTTCTGTTTTAATTGTTATTGCTATTGAGGTTATCATCCCTGTTCTTGTTAATGTTACTTTTAATTTTCTGTTTTAATTGTTATTGCTACTGAGGTCATCACTGTTCTTGTTAATATTGCCTACTTTTAATTTTCCTGTATAGGCTTTAGTCTAACACTTTTGTACCAAATGCTTGCTTGGCAAAACTATTTTTTTTTTAGGTAAAGAGTATAAAAGTTAGTGTATCAATAATGCTGCATAATTACCCTTAACGAAACTTGGTGGCATTTTCTAGTAAGCATGTATTTTTTGCCTTTGTAATTGCAGATAAAGAGGGATTTTTTTACTCTTCTAAGCTTAGTTGGACTTGGTTTTGTCTCAGTAGAGTCTGATGTGTTCTCTTTAAACCTGCAGCTAAGTTATTTTCTACTTGTAAAGAAGAGCAGGAAGGCCAAAGGATAAGTTCAATTGCCAAACACATTTCAAGACCTTCCTTGTTTCGCATGTCTGAGCATTCCATTGGCCCCTAACAGGAAACAAGCAACAGGAAAGCAGAAATTTGCCATGGAAAGTATGAATATATGCTAAGCAATAGGACTATTAATTTTAAATAATAAGCTGTTAGGTGATTTTTATTCTGTGAACAATTAGATTGCAGGTGACTTGTACATGTTAGCTTTATACTAGAAATCCATACCCAGAAAGCTTTCTCACTTGCTCCTGATTTTAGAGGTGTTCAGTTGTCACATCTTTTTCTCACTTCCACTGGCTGTATTCCTCCACTCTTCTAACCATTCTCCTACTTATTTTAGAATCAAAGTGAATTATGTCTTGCCTGTCAGAATTTATTAATCTTGGATCCTGCAATTATAAAGATTGTTACATATCTTTCTAGTTCTTTTGGCATTATTATTATGGGAAAATGTATACCTTTTTGAAAATTACTAAAGTGAAATAATTTTATAACATAATCCATTTTACAATAAGAAATGCCCTCTCTCAAACACACACACACACTGAAATATTCTGCGTGGCAAATTTATTATAATTCAAGTTAACATGAAATATTAAATTTAATTTACATGGTTAGTAGGGATTATGGTTTGTTAAATACAAGGTAAGCAGATATGTTAACTTTTTTTTCTTTTTGTCACAAAATTGCCAAATGTTCCAAAGTATTAATACACATTATCATATATCTGAGATTCCATATGACAAATTTTGACATTAGTTCATCTTTTGATCCAAAAATTTCTTCCTATTTTAATAAGATACACACTGGAACTTTATCTGTTCTGCACCTTTTTAAGACTCCTTTTAATAACAAACTAAAAATTAAAATGTATAATTAACATTATTGCTGGTATAGTCTCAATTTTATAAATAGGTGTTCTGTTCTTTAAACGATGATGTATGATACACAGGGAACAGGATATCCTGGAGCTTTTATTTTATCTTATATATAGATATATATATCTATATATAACACATTTTTGAGACAGAGTCTTAACTGGGTCACCCAGGCAGGAGTGCAGTGGCACAATCCTGGCTCACTGCAATCTCCAACTTTGGGTTCAAGTGATTATTCTGTCTCAGCCTCCTGAATAATTGGACCAAAGGCATTCACCACCATGCCCGGCTAATTTTTGTATTTGAAGTAGAGATGGGTTTTAGCCATATTACCCAGGCTGGTCTTGAACTCCTGACCTCAAGTGATCCACCCAACTCAGTCTCACACAGTGCTTGGATTACAGATGTGAGCCATTGCACCTTGCGTTTTACTAATTTTCTTTCGATCTTATGTATAGTTGCTGGTAGCGAAAGAGCCAGGAAGTAATCAACACATCATAGATACACACAACTAAATTTCTGAGAGGAATATATTTCCAATATCAAGTAAGTTACTATAGAAAATTATTAACAAAGTCCTCATTCAAGAGGATTGCAGAAACCGAACTATGCTTAATGAGATTAGTATCATAATGTGGTACAAAGACACTGAATAAGTTTATATGTTAACATTTTGTTGTGGTTGCAGGTAGGCTTTCATTGTTTAAACCACCTACAGTGCCCCACTGAAACTTGAATGGCAGTGAGGCAGTCAGGATTTGGAGAAAGGCCTAGCAAGAACAATCAGGGCACAAGGACAGAATCCTGGATTTGCCTATGGTGTGCTTTATGATCTTTCACAAGGTAACTGAGAACTAATCAGTGTAGACAGCATATCTTCTGTCATAAATTAGATATTTCAACCAAATTTATTCTCTTAAATTTATCTGTCCTTACTCTAAGTAGTTAAATCCACTGTATTCAAGATTTAAAATTGAATCCAAAGGCTGTTTAATGTTACAAAGAAATATGAAGTTACCTTAAGTTAAAATTGTTCAGTGGATATGGAAATAACTATGGTCTGGCACAGTGGCTCATGCCTGTAATCCCAGCACTCTGGGAGGCTGAGGCGGGTGGATCATGAGGTCAGGAGATCGAGACCATCCTGGCTAACATGGTGAAACTCCGTCTCTACTAAATACAAAAAATTAGCTGGGCGAGCGTGGTGGCAGGTGCCTGTAGTCCCGGCAAGCTGGGAGGCTGAGGCAGGAGAATGGTGTGAACCTGGGAGGCAGAGCTTACAGTGAGCCCAAGGTCACGTCACTGCTCTTCAGCTTCGGCGGCAGAGCGTGAGACTCCATCTCAAAAAAAAAAAAAAAAAAAAAAGAACTACCAACAGAAATAACTACAAACATCTCCCAAAATTATTCTTAATGTTGACATAAATGATGTTATCTCAGGAGTCTATTTTAATGTGTGTTTCAATGATCTCTTCATTAGAAGCCTCTAGGTGAGAAGGACTCATTGAGTTTCAATCACACAAATATTTCCAGAGAAAGACTTACATTTTCTTTAAAAGCTGTGCTCTTTTACAGTTTTCATTGGTGGTAATGAATATCTGACAGTAGAGAACAAATTTTGTAATTCCTAAATACCTGACTAGTAGTATCATTTTTATATATAAAATATTTAGTTTCATTCATCAGGAATTAATCATGCACCTACCTTAATATCAACCCAGCAAATTTAGAATCACACTGTACCTATAAATATAAACACTGTCCTACTGAAGGTGAGCATGCAATCATGCTGATATTGGGTTGCCATCTTTTCCTCTGAAACAACAAAGAGGTTCTGCATGTTATTGCCTTCAACATATGCATTTGCTAGTTTCTGTTGCCATTGTTAAAAATGACTCATTTGACAATTTTTTAATACTTTCTAGCCTAGAAAGCTTATTAGTGTTACTTGACACAACCATTCAGCACATATTGCTGCTAAATAGATGATTTGCCACCAAATAATGGAATCTGTAATTTGTAGGAAGAACAAAAAGCTAGGTTCCAGGAATCCCAAAGCAGAAATCCTACTATGCGTTATAGTAATTTGGAATTCTGCCTTAGTTTATTAGTGATGAAGAGATTCATAAAGCTTTGTTGGAGATACTGCATCCATGACATTGCATCCAGCAATGTTCTCTACTGTCATAAGGGTTACTCAAGATACATACTAGTTTCACTTATTTCACATTTGTACCCATGAATCAGTGACACAACTCTTCAAAATGTGGATTATCTACACACAAGACAGAAAGGCTAAGATATGACTGTATACTGTGTTTCAGAAATTATGGATATAATCCTCAAACACATCCAAATGAATATAGTTGGAATAATGGCTACCCACTTCTGGGTAAAATAAAATGCATTGTAAATCTTAGCTTTTTAGTTAAAATGTAACTATAGTATTAACCATTTTTGTTCATGCTCTCTTTTAACCTCATTGCAATGAAAAGAATAGTGGATGGTATACAGACCATCATTCTCCTGCATTTGAGTAAAATTATAAAAGATGATTTATTGCACATTCTTGGAGAAGCAAATTAATTTTCACAACTTTTCTAGGTTTCTCATTGCCAACGGATCACTTCTTATAAAGAAATAGAAGACAGTTCTGCTGAATTAAGAAAGGACGTATCAATTGGTCTCAATTTTTTTCTGTTTTAACTGAGGCCTTATTCGAGGATAGTCAAGATATGCATTGTCTGTTTTTGCTTTATTTTGTTTTGTTTTGTTTTAAGTTGGCACTGTGGAGCCAGAAAAAGGTGCCTTGCTGCTCAGTTCAAGTTAACAGAGGCTATACTGGTCTTACAGAAGATCCAGAGGGCAGATTGGCCAGGAAAGCAGTGCTATGGTCATGAGCCATTAAAGTGTTCCCCTCAGGGTGTGTTAATAACAGCTGACGCATTAGAGGGATTCCCTCTAGAGTCATTGGCATTGATTTTTTAAGCCTTTTTTCCCCCTGTTGACATACAGAGAGACACAAAGCTAGGGAAGCAATAATTTTACTCTGGTTACTGTAGGTTCTGGTGTAAAATCACCAGTCTCGAAAGTCACATGTAAATATGGGACCCATCTGAATAAAGAGTGTTCCTCTTGGGAAATATGCTGTATTATCAAAAGGAGGAGTTTTGTGAACCGTTAACTATAGTTTAAACTCAGTGTACCGGTTCTTCTGAAGTTCTTATAGTAACAGATTGTAGTGACAATGGTTTCTTTTATTTCAACTCATTGAAGTTCCAGTTATTCCTTTCTACCAACCCCAAAAATGTATTCTAAAAACTGAAACAAAGTGATGGTACTCTTTTGGAAAAGTCCATCTCCACATCTCTGACCATCCCCATACCAAGATTTATTTTGACAAAAATAGTTTTGGTGGTACCTCACTGATGGCAATCAATGTATTCAGTTGTAATTTTGTAAAGATTTAGGAAGTTCTGATTAGCTCCATCACTGCAGTTAGAAAAGCAGTCTCATCTACATTGTTGAAAAAGAAAGTTATTCGTAGAAAGAGGAGGTGGCTGGCAAGCTCCAACTGGAAAAGCATTCAGAAGGCAAGAAGGTGAATTAGTGAAGTGGAAAGAGATGTTGAATGAAAATGTACGCAAATTTTTGATGACAAACCATGTAAATCATAGGTTATGTACAATCCTAAAGACAGAAGATTGATGGCCCTACATCAACCTTATTGCCAGAGAAAAACAAAAGGAGACACATGCCACTGTAGTCTTTCCTAAAATACAAAGTTCCAAAAAAATAAAAATAAACATAGATATAATAAACTGAGAGGATGAGAGTGAATAAGGGACTGATGGTCAATAAGACTATCTGGAAGTCACTGAAGAAATAAAGCAATAAACAGAAAAAATGAACCATGTTTTAAAAAGCTGCAGGAAGATGATCGGCTCATGCCATATGGTGCAAGTTGGGTTTGCCTGGTTCAGTTGAAGCCAGAACCTACAAATAATACATGAATAATAGAGATCCATTTCCATTTACACTTCCTGCATGGCACAAATTTTGGCTTTCTTATTTAATGAAATAATGCAGTAACAGAGTTCATGATGATGACAAGCTTTAAGTTATGTTTAGCTTTTTGTGACCCCTTATTTCCTCCCTTCCTTCCTTCCTCCCTTCTTTCCTTCCTTCCTTCACTCCTTCTTTGCTCGTTTTAAATTAGGAGTCCAATTGAACCATGCCTTGTGCTTTCTTTGACCTAACCTACAGTCTTTAAAATATTACTGATTGGACCATAATATCAGGTGGCTAAGGAAAGGCAGTGGATAATTCAATTTGATTTAGTTTGTCTTTGGTTTGAAACTTAAGGCCGTGAAATGCTATCATCTCCAGCAGCCTAAGTAGGAGTAGTTCCACCACAGAAATAGGTGATAATTAATTTATTTAACGATTCACTTTTGAAGTCTTCAAGAACTTAGTTGAAATAAAGATGGTATAGTCTACCAATAAAATGAGTTAAGACTTTAAGATCAATCAGAGGTAAGGCAAAGCTGATGTTGTGTTACTAATTTTCTCTGAGAAAATGACATGGAGCAAGATTTGAGACCATCAAAAAACAAACAAAAAATGGTACTTAATTGAATTTAAAAGAAGTTAGATGACTTTAAATTTATTTAAAGATATTTAAAAATCTATGTCTGATATCACAAAATTGAATGTTTTATAATGAAATAAACTTGTTTTGAGTTTTAAAGTTACACAACCATACCCACAAATTATTTTTGTTAGTTAATGGAAAAGAACACAAATTCCACCTATTGACATACTGGAAAAATAATAAAAAGGAATACACAACTTAAGTATTTCTACACACACACACACACACACACACACACGCATTCTAAGCGATATAGAGAGTTGCTTCTATTTAGGTTGCTTAAAAATGTTTCAAACTTGTGTCTTGTTCTTCTCTTTAAAAATAAAGAAAAAAACACAGGCAATATAAAAACTAACCAAAATGAAATAAATAAAATTTTTAACAGAAGTGGAGAATAAGTCTGGACGATGTCACTGGGAAATCCATGAGGGCTAAACTTGGATATACATAAGATGCTTAGAGAAATGTCTTAAAGCAGTATTTGCAAAGTAAGCACACTGTTTTCACTTACTTTATATGTGATACATTGGGCCAAGAGTTGGGGGAGAGCCACTGTTTGTCCCTGCACTGATCCTCAGTCACAGGCTATGACAGTGGTAGTGAAAATTAGATAATAGGTCTGATATAGAACATTCAAATTGAGTGTGAGATAATACACATTTGCAGACCTCAGGCACAGTGCAAAAGTTCCACATTTGCAGTGACTACTATTTTCCTGAAAAAAAAGTTTATAAATGCTGGGAGAAGTAAGCTGTACCATTACAGATCTGAGACATCTGGAGACGGAAACTCATTATCTGCTGCAAGTCTTGACAGCTGGAACTTCACTGATAGCTCATGCAAATATTCCCCTATGGTAACTATGGTTACCAATACTATACTGTAACTTAAAAAACTTGTTCATAGAGTAGATCTTTATTGTTCTCCCCCAAAACAAAGAAACAAAAAACACACTAAACAGATACCAAACACAATGAAATTATCTTAAAGCGTACTAGAAATAATGATGAATTTCCTATACATGAATGGTATAGCAAGAAGTTTCTAAAAAGCAACAATTAAAAATGAAGTAGGGTTATTTCAAGCCATGATCTAAAATAATATTTTTTTAAAAAAACTATCGTTAAAGTGTGAATGTGAAATAAAGATACTTTATATATACAAAACTTGAAAGGATGTAGTATAGACAGTTTGTTTGATGAAATAATTTCTTAAGGTAAAGTTCCGGGAAAGAGGAAATTTCATACAAAAGGGAAAATTCAAGAAGTAAGGTGAGTAAAGAAATTAATTAAGAACATATCCTTAAGGTAGCATTAGCAATGTAAACAATAACACTAACAATGTGTAATTAAGCATATAGGTAAGGTGCACCTAAAATTCTAAACAATATGATTAGAATTTAATTACAATTTAATTGATAGAGTTTATGAGAACAAACAAAATTATGAGCCATATAAAATGAATGTAGTAAAAAAACCTGAAAATTTTCAAGGAAAAGTATTAAATTTTATTGAAGGGCATAATAAGTGAAAGCCAAAATACACATAAAAATGTGTGCCAGGCAATTGTTAAAAAAATCTTCACATGGTAAGACATCTTTTTCCATATTAATGTATAAATTAAGGCAATAATAATAAAAATTACAGCAAGATGGTTCGTGCTCATTGACAACCTGATTCTAAATATGTAATTGAAAAGGGGTGGGACTCATCTAGGCAAATTTGTAGTAAGTGCGGGAGAACAATGGAATGGAAGAGGAAGATGGAAAAGAGGACTCTTTTATTTATTTATTTAATTTTTTTTTTTTTTTTGAGAAGGAGTTTTGCTCTTGTTGCCCAGGCTGCAGTGTAGTAAGGCTATCTCGGCTCACTGGAACCTCCACCTTCCAGTTTCATGTGACTTTCCTGCCTTAGCTTCCAGAGTAGCTGGGTGATGGCTGCCACCACACCAGGCTAGTTTTTGTATTTTTAGTAGAGATGTGGTTTCACCATATTGGCCAGGCCGTTCCTGAACTCCTGACCTTGTGATCTGCCCCACTCAGCCTCCCCAAGTGGTGGGTTTACAGGCATGAGCCACTGCGTCCGACCGAGGACTCCGTTTAATAGTGCACACTTTTATACAGCTATTTCTGAATATTATAGTATGGAAAAACCTATTGCAAATAGAATTAACCCGGAACTAAGTACAGTATTATGACAGAAGTTACAGTCTAAGCAATGCTGAAGTAATGCAGTAATATCTTAATATCCTAATGCAATAATACCCTAAGAAAAAAATTGAAGGCAAATGGGGTAAACATATTTGTTAATGACATATAAAAATAAATTGTTATGTCATAGTTTACAAAATAGTAAATAGATGAGGATTTTAAAAATACTTGTAAACACCAAAGCTGCCAAATTGCTAGAAGAAAATATTAGAGAATAATTTATACTATCAGAAAAATACTGTTAATAACATTTAAAAGGATTTGATAAAAAATAAAAATTTTAGCCATTGTGGTGCCTCACACCTGTAATCCCAGGACTTTGGGAGGCCCAGGTGGGCGGATTACGAGGTCAAGAGATGGAGACCATCCTGGCCAACCTGGTGAAACCCATCTCTACCAAAAACACAAAAGTTAGCCAGACGTGATGTTGTGTGCCTTTCCTCTAAGCTACTCAGGAGGCTGAGGCAGGAGAATCGCGTGAAGATGGGAGCTGGAGGTTGTAGTAAGCAGAGATCGTGCAACTGCATTCCAGCCTGGTGACAGAGCAAGCCTCCATCTCAAAAAAATAAATAAGGTAACAGTAGTAGTAGTAAAAATAAAAATTTTTAAAAGCACACATACTGAAATAAAAATCTTTTTTCACATAAGACATCCTGAAAAAATAAGCTAATCTTATGACTAACTGATTAGAGCTGTAGCACAAAGCATTAGCATAAAATGGAAATCTGTCAGATAAAGGGCAAAATGTAGAACAAGAGTGAAGCATATGAGCAGGCACCTCACAGAGGGAAAAAACGCTGAACGTTTAACAAATGCATGAAAAAATTAAGACCACAATAAAGGGCCATTTTTTAAATCCATGATATGGACTAAAATTGAAAAGTCAAACATCAAGTGTTGACAAGGGTATGGGGAAGCAGGAACCTTAGTATTTAATACACTGTTGCTATGAATTGACATGGTAACTTCAGAGAGTTCTGTAGCCAGGCTTGATAAATTTGGAGACAGGCACACCAAATTACCAGGAACTTTTATTTCTTGATATACACTACAAAAACACTTTCATATGTTTATTAAAAAGAAAACAGGACAAAATGTTTTGGAGTTAAGAAGAAATCATGGAAAAATATTAACTGTCAATGGAGAGTATGTGTAAAAAATCGCTTTTCTTTCACATAGTGGAATGTAATACAGTGGTTGAAATGAATGAAGTAGAACTGTCAGTATAAACATATGCAATTTCAAAACTATAATAACAAGTTTGAAAACTACATTGGAAAGGGATATATTTGGTGTGAATACTTATATACTCTTTAAATGCCTCCAAAGCAAAAGTATATATATACACACACACACATATATTTGTATACATTTATACATTTGAATACATTTGTATACATTTATACATATGTTAATATATGTAAAAATATATATATTTATGGATAAATATTTACTGTATAAAACATATATGTGGGAGAATTATACACAAAATTCAGGATAATGATTACTTATGGAGAGAAAGAAGGAAGAAAGGATGGAGGTGTTGTACAGCCTTCAATACTCTCATAATATTTAT
Organism: Homo sapiens; assembly: GCF_000001405.40. Classification (NCBI taxonomy): domain Eukaryota; kingdom Metazoa; phylum Chordata; class Mammalia; order Primates; family Hominidae; genus Homo; species Homo sapiens. The sequence goes on along the minus strand of NC_000024.10, from coordinate 22,354,985 downwards.
TTATTTTTTATCTCCTTAGATTAAATGATATGGAAAAATGTTAACATTTAATTCCTGCATTATATTTAATAAACTCATATCTTAGTATGGAGCAGTCACTGTTATACATGCTTTACAAATATTACTTGATTTAATTTTAATGGTAAAGCCTAAGAGGTAGTATTACTATAATGCTCATTTCCTAGATCACAAGACTAAGGTAAAGAAAGTTTAAATGGCTTGCACAAATTCACATAGAGCTAGATTTGAAGCCAGGTATGTCTATTGTCTATTCATATGATGCCCTTTCTTACATGGCTCATTTCTTCAACATCTGCAGTACATGTGGATGGATATTTACAATATGTTTTTTCATAGTTCGGGATTTTCTAAAAAGTATCATACATTTTAGAATCAAACATTTAAAATTTTGTTTTAAAATTTTGTTCAAAAGTTTTGTTTAAAAAATCAAACATTTAAAATTTAAAATCAAGGAAAATCTGCTTGCCGCTATTAGGTGACAAAAGGACCGTATATATGTAGAAAGCCAGCTGTTAGAAATAAGTCCCAACATAACAATAATTATTGATACAGCAAGAGCATTGGCATCTTGGACAAACACCACCACTTTAAATTCCATCTCCTTTTTTGGTCTCATGCATTTCAAGGAAATCACTTCTCTTCTGACTACAAGCAGCTAAAAAGAGCAGATAGTAAAACACAAATAAGACACCTCAGCACAGAGGTAGGTGAAGGGAAAGTCCCCTGAGTAACTGCCAAAATTCCCCTCATCCAGTGGGCCCCAGTAAAACACTGGGCCTTATTGGGCACATTCCTTTCCCTTCAGGTGCACTAAGATAGGGAAGCTAAAAGCAGACTGGGGGGATAAGCCTGCAGCTGCAGAAAGATGTATGGGAAGACACAAACTCTCCCTCCCAGACAAGCACAGCAAAGAGACACAGAAGCACTCCAAGCCTCTGATAAACTCTCCCACCCTGAATCTTCAAAAACTCTTAGTCCCTAAGAAAGTGTGCCTCTGACCTAACTCACCCAGAAGGCACCGTCTCAGGTTTGTTTTCTCTAAAATAAATCTGTCCTTACTGTTGAGCCACCCTTTTTGTGTTTCCTTCCTCTCTCTTTATTTCTTACAATCATAATAAATGTAAATGATCTAAACTCTCTCATTAAATATCAGCTAAATAATACTTAACAAGAGAGAAGCCTAATGCATCAAGCAAATGGGGATTGAAAATAAAAGGATAGAAAGAAATAAACTAGGTAAATACTAACCAATAGAAAGATGATATCTTTATATTAACTTTATAAAAAGCGAACTTTAATATAAGAAAATACATATTTTTAAGGATAGAGAAGGCCACTTTCTCATGGAAGTCTTTCTTCAACAGGAAGTTAGTTACCTAAAATGCATGTGCACCTAACAAAATAAGGACACATATATACTCAAGAAGGATAAAATTTCAGGGACACACACACACACACAGATATATATATATAAATAAATCCACCCACATTGTAATTTTATGTGTCAGTTTGACTGGGCCACAGTGCACCCAGATGTGTTGTCAAGCATTATTCTATTGTGTCTGTGAGGGTGTTTCTGGATGAGATTAACGTTTTAGTTAATGAGTAAAGAAAGATAAAAGACTTGGGTAGAACAAAAAGGATGAAATAAAGGGGAATTCTCCCAGCTTGACTGTATTTGAGCTAGGGCTTTGAATTTTTCTGCCTTTAGATTCAAATTAAAACCTTGGCTCTTCCCAGACCTAAAGGTTGTAAGCCTTCAAACTGGAAACACACCACTGACCATCCTGGGTCTCTGGACTTTGGACTCAGACTACAACTATACTATCAATCCTCCTCGGTCTCCAAAATGCCAACTGTATTTTTTAGAACTTGTCCACATTCATAATTGCAGGAACCAACTTTTATAATCGATTTCCTTCTCCACATATTTTTTGTGTGTATATATGTATGTGCGTGTGTGTGTGTACACACACATACATATTTGTGAGCATCTGTGTGCACACACACATAGATATGTGCATCATATTTATTTCTGCTACTGCAGAGAATCCAGAATAATACAACCCCCAAAATGGGTGATTTCAATAAAAATTTATTGGCGATAGGTCACATTTACAAGAAACATTAACAAGTTTTAAAAAATTAAACGTTCTAATAGATACATGTCAACTTCTAAGTACTATAATTAGATAAAAACTATATTCTCAAACACAAATGAAACTTCACTATTATCATTTTACATTTGGTAACAAGATGGGATGTAAGCAAGTCTTAACAAATGTCAAATAAGCAGCATCATAAACACAAGTTCTTTGACCTCATGCAATTAGGTTGAAGTCAATTACAAATGATTCGTTCAGTCACTGCTTATTGGAAAAATGAAAAAAAAAAACACAAGAAAGCAGTTCTCACGAATCTTTTGGATATATACATCAAACAAAAATAAAAATAAAATATTCAAATATACTAGCATATGTATAGAAAGATATCTGTGTAAAATCTTACTGTGTTATTTTTTGTTACAGCAAAAGCCTTGAGATGACATAATTGTTCATTATGAAATAAGAAATTTCTTTAGTACGATATTTTGCCTCCAGAAGATGGTATGCGATAGCCATTAGTGTTATTAAAGAGAACAAAGTTGCTCTTTGTTGATAAAATAGTATTAGGATAAATAAGGTAGGTACAGAATAGCACATAGAATATACACTGATTTTAACTTAAAAAATTATATGTTTTAATATATTTCCAAGAAATTGAACAAACTTCTATTAGGGACAACTTCAGAATGGAGAATTATACATCTGGGCTCACGTACTCTGTGTTATTGTCTTAAGTTTTTTTCCTTTCATATCCTCTATGCATTTACAACTTAAAAATACTACTAAAATGTAGAATGAATCAAAGAACCCTAGCCTAAAAATAAGTCTTCTTAAATGTTGCCAAACGGCTTTCAGATCCTTCCGCGAGTGATTTTTTTCCTTTGATTTTAGCACTGGCATGTGCATTGGCATACTCTTCAATAGAATCCATCCTCATGAACGTATACCATATGATGTCATCAGTAAATTAATGTGAAAAGGAGAATTGGATTTTCAAACCATAATTCTCTGGACTAAAGACACTGGGTGCCAGCGAAAGGAAAGGAGACACCTGGAAAGAAGAAGGTAAGCTAAAGATACTGATACTTCCTAGGTCTGACAACAAAATTTCAGCTTGAGACTTCATTGAATGATCTTAAAACTTTTGAAAGATTTCCTACAGTCCCTATTTCTTCAGATAAGAGTGTCAAGCTCTGCAATATTCTTCATTGTAATACCTTGTCTGAAGGGAAAAATGATTGAGATTCTGGGGAAAGTGAATAGAGAACTCTGATGAAAGCCATGGTTAACATAGGCCTCAAACTTAAAAGCATCAAGTTTACATAAATATAATTTTCTTAAAAGCCAGCATAATTTTAATTTTATTGTAGTCATGATGGTCAGACATTGTTTATTTTGGAGAAGTGATTACAGAAATCTGAAAAATCAAGGCCTGATGAGAATACTTAAATTAAGCATACTCCAGAAGCCCAAATCTGAAAAGCAAAGGTGTTTCTGATGTAACAGCCCAAAGTCTGCATTTCTTCTCTATTGGGCAGTGTAATATTGCCCATATGAAAAATAAATGGAGTGTTAAATAAAAAGTAATGAGATTAAGAGGAGTCATTGCTTAGTGAGTTAAAGCAACACACAAATACATTGAGAAGAAAAGGAAGGCAGTGATAGAAAGCATACTATTGATTTAATTCAGAATAATTTTCAATTTTGCCTATTACCATTAAATAGTACCATTACAATAATATAATTGTGTATCTTGACTTCCAACATGTGAGTGGTTTTTATTTTGTATATTTGGAAACCTGATCAAGGTTCTCTAGACATTTCATTTTTTCCCAAATTTCCTAGCTAATAGCTAGCTAAACTCTGGTTGCCTGAATACCTCTCACTAAGTAGTTTGTCTTTTCCTATTAATTTTAATATGAACTTGGTGTGTATTTTGTTGGCATCTTTCCTAAATCTACAGGTGTTGAAGTTGTTCAGATCTCAGTCATGGATCCTCTTGGGTTTTCCCAAGGCTAAAACACCCTTTCTATGCTGACCATTAAGAAATTCCCAACTTCAGGCCAGATCTTTGTTCTACCTTCAGACTTGGCATATCCAACTTCATGCCTTACATCTCCACATACCAAAACCAGACCTTCATTTTATGGTCAAAACATGTTTCCTCCTACAGTATTCCACTATTTCAGAAATTCACAGCACCAAATACCCTGTATTTCAAGCTAGAAATGTAGAGGATGATCTTTGAGGCAGCCTTTCCTCAATGACTCTTCATCCGTCACATCCAACACCTCACAGGTTGTGTGTCCTCTCCAGGAATTATATATAGGGTCTTAGTAAATAAAGACTGGCCGTTAAACAACCTTCAATCATCCATTTTTTTTTCAGTTCACGTCGGTTTCTTTACAGAACAACTGGAGTTCTGCAAAGTCAATGTTGGAGTAAGTACCATTCTCTGCCAGTATTACTATTTTCTTTATCATGAGATATATGTTCCTTAAAAATGCCCACATGAAGCTATGCTAAGTAACAAAGTTAAATGATGTCTTTGTTTTATAGAATAATACAAGACAAATAGAATCAATTGTTATTATATGATCTTTGTAAGTACATACACAGGTACTAGATATTTTAGACCCCACTTCATACATCTGAAATTTGGGTCTCAAAATAGTTAGCTTATCTTAAAGTCTAATGTCAGATTACAGAACTACCTCTTTCCACAATATTGTGCTATCTCCCTTTAAGAACCAGCTGGTGAATCATTAAGAACAAAAAATGTCCTTTTCTTGAACATCTCCACGGTGAGCCAAATATATAAATTTTCTGTGGAGATGTTGTCATGGGCAATTTCACCAAAACTTTTACAAATTTAACCACAGTTATGCTTCAGTGGCATAACTGTTTATCCAATACCTGCACACCTGCTTTAATACGGAAAAATTTGGAAGTTAATACAAATATTAACTCCTATCATTATAGACATGACATCTGAAGACACTTTCCAATATTCCATGAATATGTGTAATTCATATCTCAGTACAGTCTCCCACATGTCAATGTAATCTTAGTAGCAGTGGATCATTTACAGAAGGCAATTTTGCCACAGTGGTCAAATATTTTTGTTAAATACTGCTATTTTAGAGTTATCGATAGCATTAACTGACACACAGTGTAAGCTAGAACCATGTTTCTAAAGAAAATGTTCAGAAATAGGTTTCTTACTTTTTGCTAAATTGCTAACAGGTTAATTACTCCTGTGAAGTGCTAGATAGTTGGAGTAGCATTTACCAAGAAAGAGAAAGAAGACGGGGCATATGACTTGAGAAGGTGGGAGTGAGGAAAAGATAAGGTATTTATTCCAGACTCCTTATTTGGAGTTCTTTGTTTGATTCTTTTCTTTTTGTTGCTGTTGTTATTGTCTTACTTTATGTTATGTGTCAGACCAGAGTTTCACAAACATCCCCAAATAATTACATGGGTCATAAAAATATATCCAGATACTTCTCATTATTTTCCATCAAAATCCTGGTTCAATAATTTGAAATAAGACCTGGAGAACCAACAATTCTCACGAGTATGCTAAGTGATTGTTACCAAAATGACAATTGTGAAATATTTAGAAAACCAGGGAGGAGGTAGGTAATCAACATTTAATAATTGGTTCTTGCTGTAAGGGTAAAGGATTTTATTGAAATGACTATTTAAATTCAAGTTTTATGAAAAAAATAGAATGGAGCACTTTAGTGCTTTCTAATAAGCATCTGTAAAGTATGTTTTGCTAAACTGGCAAAATTATTTTTTCATTAGAGGTTAGCATTATGGCCACAAATGACTTCTGAAATAGCTTTTTGAAAATATTCAGATCATAAATTATAAAAATTATCTTGGGGGTTTATAAAATTCCAGAAATTCACTAAGAAAAATATACATAAAAACACCAGTATCCAAAAAAATCAAAATAACACTTACAAATAGACAAGAAAATATAAAGACAATCTAGCCGAGTAAAAGAAAGCAGGACAGGTAAATGGATACATTTTAGAAAAGAGAAATGTCAAATGACCAGTGAAAAATGGCTAGATGCTTGAGCTCATTAGTAATCCAGGGATATAAATCAAAACCACATTATGTTCCAACTTTTGTTCATTAGCTTGGCAACTATTAAATTAATAATACCGAGTGTAGTCAAAGGTGTAAGGAATGGTAATTTGGTTCCATCAATCACAGGACTATCTAATGATATTTAGTAAAATTAGAGTGACTAAAACTTTTGTTGTTCCAGTGGAAACTTTTTTTAGAATAAAGAGTAGTAACATATACAAAATTATTTACTATTTATTACATTTTTCCTTACAGTCAATTTTTTTATTGTATTGATGGATCTATGAAATAGTTATCTTCCAACTGTTTTTGAAAATGAAATCCCTTCAAAAATTGAAAACCACAAATACATATCTTGAAGCAAAATAGAAAAATAACTTATTTACATTTATTATTTAAATATTAAAAACAGTAGGCAGAATAATTATACTAGAACATATTTATATGAATTAATCTTTTTCTTAAAATAATTATCTGTAGTTCTTTTCTGGAAAATGCATTTGTTTTAGTATTATGTTGATTTTTAAATAAAGTTACTTGTCATCTTTTGCAAAGTTGCTGCTTCTTGTCATCAATAAAAGTTATCAACAATGTTTAGCTTTTCAAGTGAACTTTAAAAAAAATTTATCATACTGTTCAATTTTTTTTCTGGCACAATAATATTTCCACAGCTTTATTTTGGTCCCAATGATTGATTAAAAATTCAAACCGCTTTTTAATCCAACTTTCTGTTTGAAACATCTAAATGGCATTGTTCAACTCTTGGAATTTCTTCTGTAGCTTATGGAGCTTACATACTAACAATTGCTGATGCATATTTCTTAAGTGCAGAAAAATTAGAATTTAAAATGTACACAATTGATTTTAAAAAATAGTAATTTGATGTAAATAAAAAGCCAGGCATCTCAGAATTATATGCTTAATTTTTCCAAATTCACATATTAATGTCATCTTCAGGCATAGTTTTCTTAATGTAACTAAGTATTACCTTCTGAAATAGCAGCTGATTTTTCCCCTCAGCCTTCTGTATTCTGGATTTCAGGATATCACTTTTAGCCTTATGGTGCCAACATGGACTACAAGGCTCTATGATGACACCATGTATTTATTGGCACTTTTAAACCCATAATTTGATTGAAAGGGAAGTTGAGGAGTTTTTGATTAAATATCTACTTGCATTTTTAGGTCATTGCTGCTGAAACAGATTTTTTTAAAAATAGTCATTAGCAAGCAACCCATAAATAAATAGTTGTAGGTATGTGAAAGATGACAAAACCACTGTGGCCAGACAAATTAACTATGCTTTGTATGCTAAGCTTCTATTTCCAACACATAATTTACATATATGTAGCCTATTATTTCCTTCATTTTCCCCAAACCCACCATATGATGGTCTGGCAGTGTCATTTGAGTGAGCCACATAGAAAAAAATATATGTCAAATACTTCTTCCATCACCAGGCAAGACTGGAAGAAGCTAGCCATTCCTAACCAATACTGACTCAATGCATACTGATTTATTATCAAACACTCTGCTGCATGCTGTCCTTGAAAATGAAGCATTATCTATATTTTGTATAAACTGTGTTAGGAAAATAAAGTTGATTTTCAGACTTGTCCCCCTACTCAAGTCATCATTCTGTTAATATTTTATTTTCCTCACATACTGATAGAGCCCTGAGAATAGCTGTAATTGTTAAACAAAATGAACATTTAACAAACACATGCTGGTTCTAATCAATGTAACTTATAATAATACTTCATTAAAAATGAAAAATCTAAGACATATGCTAAGCCGATTAGCATGGATGAACAAGAGTAATTAAGCGGTAGCCCTGGGACTAATGAGAATATTTTATCCCCTCACAGTTAAAACTGTATGCACAATGCAGTCCAGCCATTCTTCTAGTATTTTCATTATAAACTCTCACACATGTGTACCCAGAGGCATAGGGGAGGTTTTTCACTGTAGCATTCCAATAAACACAACATGGAACATGATGGAATTCAGTAGACTGAGAACTATGCCATCAATAATGGCAGCTCTCAACAAGAATATTAACAAGAAAATGTGAAATGATACCACAGCTTATAATATTCACATAAACATTAGAAATGCAAAAAAACACCAGTATTGTTTAGAAATAAAGATTTTAATAAATTTATAAAAAAATGCAAAGGTAATACCACGTTCATGATTATGGTGCCCCTGGTAATGGAGTAAAGCAAATGAACCTGATGGGGTGTATTCCAATTGCAACTAGTGGTAATGTAAATAGAACAAGGAATGCATTAATAGCGGTTATTTTTAAGTGGGGTAAAAATGGTATTTATTATGTTATTTTGTATTTATATATATATTTTAATTTTACTGGAAAACAAAATAATTTTATAATGAACAATATTCCATACAAATTGGAATCACCTTATGAAGTAATTGCTTTAAAATTTCCCTGTGCCCATTGCCACTTTCAAGGACTTAAAAAATTAAAAATTGGAGAATGTGGTATCTTTAAAAAATATATATTTTACATTTATAAGTATGAAATAAAATGTATTACCAGCACATCACATTTGTTGACTTGTTATCCATGTAAAATCACGTAGCAGAAGAAGAAAGAATGACATAGGCAGAATTTGACCTATGTGTAGAGGAAATAATTGTATGTTTATTTAAAATATCGTCTTAAGACATAAAAGTGTCCAAGAAACATAACAAAAGTGCTCAACATCACTGATCATCAGAGAAATGCAAATCAAAATCAAAACAAGATATCATCTCATATCAGTCAGAATGACTGTTATTATTAAAACACCAAAATAAAAAAATAACCAAGGTAGGCAAGGCTGCAGAGGAAAAAAAAATACTTATACACTGGTGGAGAGAATGTTCAGCCACTGTGGAAAGCAGTTTGGGGATTTCTAAAAGAACTAACAATTGAACTACCATTCCACCCAGCAATGCTCTTACTGTGTATATGCTCAAACGAAAATAAATCACGAAAGCTACCAAAAAGACACAAGAATTATCATATTCATCACCATAGCAAAGACATGGAATCAACCTAGGAGCACATCCATGGAGGATGGGATAAAGAAATTGTGGTACAAGGGGGAGGAGCCAAGATGGCCGAATAGGAACAGTTCCGGTCTACAGCTCCCAGCGTGAGCGATGCAGAAGACGGGTGATTTCTGCATTTCCATCTGAGGTACTGGGTTCATCTCACTAGGGAGTGCCAGACAGTGGGCGCAGGTCAGTGGGTGCGCGCACCATGTGCGAGCCGAAGCAGGGCGAGGCATTGCCTCACTTGGGAAGCGCAAGGGGTCAGGGAGTTCCCTTTCTGAGTCAAAGAAAGAGGTGATGGACGGCACCTGGAAAATCGGGTCACTCCCACCCAAATACTGTGCTTTTCCGACGGGTTTAAAAAACGGCGCACCACAAGATTATATCCCGCACCTGGCTCGGAGGGTCCTGTGCCCACGGAGTCTCGCTGATTGCTAGCACAGCAGTCTGAGATCAAACTGCATGGCGGCAGCGAGGCTGGGGGAGGGGCGCCCGCCATTGCCCAGGCTTGCTTAGGTAAACAAAGCAGCCGGGAAGCTCGAACTGGGTGGAGCCCACCACAGCTCGAGGAGGCCTGCCTGCCTCTGTAGGCTCCACCTCTGGGGGCAGGGCACAGACAAACAAAAAGACAGCACTAACCTCTGCAGACTTAAATGTCCCTCTCTGACAGCTTTGAAGAGAGCAGTGGTTCTCCCAGCACGCAGCTGGAGATCTGAGAACAGGCAGACTGCCTCCTCAAGTGGGTCCCTGACCCCTGACCCCTGAGCAGCCTAACTGGGAGGCACCCCCCAGCAGGGGCACACTGACACCTCACATGGCAGGGTACTCCAACAGACCTGCAGCTGAGGGTCCTCTCTGTTAGAAGGAAAACTAACAAACAGAAAGGACATCCACACCAAAAACCCATCTGTACATCACCATCATCAAAGACCAAAAGTAGATAAAACCACAAAGATGGGGAAAAAACAGAACAGAAAAACTGGAAACTCTAAAACGCAGAGCGCCTCTCCTCCTCCAAAGGAACGCAGTTCCTCACCAGCAACAGAACAAAGCTGGATGGAGAATGACTTTGACGAGCTGAGAGAAGAAGGCTTCAGACGATCAAATTACTCTGAGCTACGGGAGGACATTCAAACCAAAGGCAAAGAAGTTGAAAACTTTGAAAAAAATTTAGAAGAATGTATAACTAGAATAACCAATACAGAGAAGTGCTTAAAGGAGCTGATGGAGCTGAAAACCAAGGTTCGAGAACTATGTGAAGAATGCAGAAGCCTCAGGAGCCAATGCGATCAACTGGAAGAAAGGATATCAGTGATGGAAGATGAAATGAATGAAATGAAGCGAGAAGGGAAGTTTAGAGAAAAAACAATAAAAAGAAATGAGCAAAGCCTTCACGAAATATGGTACTATGTGAAAAGACCAAATCTACGTCTGATTGGTGTACCTGAAAGTGATGGGGAGAATGGAACCAAGTTGGAAAACACTCTGCAGGATATTATCCAGGAGAACTTCCCCAATCTAGCAAGGCAGGCCAACGTTCAGATTCAGGAAATACAGAGGACACCACAAAGATACTCCTCGAGAAGAGCAACTCCAAGACACATAATTGTCAGATTCACCAAAGTTGAAATGAAGGAAAAAATGTTAAGGGCAGCCAGAGAGAAAGGTCCGGTTACCCTCAAAGGGAAGCCCATCAGACTAACAGTGGATCTCTCGGCAGAAACTCTACAAGCCAGAAGAGAGTGGGGGCCAATATTCAACATTCTTAAAGAAAAGAATTTTCAACCCAGAATTTCATATCCAGCCAAACTAAGCTTCATAAGTGAAGGAGCAATAAAATACTTGACAGAGATGCAAATGCTGAGACATTTTGTCACCACCAGGCCTGCCTTACAAGAGCTCCTGAAGGAAGCACTAAACATGGAAAGGAACAACTGGTACCAGCTGCTGCAAAATCATGCCAAAATGTAAAGACCATCAAGACTAGGAAGAAACTGCATCAACTAACGAGCAAAATAACCAGCTAACATCATAATGACAGGATGAAATTCACACATAACAATATTAACTTTAAATGTAAATGGACTAAATGCTCCAATTAAAAGACACAGACTGGCAAATTGGATAAAGAGTCAAGACCCATCAGTGTGCTGTATTCAGGAAACCCATCTCACGTGCAGAGACACACATAGGCTCAAAATAAAAGGATGGAGGAAGATCTACCAAGCCAATGGAAAACAAAAAAAGGAAGGGGTTGCAATCCTAGTCTCTGATAAAACAGACTTTAAACCAACAAAGATCGAAAGAGACAAAGAAGGCCATTACATAATGGTAAAGGGATCAATTCAACAAGAAGAGCTAACTATCCTAAATATATACGCACCCAATACAGGAGCACCAAGATTCATAAAGCAAGTCCTGAGTGACCTACAAAGAGACTTAGACTCCCACACATTAATAATGGCAGACTTTAACACCCCACTGTCAACATTAGACAGATCAACGAGACAGAAAGTCAACAAGGATACCCAGGAATTGAACTCAGCTCTGCACCAAGCGGAACTAATAGACATCTACAGAACTCTCCACCCGAAATCAACAGAATATACATTTTTTTCAGCACCACACCACACCTATTCCAAAATTGACCACATACTGGGAAGTAAAGCTCTCCTCAGCAAATGTAAAAGAACAGAAGTTATAACAAACTATCTCTCAGACCACAGTGCAATCAAACTAGAACTCAGGATTAAGAATCTCACTCAAAAACCACTCAACTACATGGAAACTGAACAACCTGCTCCTGAATGACTACTGGGTACATAACGAAATGAAGGCAGAAATAAAGATGTTCCTTGAAACCAACGAGAACAAAGACACAACATACCAGAATCTCTGGGACGCATTCAAAGCAGTGTGTAGAGGGAAATTTATGGCACTAAATGCCCACAAGAGAAAGCAGGAAAGATCCAAAATTGACACCCTAACATCACAATTAAAAGAACTAGAAAAGCAAGAGCAAACACATTCAAAAGCTAGCAGAAGGCAAGAAATAACTAAAATCAGAGCAGAACTGAAGGAAATAGAGACACAAAAAACCCTTCAAAAAATTAATGAATCCAGGAGCTGGTTTTTTGAAAGGATCAACAAAATTGATAGACTGCTAGCAAGACTAATAAAGAAAAAAAGAGAGAAGAATCAAATAGACACAATAAAAAATGATAAAGGGGGTATCACCACTGATCCCACAGAAATACAAACTACCATCAGAGAATACTACAAACACCTGTACGCAAATAAACTAGAAAATCTAGAAGAAATCGATAAATTCCTGGACACATACACTCTCCCAAGACTAAACCAGGAAGAAGTTGAATCTCTGAATAGACCAATAACAGGAGCTGAAATTGTGGCAATAATCAATAGCTTACCAACCAAAAAGAGTCCAGGACCAGATGGATTCACAGCCAAATTCTACCAGAGGTACAAGGAGGAACTGGTACCATTCCTTCTGAAACTATTCCAATCAATAGAAAAAGAGGGAATCCTCCCTAACTCATTTTATGAGGCCAGCATCATTCTAATACCAAAGCCAGGCAGAGACACAACAAAAAAAGAGAATTTTAGACCAATATCCTTGATGAACATTGATGCAAAAATCCTCAATAAAATACTGGCAAAACGAATCCAGCAGCACATCAAAAAGCTTATCCACCATGATCAAGTGGGCTTCATCCCTGGGATGCAAGGCTGGTTCAATATATGCAAATCAATAAATGTAATCCAGCATATAAACAGAGCCAAAGACAAAAACCACATGATTATCTCAATAGATGCAGAAAAAGCCTTTGACAAAATTCAACAACCCTTCATGCTAAAAACTCTCAATAAATTAGGTATTGATGGGACATATCTCAAAATAATAAGAGCTATCTATGACAAACCCACAGCCAATGTCATACTGAATGGGGAAAAACTGGAAGCATTCCCTTTGAAAACTGGCACAAGACAGGGATGCCCTCTCTCACCACTCCTATTCAACATAGTGTTGGAAGTTCTGGCCAGGGCAATTAGGCAGGAGGAGGAAATAAAGAGTATTCAGTTAGGAAAAGAGGAAGTCAAATTGTCCCGGTTTGCAGACGACATGATTGTATATCTAGAAAACCACATTGTCTCAGCCCAAAATCTCCTTAAGCTGATAAGCAACTTCAACAAAGTCTCAGGATACAAAATCAATGTACAAAAATCACAAGCATTCTTATACACCAATAACAGACAAACAGAGAGCCAAATCATGAGTGAACTCCCATTCACAATTGCTTCAAAGAGAATAAAATACCTAGGAATCCAACTTACAAGGGATGTGAAGGACCTCTTCAAGTAGAACTACAAACCACTGCTCAAGGAAATAAAAGAGGATACAAACAAATGGAAGAACATTCCATGCTCATGGGTAGGAAGAATCAATATCGTGAAAATGGCCATACTGCCCAAGGTAATTTACAGATTCAATGCCATCCCCATCAAGCTACAAATGACTTTCTTCACAGAATTGGAAAAAACTACTTTAAAGTTCATATGGAACCAAAAAAGAGCCCACATCGCCAAGTCAATCCTAAGCCAAAAGAACAAAGCTGGAGCCATCACTCTACCTGACTTCAAACTATACTACAAGGCTACAGTAACCAAAACAGCATGGTACTGGTACCAAAACAGAGATATAGATCAATGGAACAGAACAGAGCCCTCAGAAATAACGCCGCATACCTACAACTATCTGATCTTTGACAAACCTGAGAAAAACAAGCAATGGGGAAAGGATTCCCTATTTAATAAATGGTGCTGGGAAAACTGGCTAGCCATATGTTGAAAGCTGAAACTGGATCCCTTCCTTACACCTTATACAAAAATCAATTCAAGATGGATTAAAGACTTAAACGTTAGACCTAAAACCATAAAAACCCTAGAAGAAAACCTAGGCATTACCATTCAGGACATAGGCATGGGCAAGGACTTCATGTCTAAAACACCAAAAGCAATGACAACAAAAGCCAAAATTGACAAATGGGATCTAATTAAACTCAAGAGCTTCTGCACAGCAAAAGAAACTACCATCAGAGTGAACAGGCAACCTACAAAATGGGAGAAAATTTTTGCAACCTACTCATCTGACAAAGGGCTAATATCCAGAATCTACAATGAACTGAAACAAATTTACAAGAAAAAAACAAACAACCTCATCAAAAAGTGGGCGAAGGACATGAACAGACACTTCTCAAAAGAAGACATTTATGCAGCCAAAAAACACATGAAAAAATGCTCATCATCATTGGCCATCAGAGAAATGCAAATCAAAACCACAATGAGACACCATGTCACACCAGTTAGAATGGCAATCATTAAAAAGTCAGGAAACAACAGGTGCTGGAGAGGATGTGGAGAAATAGGAACACTTTTACACTGTTGGTGGGACTGTAAACTAGTTCAACCATTGTGGAATTCAGTGTGGCAATTCCTCAGGGATCTAGAACTAGAAATACCATTTGACCCAGCCATCCCATTACTGGGTATATACCCAAAGGACTATAAGTCATGCTGCTAGAAAGACACATGCACACGTATGTTTATTGTGGCATTATTCACAATAGCAAAGACTTGGAACCAACCCAAATGTCCAACAATGATAGACTGGATTAGGAAAATGTGGCACATATACACCATGGAATACTATGCAGCCATAAAAATGATGAGTTCATGTCCTTTGTAGGGACATGGATGAAATTGGAAGTCATCATTCTCAGTAAACTATCGCAAGAACAAAAAACCAAACACCGCATATTCTCACTCATAGGTGGGAATTGAACAATGAGATCACATGGACACAGGAAGGGGAATATCACACTCTGGGGACTGTTGTGGGGTGGTGGGAGGGGGAAGGGATAGCATCGGGAGACATACCTAATGCTAGATGACGAGTTAGTGGGTGCAGCGCATCAGCATGGCACATGTAGACATATGTAACTAACCTGCACAATGTGCACATGTACCCTAAAACTTAAAGTATAATAAAATAAAGACAAAAAATAAAATAAAATAAAATAAAATAAAATAAAATAAAATAAAATAAAATAAAATAAAATAAAATAACTAAAAAAAAAAAAAAAGAAATTTTGGTACATATGAACCTGGAATAGAGTACAGCCAAAAAAGGAACAAAATCATGTCCTTTGCAACAATGTGGATGCAGCTGGAGGTCATTAACCTGAACATATTAATGTAGAAACAGAAAATCAAATATTGAATATTCTCATAAATAGGAGCTAAAACTTGGGTGCACATAGAAATAAAGATGAGAACAATAGACACTGGAGTCTTCAATGGAGGGACAGAAGCAGAGGGTCAGGGGCTGTAAACCTTCCTATTGGGTACTAGGTTCACTATCTGGGTGATGGAATCAATAGAAGTCTAAACGTCAGCATCATGCAATAGACCTTTGTAACAAGCCTGCACATGTACTCTCTGAATCTATAATAAAAATGGAAATAAAAAATAAAATTAAAATATTATTAAAGGAAATGATAAATTACATTTTAGAATTGACATGATTGCAGTCATACATGGTTGAAACATGATGGTAAAATCTATATAAGCTTTATGGGAACAGTGAATAGTCTCCTGACTGTCTTTAAAAGTATAAAAGATGGGATAGCTACCTTTATGCAAATTAACTAGACTTCAGTTGCACTAATTAAGAGAGCAACAGCTGAGTCAATTAAACGATGATAGCCAAGTTGTAAGTGATGTCGAAATTCTACCTTATTATATATTGACTTAGGAAATCATATCCCAACTTTTCTTCTATTTTGAGAAACATCACTTTACTAATATATAGAACAAAGATTGATTTTGCAGATTTGCATGGTTTCAGTAGAGCATATTTCATCTTCAAATATGATAAGCACTTCCCAATCCATAAAACACTGTTAGAAAAAAACTCTCAATCAGGCTGGACACACATTTCAAAGAGCCTGTGAGTTTGCAAATCACGTATGCCTCACTCCCATCTTACCATGATAATGCATAGCAATTACATAGTGTTTCTTAGCTTGAAAGAGCCTAGGAACTTTAATTAATCCTTAGACTACCCAGTGAGAGAGTGATGAGAAATCCCTTGAAGAGATCATTTAACTATATAATTCACACTTACTTAAATGTAATTCAGCTTGTATGTCATGTTGTGTTTTCCTAGCTTTCTATTTCAATCTTCAGAGAAATAATATTTATCTGTGAATATATGATGCATAGGCATCTATTATGAATAAAACTGTATAGACTGCACTCTGCCACTAAAAGGTAACAGATACATGTACAGCCAACACATAAAAAACATCTTGTACATTCTGCTGTATTTTCTTTTCTTATTCATTTCATATCTTACTTTCAGTTATTTCAGAGTGGACTTGTTAGATTTGAATAGGCTAAAACTTATTAAAGAGGAATATACAATTCTCTTATTAATATTTATAATTACTTTAGTTTTTTGGAAATTGTATTAAAATTAAATTTCTATAATTATGCTGCATGTAAAAGAATATCACATGTAAATGCTTCACCCAAATGAAAGAATATTTAATATTCAATTTAGAATTCTCTGTAGTAGGATTTCCTTCTCTTCAGGTAGCTGGCTACTGGGGCCTACCAAAACCAATCTATTTCTGCAGTAAAGGCAAACAATGAGTTACTCAGGAAAGAACTCTTTCAGTCTGCAAAGTATAATACATCTTTTCCCTGAGCAGAATAAATTCTTATCCAGTTTTACTGTTCAACTAAAAATTCAATTGAAGTTCATCATTTTCTTTTTTATTACAAAGAAAATCTGGTTAATTTCTAATTATTTGTACTAAATCTATTCTCTATAACTACCTAAAATTACATAGACATACACACATGCATACAAAAGAAACAGTACAACTGGAAGACCAAATAATGTGTACACGTGATCTGTTTAAAAAAAAAACTTTCTATTCTACAATTTTCATTATAGGTTATAGTTGTAATTCAATCAATGGCCTATTTTAAATGAGTGTCTAAGACATCACTGGAGAAAGTATGTACAATGCAAGCAACATTTCCCTATGTAGACACTTTATTTGTAAATATATTTATACTGCAGAGTTAAAATGGTTAACTTTGTTGTCAAAGACTGATAATGGCTAAAGTTTTGTTTCTTAATATATGTATTCGATTTGTTGTTTGGTATCCTATAAACCTTTTATGCTATATCTAAGACTTAAAATGTATTAAACATTGTATGTTGGTCTTTATTGGAAGTCAGGTGGGGGGAACCCATGCAGTTGCTGCCTGGAGGATCTTATCTAACAAAAGAAGTCAATAACAGGCAGCTGAGTGGGCAGTGGTCCAGTGCCAGGTTTTTAGCTGAGACATGAATAAGTTTCTCAGGAATTCTCAGAAATATTTAAGGGATATGAAACTGGTTTACCAATGATCTTTAAAAAAAATCAGCTAAAGAATATCCTATAGTGTCCTGAGGAGAAAAATGAGCAAGGCAAATAATTTGAGATGGGAAACATACTAGTTGATTGCAGGAGAACAGAAAATCTCAAGCAGCAGTTTCACATGACTAGCAAAAACACACCGTTAACGTAGCTGCATAAACTAGAAGTTGATAAGACTCCGAAAAACCAGAGTGTAGGCAAAGCTGGTTAGCAACAAGTGAACCCAACATGGTGTTGGCTTTGAGCTACGTTTCACCTTGGAGAAAATGGCAAAAAAATATACTGCTACTACCAAGCACCTCTGCTACTACCATGCAGC
This sequence comes from Homo sapiens, assembly GCF_000001405.40. Taxonomy (NCBI): domain Eukaryota; kingdom Metazoa; phylum Chordata; class Mammalia; order Primates; family Hominidae; genus Homo; species Homo sapiens. Next base: position 22,336,857 of record NC_000024.10, on the reverse strand, counting down.
AGAGCAACTGATCAAAGGCAGCAATTGTCTAACTATGGCTGGTTCACATGTGAAAACTAGAAATCCCTGTTTGTTTAATTCATATTTACTCTTTCTGTTATATGAAGTAAAAAAAATTCCTTACTGACACAGTGCTTCATTTTTCTTCCTTATTCTCCACCATTTATTTTCTTCTCACATTAGTTATAGTTTGTAACTTATTTTGTCAAATATATGCTTTGCGGTAACATTGCAGTATTGCAGAAAACACACTGCATTGGAAACAGACTCATATTGAAACGGGAAAACGTCCCTTATCCCCTGCTGCCAAGAGAGCAATGAGGACAGGTTGTGGGGCTCAGATCCCACGCAACATCTAAGGGTGAATGTTTTCAGCTTCTGACTCCCCAGTGGGCATGTGTTACAAGGTGATAATTTAGTTTATCAATCTGTAGGCGGCTTGTGTTAGCTCAATTAGGCACCCTGCCTTACTGCAAAGACAGTGGGCTTTCTGGATCTCAGGGTTTCCTGCCTTGGTGTACCTGAAAAATTGGCTCACACATGGGCTTGGAGAATAAATGCAAGGTTTCATTGAGTGGAAGTTGTCAGCAGATGAATGGGGAGCCAGAAGGGAGATGGAGCAGGGAGGTGGTTTTCCCTTGGAGTGGGGCACGGTCAGCGATCTCCTCCCACAGCCCCAAGGAACTCCATGTTCTGCAGTGGATGGCCTGCCACCTCCATCCTTGTACTCTTCTTCCTCTGGTGTCTTCTCAAGGTACAGTTGCTGTGTCTTCTTCTGCTGATAGTTCCTCTCAACGTCCAGCTGCTGTGTCTCTACCTGCTAGGGGCTCGGGGTTTCTTATAGCACAGGATGGGGGTATGGCAGGCCAGGGTGGTCTTGGAAAATGCAACACTTGGGCAAAAAAACCAGAAGTGCATGTCCTCACCTAGGTCAGTGAGCACAGGCCTCAGGGTGGAACCCTAGCCAAGAACCACACCCTCCTCTACCAGGCATTTACCTGCTCCCCTTCCATATCAATATTTTTTTAAATTTAAAACTCCAAAAATGGTACCCAAATCCTTTAGAGAAGACAGTTGGAGAAAATGTCATTAGGAGAGTCGGTCTAGGATTAGGGTCACTACATGGAAAATGGAAACACAGAAAGCATATCCTTCAGGCCGTGGAATCACTGCGGAAACATATCCCTTGCTGAGAAGGACAGGGAAACAAACTGGCTTCTCTCATCTTCTTGTTCTCTAATCTCTGTAGTGTCACCCCTTGACTAAGCTGAATCAGGAAGTAATTTTTTATGAGAGCCTAGGAAACATGCCTCCCAGGGCCCAGGCCACTCTATTAGATAACAGTGCCAGGGAGAGGTGATTGATGTGTCTGTGGGCATACAAACCCAGTACCTCACACAAAGGTGTATCAGAGACAAATATAGTATCAAGGTATCAAGAGAAATTGTCTCAGGAACAATTCATGCATGTATTTGTGAAAAGACCGAAAAGTAAAACAGAGCTTATGAGATAGTTATCATGACAAGAAGATAAAGAAAAGCAGGCAAAATTGTAAAGTCAAGGGTATTTACATTTCATTTATAGGATTTTGAAAATCCCTTACAGAATCCTTTTCCCAATATCTTCCACTCATGGATTCATAAAAGAAATATTTACTGAGCTAGTATGGTCTAAGAATTGGGCAAATGGCATCATATGCACTGTTAGTACTTCTATCATTGATAGAAAGAATGTTTCTTTTTTTCTACAGTGTTTTTCTCCCAAATATTCTTCAGGAAAATTCATAACTGTACAGATGTGATCAATTGTTCCTGCCCTAAGAAGGTTCCCCAAACCCCTGTAAACCCAGTTAAGAACTTCCTTCCTCTCCAATTAACTTACTAAATTGTATATATTGTAACACTTGTCAGAGTACATTGCAATTATTGCTCTTCCCTTCATCCTCCAATTAAACTATGAATATTTTACAGGAAAAGTCTATAAACACAATGGCTTGACATTTGTCAATATTTATTGTTCAAAAGGTTATTAGATATTTATATATAATAATCTAACATATTTATCCTAATTTCTGGAAAACAATATAAACAATGTTAATTGCCCATTCCCCATGAACTGCTCAACTTTAAAAAATGTCTGTGCTTTTGGAGCAGTTATACAAACTTCCAAAAGACACCTGAAAGAGTTTTTAATTTTTTTTTATTGTTATATTGAATTATTTTGTAGAGACAAAGTCTTGCCCCATGGCCCAGGCTGAAGCGCAGTGTGTGATCACAGCTCACTACAACCTTGAACTCCTGAGTAAACAGAACAACAGATGTGTGCCATCATGCCCAAATTATTAAATTAATTAATTAGTTACATTTGTGGAGATAAGTCTTTCTATGTTGCATGTGCTGGTCTTGAACTCTGGGCTTCAAACAATCCTCCCTTCATAGCCTCCTAAAGAGCTGCAATTCCAGGCATAAACCACCAGACCTCAATGAAAAAAATTTAGACTTTAGAATATTGCAATATGTCAGGTTTAATTTCTTCTTTCAATTTTGCATTTACAGTGGCACTTGAGAATATTTCTTAGAGTGTGATTTCTCATATTTGGTCACCAAATTTTCAAATCTTTATTCTGTTACTTAAACCCTCATAACTGGTAGTCAAGTCGGCTGACAGTCGAGTACATGGGTGTTTTGTGTTGAGGTTATGAAGACAAATGTAGAGAGATATTAAGAACCAAAGACATTTATTTTTTATATATGCTAAAGCTTTATCCTCACAGGTGAGGCATCATTCATGGCATGGATAGTTTTTCATTTTTTTTTTTGAGATGGAGTCTCGCTCTGCCACCCAGGCTGGAGTGCAGTGGCGTGATCTTGGCTCACTGCAAGCTCCGCCTCCCAGGTTCAGGGCATTCTCCTGCCTCAGCCTCCCAAGTAGCTGGGACTACAGGCGCCCGCCACCACACCCGGCTAATTTTTTGTATTTTGTTTAGTAGAGATGGGGTTTCATCGTGTTAGCCAGGATGGTCTCGATCTCCTGACCTCGTGATCCACCCGTCTTGAACTCCCAAAGTGCTGGAATTACAGGCGTGAGCCACCGCGCCCAGCTCATGGCATGGGTAGTTTTATAAAATACCCTGAAATACATACTTTAGTAACCAGTTCAGCACTTGCAATTTCCCAACTTTGTTTTCATCAGGAGTTAATGATGTATGGCACTTCTAGTAAGTAAGTGTTTGAATTGCTGTGAGTTATTTTAGTCATTTCTCAGCTAACCACTTAAGTTATCAAAGATCTTTACTTGTGCAATATCATAAATGCTGAACATTAAAAATTAGTCAACAGGATTAGCTGCCATCTAATGTGATATTTTTCAGTAAGATAACAGCAGTAATTATGCAAAAAATAATCATTCCCATAGTTTGAGCCATGATAGCAATTTCTACCTTAGGATTTCACAGTCAGAGTCCAGATCTGGGCAACAGTGATTAACATAGTGGTTACTAATGAGAAGAGATTTTGATACATCTAGCTATATAAGATGTCAGTGCCTTGAAGGGACGGTTTTGGCATATTAATTAGAAAGAGTGCATTGGACTGGATACTAAGAAATATATTGCATTATTTTTCTTGTCCTCTATAACAGGAAAGGTCAATTAGAGATATAGAAACAATGGAACATTTCACAGCATGGCTTGACATTTCACTGCAGTTTTATTTTTTTTTACCATGTACAAAGTTCATTAAATATGCAAAGGTAGGACTGTTACAGGATGAAAGTGGTGGAGTCAGAGGTCGTAATCCACAGCAACGTGATAGGCTCTTGCAGACGGTACCCTGAGTGCTGAATTAGAGTAAGAATCAGCTTTCAGGCTGCCAGCAGGGGACAAGGAGAATGAAGCTATCAGCAGTTAACAATATTGGATTAATTGAAATGAATGTTGACAGAGATTTTATTGGCTTTACATCAAATTGACTATAGCACTTCAAATTGATTATTTGATAAGGGTAAACTCTTATCAAACTTCCCACATGTAAAATTGAGGATTAATTAAAAGATTACACAACCCATACATATGGTATCTCAATTAAATTTCTATACACATGTGCAAAATTGCAGTATGCAAATATTTGTCTACATCTAAATATATCCAAATCCATTGATGAACAGCTAGAAATTTAGAAATTATTCTCCCATTTTACCATTCCCTTTCTGAGGATTTTGTCACAAATATTATTTTTCCATCTGTTTGAATCCTACTCTCTGGAGGCATGTAATGTATGGATACAGTAAAGCCATGAGATATTATGGGGTTTGTATCAGAGAAAACAATAACACTGGTGTTATAAAAGATCCATTGTGATTATTATAAAAAGTCCCCTTCCTCCTTACTTGTATCAAAGTCTTTTTCATCATGGGGGAAATAATGCAACATACTTTGGTAAGTTAAAAAAGTATAAAAGTAAAAATAAATCCCACTGCAGATGGCAGGGGACCTTCTGTGTGTGTCTAGCGAGAGAATGTGGCTGAGCATTAAGGCCTACCTGAGTATTGGTGTAGACACCCAGTTTCCCTCCTACCAGAGTGAGTGTGGGCACGTTCCAGCCTGCGTGTTTGAGCTGGTGCATGTGTGTGCACACCTGTGCCTGTGTACCTTTGTGTACCTTGGTTTGGGGAGGGGACCCACATTCCCACCCACAGGTATGACTCAAACTCAGCTCTTGAGCTGCCAAGCAGGGGTCAGCCGGGTTTGGCAATCCAACTTCAGGACCCATGAAGCCTGAGCCCTAGGGAGACGTGAAGAGTCCTCATTGCTCTCACACATGGCAGAGGTAGGAGGAAAAGGGTGGTTGGCGCGAGCTACCTAGAGAAGATGTCATGGACCTCAAATGACATCTGGAGGGAAATGAAACCTAGCAGCTGTCTTTGTCTTCCTGTGTGTTCAGTCGGTACATTCAGGGAAGAAGCAATGGAACCGGAGGGGCTTTGGGATGCACTGTCTGGGAATCCCTGTGCACCAGAGAGTTTCCAGCCCATGAGACAGGAGGACAGCATGTGGGCCCAGCAAGGCCTGAGTCTCCAGGGAAGTTGGCATTCTCCCCAAGAGGGCACGGGTCGGTAGGTGGAGGAGAAACCCAGGCCGCGGGGTCAGGTAGATGGGACACTTATCACTTAGCCAGGTGGGAGCTCAGGAGAATGCCTGGTGAGCAGCGGCCTAATAGGCCAGTGACACCCAGTTCCAGTACTGCATGTGTGGACACAAAAGCTTTGCCCTGTGCATCCTCTCCAGGGTGCCTCATGTGGGTGGACAGGAAGCAAGGCACACAGCATCCTAAGCTTATGGTCATGAGTGGACACAGAGGGGGTCTCCAGTATCACTAGTCCCAGGAGAGGCAGGCATGCATGATCTCTTCAGCACAGGGTTAAAATGCATAAGCCCAGCTCTCCACCCAGTGGGTGTCTTGCCCTGATGATGTCAGCCATGGCAGATACAGCTCTTCCACCTAGATTGCAGATCCACAGGCTTACGACTCCCCCCTGGCATTCTCCAGGAATGGTCCCTGGACACTGGACCAGCCAGTGCCCCACGGGTGTTCTTTCCAGCCTCCAAGCTCACGGGAAGCTCATTGATGACTCTCCTCCTAGTACATGGCCACACACAGGCACTATCAACAACCCAGGGTCCTTCTACATTCCAGGGTCCTGCCACCGTACCCAGCAGTGGGATAATGGAAAGGGAAAGAGCTGGAACAGACAGAGCAGAAGCCACAAGCCTCACCCTCCCGCATGGCAAGGGAATGAGGGGATCCTTCCCAGCCCAGGGAGCTGCTTCCTGAACACACCTGGAAGCCCAGCACCAGCTGAGGGATTCACTCCACCACACCTGGGCATGGGGGATTTCAATGTGTGCCAGAGACCTTGATCCTGGTCGCCCTACCAGGTGTACTTCTCCTCCAGGTCACATTATGTTCACACCCTCCTTAAGCCAGATGGACTCCTTGTCCTCACCACTTAGTGTTGGCTGGAAGTGTTACTCCTGGTGCCCCAGCCACTGTTTCAAGGTGCAGAGACTGACAAGCAGACCCCTGAGTCCTTGTCCTCCTGTCCAAGTAATATCCACAGAAATGGTAGAAGAGTGGCACATTAGACCTCATGACATTTTTAAGGCTGACCTCTTTATAAGCATCTCATCCAGGTATTTATGAGTTTTTCTCATTTATTGTATTTATTTATATCTCTCATTTAAAAATCAATTTATGCTTAGAGGTATTTCAACATATAACCAAATGTTCAGAGCTATGACATACAGGTTTCAAGCTTGAAAGTCTGTACCTGCTATTACGGTGGGTAAAACACATCCAGCACTTACAAAAATACGTAATTATTAGGCATGACCACTGTAGTGGTCTCAAACATTCAAATTCTCCGCAAACCCATTTGAAAATATTCCTGGTGGTACTGAACACAGTACTTGCTGCTAATGAATAAAAAACAGTGTAAGCATTTTCTGGATACTGGACCACCTCTGGCCTAGCTAGGTTAGATAAGGTGAGACAGCTCTGCCTAAGTGTCCTGCTGTCACGGGGACAAACCCCTCAGGAGCCCTGGACCAGTACATCACGAAGTCTAACACCCTGATAACACTATGCAGAAGGAACATCCCATGGAGAGACTCGTAGAAATAGAAGATGTCTGAGGATCTCAGCAGTCCAGCCCCCACTATCTGAGTCATGCTAGCCATGGCACCATGGTGATGAGAAGACATCTGACAATGTCCCCATCCTGAGCCATCACTAGACTGCATCCTCCTGAGTACCCCTGAACCACAATCATTTGGCTTACAGACTGTGAAAGACTGCAGAGACTGAAGTTAGTAAATTATAATTATTGTTTTAAGCCATTAAGTTTTAGGTAATTTTGAAAAGTACTTTAGACTCCTAGAAAAACTGAGTTGTCTACTGATTTGAGTAATTGTGGAGAGCTTTAAAGGCCAATGTCATGAATGCTAATACCCTGGAAAAGTCAAACCATCAAGACTCTTCAAAACACAATAGATATTTAATGTCCCTTTGCTATGGCTGGAGAATAATATAACGTATCTGACAGAGTTTTTTGAAAGCCTCTATTCACATCTCTTGGCTGGGTATGGGTCAATTCTGGTCTGGTTTAATTCTAGTCAATTGCAGCAATTCATCTTTTGTTTTAGGTCCTGGCCTACACTGATTTTTTGATCACTGACCATGTCTGTGTCTGTGCGTGTATGTTTTGTGTGTTACCATACTTTATCTGAAGGGGCTAAATAATAGTGCTACAGTTGTTTTGTAAACATAAAGCATTCCACAAAGACGATATTGCTTATCTGCTGAGCTTTAAAACAGATATGAGGCAGGGCATGGAGGCTCACACCTGCACTCCCAGCAGTTTGGCAGGCCAAGGTGGGCAGATCTCTCGATGTCAGGAGTTTGAGACAAGCCTGGCCAAGATGGCAAGATCCCATGTCTAGTATCATATCAAAGTTAGCCAGGCTTGGTGGCCCATGGATGTTATCCCAGCTACTCAGGAGGCTGATGCAGGAGAATCCATTGAACCCTGGGGAAGGAGTTTGCACGGTACTGAGATAACACCACTGTGCTCCAGCCTGGGCACCAGAGTGAGACTCTGTCTCAAAAATAAAAAAAAAATAATAAAATAATAAAACAGGAGAGATCACTGAAGAAAGAAATGCATAAAACTGAGTGGGCATTGTGGCTCACGCCTGGGATCCCAGCATTTTGAGAGTCTGAGGTGGGTGGATCACTTGAGGACAGGAGTTCGAGACCAGCCTGAGCAAATATTGTGAAACCTCGTCTCTACTAAAAAAACAAACAAACAAAAATAGTTCGGATTAGTGTCATATACCTGCAGTCGCAGCTGCTCAGGAGGGTGTGACTGGACAATTGCTTGAAACCAGGATGGGGAGGTTGTAGTGAGCTTAGATCATGCCACTGCACTTCAGCCTAGGTGACAGAGCAGAATTCCATCTTAAAAAAACTCAAATAGAGAAAAAGATAGGAAGGAAGGAAGGAAGGTAGGAAGGAAGGAAGGTAGGAAGGAAAGAAGGAAGGAAGGACGGATGGAGGGAGGGAGGAAGGGAAGAAGGGAGAAAGGAGACAATTAAAGGCATAAAACCAACAGGAAATGAATAAAAATAAAAAGATGCCATTTTGCCCATTATACACATGAATTTTTGAACTATGTTTGAAATAATATCTAGGTCTCTAGTTGACTAACTGAAGATTAAAATAAGCCGGCATCAAAATTACTCATGTAACTATGGGTGTTAACTATGATTCTTGTAGTTTTCAACAACCAAATTCTAATTAATATTTGTCATCAAATCACATACTACTAGGGGCAGGGTAGTCTGTGTTATGCTGCCTAATCTACACTAGATTAAAAAAGAAATCAAATCTGCAAAAGGCTTTACAGTTACTATTATCAGTAAAGAGTGTTTTGTTTCCCAACTTGTGGACAGTTTTATTTCCACAGTGTTGATAGCTCTGGCAGAAAGCCTTCTTGGTCCAAACTCACCCTTTATCATCACAGTATTTACATGTTCAGGCATTAAGGGGAAAGAGCATCCAATCCCACTGCTTTCCTGCATTGATTCCCATGCACAAGCAAAAGTGCTGTGTTAGCGGCTATCAAATATTCAAATATTTGATGAAGGAAATTTGTGTTTCCAAACTGTAAAACAAAAATATTACCATCCGTTGTATTTGTATTATTTATTTACTTAGAGGCAGGGTCTTGCTCTGTCATCAGGCTGAATCATACATCACTGCAGTCTCAGACTTTTGGCCTCAGAGGATACTCCAATCTCAGCCTCCCAAAGTATTGAAATTACAGACTTAAGCCATTGTACCCAGGCTCAAGTTTAGAGATAAATGCTAATGAATATATTATAAACCATATAAATAAACATAATTGCAGGCTCTCCAGAACTGTAAGAAACCACTGAAAAACTACCATTGTGGACAAGGCTGCTGGCAACAATGTAATGCAAGCAAAGGAGTGGGTCCTTCCCCACTGAGTCTTCAGATGATACCAAAGGCCAGCTTGGCATTTCCACTGCAGCTTTTTGAGAGAACATGCAACATAGGTGTGTGCGTTTGTGTGTGTGTGTTTGTGTGTGTGTAAGCATACATACAAAACCTGTTGAACAAACTAGGATCACCCACACAATGGAATATGATGCAGCTTTTCGTAGATCTGTTAGAATTCATCCTGAATCAATCAGTTCCTGGGTTTTATTTATTTATTTTTTTGGCTGGTTGGTTACTTATTACTAATGATTCCATTTTGGAAATTGAAATTGGACAGGTTGGAGCTGAGACTGGGTCCACTTAGGTTCTGCTGTGGAATGGAGAATGGCAAGCCTGTAATTTTGGCTGTGATGGTTACTGGAAGGTCTCTGCATGGATGGGCTAGCTTTCTGCCTGCAGCAAGAGGTCCTCGGACTGACTATCAGCTCCCTTGACATCTGCTGTCACAGTGGGAGGGGCTGGAGCTGAGACTGCGATTCTCTGTTTCTGAATAAAGTCATGTGCTCTAGAGATTCTAATGCCCAGAGATTTCCATTAGATATATCAGAAGTGATCTTCCTTCCAGGGGTACTAAGGCTTATTATATAAACTACTTGCACACTGGGTCCACGTAGGGCCAGAAACTTCATCCTTCACTACTAAATTGCCTCTGCTTTTCAGCCTGGGGATGGGTGGAGCACACAGGGTTAGGACGGTCAAAAGTATGGCAGCTGAGATTGGGTGGGGACACATGCCCCTTCTGTGGATAGTCATCAAGCTGCTGCTTTGTCACAGCCTTGGAAGTTTTGCAGAGAAAATCAGGGTTGGATATGGCAGTCGGCCAGTGATTTGAGCCTGGCAGACTCCTCAACCATGGTTGGTTGCTGCAGAATGATGCTGTTGCCTAGTTTTTCTGGTGGTGCACCTCTGCTGGCTGGAAAGCAAAGCCACCAGTAAGATTACTGTCATGGTCAATGTGAGCCCCATGCATGTACTTTGTTTCTAACTGACCCCAGTTGTCTAATACCCCTAGTGTTTCCCACAGGGTAAGACTAGAGAGAACATCATGTAAAGAATTGCAAAATGGAAAAGAAAAGGCTGAATGTACACCTTCAACTCTCTCCACCCTGAAGAAACAGTGAGTCTGGGGAAATTTTTTGTATGCAACACTGTGCTGGCTTGGGGAGGAGAAAAGTATCAGATTAAAACTGTTCTTTTGGCCGGGCACAGTGGCTCATGCCTGTAATCCCAGCATTTGGGGAGGCCAAGGCAGGCAGATCACGAGGTCAGGAGATCAAGACTATCCTGGCTAACACAGTGAAACCCCGTCTCTACTAAAAATACAAAAAATTAGCTGGGTGTGGTGGCAGGCACCTGTAGTCCCAGCTACTCAGGAGACTAAGGCAGGAGAATGGCGTGAACCCGGGAGGCGGAGCTTGCAGTGAGCCGAGATCACACCATGGCACTCCAGCCTGGGCAACAGAGGGAGACTCCGCCTCAAAAAAAAAAAAAAAAAAAAAAAAACTGTTCTTTTATTCTATGTGTGTGGCTATTCTCAGTTCTACAACTGAAGAAGGTGTCACAGATTCAATCCCAAGTTATAGAATCATTCACTAAGGTGTCCTTATCTAAGGATAGCTGTGAGTTGAGGTTTTGGTTTTGCAGAGAGGGAGGGAGTTAGGAGAATCACAGAATGCCTATTCTGTCACATCAGACCCTAGAAACAGGCAAGTTGAAAGACTGGTTCAGGCTGAGCACAGTGGCTCATGCAAGTAACCCCAGCACTTTCAGAGGCCAAGGTGGGCATATCATGAGGTCAGGAGGTCAAGACCACACTGGCTAACAGGGTGAAATCCCCTCTTTACTAAACATACCAAAAAATAAAAAATTAGCCAGGTCTGGTGGCACGTGCCTGTAGTACCAGCTACATGGAATGTTGAGGCAGGAGTATCTCTTGAACCCAGGAGGTAGAGGTCAAAGTGAGCTGGGATCATGCCACTGCACTCCAACCTGGGTGACAAAGTGAGATCAGATCTCAAAGAAAAAATAGTGGTCCTAAGGGAGGAGGAGTTTAAAATGTTGGGGTGTTTCCATGGAAAAGCTGAAAGCTAGAGCAAACCAAGGGTTGGATTTAAGGAAGAGCTCACAGGACCACTGAAAACTACCTCTTTGTCCTCTATGGAATGCAGGAAATAGCAAATTCTGAGCTCCACTGCTTACTGATATAGGCAAGTTATCAGCCAGAGATACATATCTTAATCTGTTTGTGTTCCTATAAAAGACTATGAGACTGGAAAATTTATAAAGAAAAGAGCTTTCATTGGATCTTGGTTCTGCAGGCTGTAAAAGATGTGTGGTGCCAGCATCTGCATCTGGCGAAAGCCTCGCCAGGTTTCCACTCAGGACAGAAGGTAAAAGGAAAACAGACATGTCAGGTGTGGAGAGAGCAAGAGAGAGAAGAGGAGAAGGTATCAGGCTCTTTTCAACAACTTCTTTGGATGTAATCTCCACCGTGGGAACTAATACAGTGGAAAACTCACTTAATAACCATGGTGAGGGCACCAAGCCATTTATGACGGATCCATCCCCATGACACAAACAAACACCTCCCACTAGATGCCATTAACAATGTGGAGGACCACATTTCAACCTGAGGCTTGGAGGGACAAATGTCCAAACTATATCAATAGGCAAGTTTAAAAATCATGCCGAGTTACAGTAAAACAATCCTTTTTCCTCTTTAGAATCCTGGAACTACAAAAAGCTGGGATTCATTAGCTTCCCGAGATTGGCAAGTTAGTATTCAGACTCTTAGGCAGCAACCTGAGAAGTCAGGGCCATAGTTGGGTAATCTGACTTCTTGGAAGGAAAATTTGGAAGCTCTATATATTGTTAGAGTGAGGGATGATGAAGACTGATGAGAAATGCCTATGTGCCTGCTCTCAGAGGATCCTGACAGATCCAAGTCAGGAGAACTGGCAGAAGCTATTAAAGTCAAGATATGGCTGGGTGCAGGCTCACGCCTGTAATCCTATCACTTTGGGAGGCCAAGGCAGGTGGATCAGCTGAAGTCAGGAGTTTGAGACCAGCCTGACCAACATGGTGAAAACTTGTCTCTACTAAGAAACACAAAAGTTAGCATAGCATGGTGGCAGGTGCCTGTAATCCCAGCTACTTGGGAGGCTGAGACAGGGGAATCACTTGAGCCCAGGAGGCAGAGTTTGCAGTGAGCCGAGATCATGCCATTGCACTCCAGCCTGTGCAACAGAGCAAGACTCTGTCTCAAAAGAAAAACAAACAAAAAAAATGTCAAGACGTTAGATGTACAATCTAAGATCTTCAAGGTACAAAGTGGGAGCTGAGTTTTCTTGACTACTTGAGATTCAGTAAACCAGGAGGAAACAGTTTTAGAAGTGCTTGAATGTCTATTTAAATCCCTCTTTATCTTGGAGGTCCTAGGAGAGTTATGAATACCAATCTGTGCTAGAATCCAGAGATAGGTAATAATTTCCTTGAGAAGCAGCTGTAACAGTTGGGGCATTACATATGTGGTTTAATACTTCAGTCCTCTGAGAGAAGCTGTGAAATAACAGTTCCCTATTGACTCTAGGGCACTGTGTCAGACACAAACTCTAGAACAAGATCATGATTCAGTTTTTCTTACCTCTTTTTAAGTGAGCATTTTCACAATCCTATGTGCAAGAGTATCTCAACTAGTTTCTGAGTTTATCTCATAGGGAATTGATGTGGGTGTGGCTTTTATTTGTTGCATTTGTGGATGGAGGAACAAATTAGAGCCTTCTATTTTATCAACTTGTTGGAGATATCCTTTTTATTATTTTTTTACTTATTTTAAAAAATTTGTACATAACAGTCATAGATACTTTTGGCATACCTGCCATATTTTGATACAAGCAATGTGTACTGGTAAGGACGGGATCAAAGAGCTGATGAGGGTGGGTTAAATTATAGTTGCTTAGAAGGAATAAGATCTAGTGTTCGGTAGCACAGAATGAGTACATTTAATTATGATTTATTGTATATCTCAAAAGAATTAATAGAGTGAAGGAGGAATGTCGCCCAGGTTAGAATGCATGGCATAATATCGGCTCACTGCAGGCTCAGCCGCCCAGGTTCAAATGATTCTACTGCCTGAGCCTCCCAATTAACTGTAACAGTACAGGCATGTGCCACCACACATGGCTAATTTTTATATTTTTGCTAGAGATGGGATTTCATGATGTTGGCCAGCCTGGTCTTGAACTCCTGACCTAAAGTGATCTGCAAGCCTTGGCCTCCCCAAATGTTGGAATTAAAGACCTGAGCCATCACAACTGGACAGTAAGATATGCAAAACTAGGGAGTTTTATCTTTTCACTTCATCCTCACAATCCTACAGCTGAATAAAAACACAACTTCACAACATGAATAACTCACTTGAAAATCGAAGTTGGTAACTTCTCCCTTTAAAATTATTTGCACCCTTACCCTATAAAAAGTGATGATCTTGTCAAAATTTTCTCAGGAAAATACTCCTTCCTTGCAGATTAGTCTGTTAATTGTAAGAATTATGGACGGCAAAACTTCTGGAACTTCATGTATTTCATTTTTCTAGGTTGCATAATCAGGAAAATAAATCGACTTAGTTATTTAGGTCCAAATCTTTTTATTTTTATCATTCGATGATTGCTCAAACCTTTAAGCAATCCATCTGAAACTTTATGCTGTTGTTTATGTTTTATACACTTCATTTTCCCAAAAGTATGAGGTAAATCATTTCCATTCATATCATCAATTAAATTTGATAGGCTGAGTGCAGGGGCTAATGCCTGTAATCTTAGCACTTTGGGGGTCCAAGGAGGGTGGATCAGGATTTTTAAGAACGGCCTGGCAAACATGGTGAAACCCTGTCTGTACTAACAATACAAAAAATTAGCGAGCTGTGGTGCACACATCTCTAATAACAGTTACTCAGGATGCTGAGGCAAAAGAATAGCTTGGACCCAGAAGGCAGAGGTTGAAGTAAGGCAAGATGGAGCCACTGCAGTCCAACTTGGGCGACAAAGCTACACTCCATCTCAAAAAAAAATTTTGATAAAATCCCAACCATTCTAGATTATCTCTATTTGTAAGAACTTATTACTAAATCATTACTTACAATAACCATTGTCAAAACTTTCAAGAAAAAACTAACATGAGTACCTCCCAAGATAAAACACCTACTTTCCACTATTTAAACTAGGAACATTTAATTTCATTATGTTATTCACTTGAGAAACTTAGCTGGTTCAGTTTTGATTTAGGTAAAAAAAAAAGGTTTCATTACCATTATACCCCTTCAGTCACAGAATGCTTCAGGTAGAATGTTCCAGATGTTTTAAACTTTAGTATCAACCACATCTAATTATTTCCGTTCACCTGTACTATTCCTCTAAAAAATAAATGTTTTATGATGAGGCAGACAGTTTTGTAGTCCTTCTGAAGGAGTCTCAAACATTTCAAGCTTGTAAGTTTTTAAAGAGAAAAGGCCTAATTAGAAAACTTGTGCAGCTTGCAGGGAGATGTAACATATGCCTAATTTTGTATATATTTATGTTCAGAGAAACAAAGGAAAATGTTCAACAAAAACACAATTTACTCTTCTATTGTATTTGCTTTTAAGCATGTGCAGCTAACCAATAACATCAGCTATTTTGCATTACATGTAAAATTTTTTCTGAAATTTTTAATGTAGATATTACATCTAAACAGATAGTTTTCAAATAGCATTAACAAGTATGAAATTACTCCGAAAAAAATTGTTTTCCTTGGAATACCTCAACAGATTGATGGAGGAAGTTAGTATCTACATCTCTCCCCAATACTAACATGTTTCTTTCAGTAATATGCAGGTAACAATGTAGAAATAACACGTCAATTTTCAATTTGCAAACAAGCTTTGGTATGCAATAGCTACTATTTGGAATACTTGCTTTAATATCTGCTTCAGTCTCCTTTTTCAGATCTACTTTCCCGACCATCTATTGTAGATGCCACATAACTTGAGCTACCATATGCTTCACGACGAGCAGGGTGCACCCTATCCAGAGAAAGTGGATTCCTTTGGTCTTTTCTGCCAACGTGCTCATGACCACAAAAATAAAAATCACCGCAGCTTCTTGAGTAACTCTCCTGACTTCTGCCATATCTATCTAGTGTATTGTTATAATCAGGGCGGCTGCTTCCACCATAAGACATCCGAGGCCCT
This sequence comes from Homo sapiens, assembly GCF_000001405.40. NCBI lineage: Eukaryota > Metazoa > Chordata > Mammalia > Primates > Hominidae > Homo > Homo sapiens. Next base: position 22,321,551 of record NC_000024.10, on the reverse strand, counting down.
CGTGCAGGTGGTGCACCATGAGAGGTCCCTGCAGGCTGATAAAATAATATGTTGGACTACAATTAAACATTTTTTACTGCCATCACTAAAGGATGAATTAGTTAAATTACTATTTGGAAATATCTGCTTTCCTCTGCCCTTGTTGACAGGATAGATATTAATTAAGCCTGCATTGGTCAGAAGGTTTTATTTAAAAGTAGTGTGAGAGTAGTATTTTGAAGCTTAACAAATTTAATCCTAAAGTAAACATTGAGTCATATTTTCTGCACGTGAACTGAAGTTCTCTCCTTCATATCGTTCCCTATGCTTTATACTGTTAAGAATACTCAATATTTAAACATGCTATATTGTCCTTTATAATTTTCCTTAGAATTTCATTAAAATAATGATCTGGTCTATTACATAAAATTCTGTAATTTAAAAATCCATCCTAGACTCTTACCATATCCCTGAAATGCATCTCTGTAAGAACTTCCACTTGTATGTTCAGAATGATCTCTACCACTGGTCTCACCATAGCCAACAGGATCAGTAAATTGAAAAAAGTTTTTAAATGTCAGAATAAACAATTTAAGAAACCCGTTTGATGAATCCAGATAACATTATAGTACCTATATCCTACAGAGGAATGTTCATCCCGACTAGAACGACCATAATCACAGTATGCATAGTCTCTAGGTGGTGGAGCATAATCCCTGGTTTCTCAGGAGCGTGGATGATTTCTGTGTGTGTAAGTTTAAGCAACAAATTTTAAATTTTCAACTTCTAATATCCAAAATATAACTAAATTACAACTTAAACATAATTAAATTGCCTAACATCTAAACAGATATTTCTCCAAATAAAATAGGGAAACGCCCAAAAAGCGCATGGAACAGATACTCATAATCAGTGGTTCAGAAAATGCATTTCAAATCCAAAATGAGATTCCAGACTTCATAAACACACTGGAATGGCAATAAATTTTAAAAAGCAGGAAAGAGCAAGTGTTTGAGAGTATGTAGATAAACTGGAACCCTGATACAACATTAGTTAGAATGAATAATTTAAGAAATCTTTTTGACAAATCCAGAAAAAGTTGTAGTACCTATATCCTCTAGAAGAATGTTCATCCCAGCTAGAATGACCATAATCATGGTATGCATAGTCTCTAGGTGGTGTCCTAGTTTCTCAGGAGCTTGGATGATTTCTGTGTTCATAAGTTTAAGGAAGTCAGTGCGGCGATTCCTCAGGGATCTAGAACTAGAAATACCATTTGACCCAGCCATCCTATTACTGGGTATATACCCAAAGGTTTGTAAATCACGCTGCTATAAAGACACATGCACACGTATGTTTATTGAGGGCCTATTCACAATAGCAAAGACTTGGAACTAACCCAAATGTCCAACAATGATAGACTAGATCAAGAAAATGTGGCACATATACACCATGAAATACTATGCAGCCATGCAAAATGACGAGTTCATGTCCTTTATAGGGACATGGATGAAGCTAGAAACCATCATTCTCAGCAAACTATGGCAAGGACAAAAAACCAAACACTGCATGTTCTCACTCATAGGTGGTAACTGAACAATGAGAACACATGGACACAGGAAGGGGAACATCACACACTGGGGCCTGTTGTGGGGTGGGGGAAGGGGGGAAGGATAGCATCAGGAGATACACCTAATGTTAAATGAAGACCTAATGGGTGCAGCACACCAACATGGCACATGTATACATATGTAACAAGCCTACACGTTGTGCACATGGACCCTAAAACTTCAAAGTATAATAAAAAATTAAATTAAATTAAAAAAATTTAAATTTTCAATTCTAGTATCCAAAGCATAACTAAGTTACAACTTAAACAAAATTAAAAGGCCAAACATCTAAATAGATATTTCTCCAAATAAAATAGGCAAATGCCCAAAAAGCACATGGAACAGATACTCACAATCAGTGATTCAGAAAATGCATTTCAAATCCAAAATGAGATACCATACTTCACACACACACTGGAATGGCAATAAATTTTAAAAAGCAGGAAATAACAAGTGTTTGAGAGGATGCAGATAAATTGGAATGCTGATACAATGCTAGTTGGAATGCAAAAGGATGGAGCTACCATGGAGAAGTGTGGTGGTTCCTCAAGAAAATACATAATTATCATAGTACCAAAAAATTCCACTCATATACACACAGAATTGAATAAGTGTATTCAAACAAACATCATTGCATAGAAATACTGGGGTGGAAACAACCCAAATAAAATAATGGGTTAATAGCTTGTAGAAGGAGTGAAGTGCTATGATGTAAATCAGCCTTCAGGTCATCATGCAAAAGCAAAGGAGACTGATACAAAAAGTCATGTAGTGTTTGAGCCCATTAACATTAAATGCCCACAACAGTAAGTTCAGACGCAGAACACTGATTAGTGTTTGCTAGCAGCTGAGGAAAGGGAGAAAATGGAAGGGACTGCTTAACTGGTAATTGGAGTTTTAGTTTGGAGTGAGGAAAATGTTTTGGAACTCGATGGAGGTAGTTGTTGCATGACACAGCATGTATTAAATGCCACTTAACTGTTTACCTTATAATATTTCATTTTGTTATGTAAATTTCATCACCACAACAAAAAAAAATCAACTTTTTAAAAATTTTTCCTTTACCTCTCCTTAGTTGCATAACCATCGTCTCTTAGAGACATGTGGTCATTTCTCCAGGAAGAGATTGGCCGTCTACGTGTAGGACCTCCATAATTCTCTCTTCCACATGATATGGGACCTTTAATATTAAAATGATGGAACTTTATGTAAAGAACATCAAATCTGAAACACTGTTTTCTCTTATCTCAAACAACTTTTAAAATTGTTTCTTCTATGACTCCGTTCTTTGTTCCATAAATTACTAGCCAGTCATGACACTGTGAATATTTCTTATGGTTTTGGATAATCCCATGGCTCCCACAAGGCCAGTTCTTCTAATGAAGCTGAAGCCAAATGCTCATTCTTAGGTAAAAGTTCATTTGTAATGGTTAATCACTGCTTAGTTATATTTTCCTTTTCATATGAATTACTGATGATTACCAATGACACAGGGAAAACATGTAAAACCATCAAACTCTTCACTGAATATAAAGTTTACATATGTTGTCCTTTCTCAGCTGAAGAAGGTAAATTTTCCCATGTAGTTCAATCCACCTCACACAAACAAATACTGCTACCTTTGAATGACTGCATGCCAAATTTTTACATAACAGTTCTCCTTTAACTCTAAGTAGTTGGCTCTATCTTAAATGTTGACAAATTAAAATGTGCTAGTGAAAACTTTCTAATGATGGCCAAGAATTACTTTTAGTGCAATAAGCAACACTATTAAAGGGGTCATTACAACACTGTTGCTATTTCAAAATAGAAAAGTTTCTCCTTTAATATACTCTTCACAGTGCTTTTCCTTAGAGGTCAGTCTTTCACCTGTGATATGTTCACTGGCTTATTTTTCAATGGAAATGTGTTGGCTTCTGTATCCTGAAGTCACTAAATACCTGACTTCACCTATACTCTATCCTGAAGTCAATAAATACCTGACTTCACTGATACTCTACATATGAAATGTAAAATTGAAAATGTCAGGTTTTAATTTCCTCCATATTAGGATGGAGGACTAAGTAAGAATTTTAATTTGTTCTGCTTAACTTCTTTGCTAAAAACTTTTATTTATTGTCTTGCTTTCTTCTGTTCAGTCTGCAATCTTACAATTCTCCTTCTCAAAAATATTTCTTCTATTCAATCCTACTGCTCACCTCATGTGCTTAGATCTAAATTCGCTCCTCAAATAATTTCCAACCTCACACTAAGGATCTTGTGTTAATGTTTAAGCATCCTGGAACAATCTTAATTATTGATTTACATCCCCTTGTATTTCACAACTCTGCACTTCTGTAAAATCCACTTCAGTTAAGAATATTGGACTCCTTCATGTCTACCTTTCAAGCCTTAAATTTATTTTTAAATAATATTTAAGCCCAGTGACTCCTTTTCTGCTAAATGTTCTTGCAGTTCTTTTGAATCTTTGTATAAGCAGTAACGATGTCTTGCATATAAGCATTACTGAGGTCTCAGAAGCTGGATGGCCAGGCTCAGTTGCTCACACTGTGAGCCAGTGTGGAAGGCTGAGGCAGCTGGACTGCTTGAGCCACGGGCTTTGACAATGTAGTGACAGGTTTGACAATGCAGCAACATCCTCTCTCTACAAAAATATAAGGAAAAAAATTTAGCTAGCTGTGGTGGTGTATGCCTGTAGTTGCAGAAACTCAGGTGGCTGAAGCAGGAGAATTGCTTGGGCCCAGAAATTTGAGACCGTTGTAAGCCATCATCTCACCAGTGCACTCTGACCTGGTAAGAGCAAGACTCCAAACCAACAAAGAAACTGAACAAGCAATTTTTAGATTGGGACACCAGGGGAACACTACCTAGGAAATGGAAGAATTCATTAGATGAAGAAGCCTACCATCAAAGAATATTGCTAGGAACTTTTAGAAAATTAAGGGGAATTTTCTAGCAAACACAGGATTAAAAGGAATGTTGTCCTCACTCTAATCACTTCTTTGATCTGCAATGAGAAGCTCAAGTATTTCTTCACAACAAATCTGAAATGTACCCAGTGAGATAGAAACTATAATAAAAGCTATCGATCAGTAATTATGCCCATGTATGTGTCACTTCTCCTTTGTTCAGTGAACTTAAAGTTAAGCATCCAGGTAAAATAGCTCATTTTTAGTCATACAAAAACTACAGTCTTTCTATCAGATAGCATTTACCTTGGCCTCTCATCCAATTATTGCTTCTTACCACAGCAGAAGGAGCAGACTTTTTAGGAGGAGGACCTCCACTTTTTGAAGAGGGACCTCTTTTAACTAGAATGGGTTGCCTAGAAGAACTCGTGTTGAGATCAAGAGAGTATGCATCATCATCTGTATTTCAAACAAAATCTTTTCAGTTAACTAACATCACTGTTTCTTAAATGGCTAAGTTTTAGTTGTTTATAAAGATTATCTACATATTATCATCTTATAAATTCATATTTGTCTAAGCTAATAAAATTAACATTTCTATATGAAATAAGTACAGTTCAAGCAATAAAAGTCTGTTGAGAAAATCTAGAAAGAAACTCAAGAATCATAATATATTGGTGTGAGAGAGAGATGAAGACAAATTGGGGAGTGAACAGGGAGCAGAAATCTATCACTAAAATATCTAAGTATAATAGACATAAAATATTAAAAGAAAAATGATAAATGACTGTTTATATCATTGTGTTTTGAGGAAAAATTTTCAAAGCATGTCATAAAGATAAACTAAATTCCATTCAAACAAATTCAAATATTTATGATATCAAAAAGTGACACATCAGGAAAATACATTATCTCTAAAATTTGTTAACATAATATAGAATTCTTACAATTCCCTTATGAAACACTAATTTTCAGATTACACTATGCTAAATTTTAATAGTCATTAAGAATTGCATATTAAATAATATATAAAGATTTTTATATATCTACAAAAAATGTAGATATGCGGCAATATATCTACATACATAACATAGGTGGTGTTACAGGTTAGAATACACACATTCTCAGACATGGTGGAGTGTTGTTGAACTTCACCCTCAAAAGCAATGGAGACAAAATAACCATGTAGCTATGCATCTTAAAATGGAGCAAACACTGCAATTTCCACTTAAAAAAATCTCCAATTAATTACACATCTGGTTATTAAAACTCCAAGTTAAATGTTAGATTATTGAAGGTTAGTTAATAGATAATACAAGTTAACCGATAGGTATTTATTTATTTATTTATTTATTTATTTATTTATTGAGATGGACTCTTGCCCTATTGCCCAGGCTGGAGTGCAATGGCCTGATCTCGGCTCACTGCAGCTTCCACTTCCCAGGTTCCAGCGATTTTCTTGCCTCAGCTGAGTAGTTGGGATTACAGGTGCATGCCACCATGCCAGGCTAATTTTCTGTATTTTTAGGAGAGACAGGGTTTCACCATGTTGACCAGGCTGGTCTGGAAGTCCTGACCTCATGGTCCACCTGCTCCGTACTCCTGAAGTGCTGAGATGTCAGGCATGAGTTACTAAACCCAGCCCATCCAATAGTTTTTTCTTTTTTAAAAAATACGTGGTTTTTCTTTTTTATGTAAAAATTGACCCCTCATTTCTATTGTGTAAATCACTATAAATATCATTTTCAGTGTCTTATCCTCCAGCAAACAAAGATACATACATATATGTGAAGCAGTGGTTTTTAGACCTTTTCAGAGTCACAGACTCTTTGCAGAAGTTAAAGTTCTACATTTCTTAAATTGAAAATGCTTTATGGCAGGCCAATGTACAAACTCTCTGTATCAAAATTACAAAGCAATACATTTGCATAGATGTTTGCACACATATATACAAGAAAACAAATATTGCAAAATCAATCTTAAGTACTGAGTTACTTTTCCCTGTTGGAAAGTTTTAAATATTGCTTACTTTGATAATACAACTGATATGAAGTTCTGGGCCCCAAAGTAGAAAACTCTAAAGTATGATGAATATAAATGAGTTCTGCAGAAAACCTGTTGAGTAGCAGCAATTGGCATTCATAAAATCAAATCAGTTTGAAATTTGTGTTATTTCAATCCAACGTTATTACAATTTTACAACAAATTTTAGATATTACTTCAATCATTCTTGTAATACACCTTTAGTACTTAGAAATAAGTTTGCTTATTATAAGTCAATTTTCTGTTCATAAAGGAAATAAATATAATTGAGAAATTTCGATATCTTCAAACTTATTTTCTTTCAGTCCTATGGTTCCATCTTTACATTTTAAAACATTACCCAAGCGTCCTTCATGTGAGGGATGCCATCCTCTTGTTCCTCCACTACTTCCTCTTGCAGATCTCAGACATCCTGAAGGGCTTCTGCTTCTTGAGGAAGCTGGTGGTCTCTGCCTACCACCACTTTGAAAAGATGGTTTCTTGGCTTGTTCTACTTTTATTGCTTTTCCATCCAAAGGCTAAAGTATTAAGAGTATTATCAATAACACTGGCATATTTAACCTAAGCACATTTTACAAGCATTTTTACATCAACTATAGCTCAATTCTAGATATTTTCTCCCAAAGCAAACTTTTGTTTTTTTCTCCTAAAATGAACACATCTTTCACAATGCCAAATTTGAGACATTTACTGAGCACATGCCTTCCATTAAGGGATCAAACACAAATTCTATTATTCAAATTCCTTGAAAACTTCTCCATTATTTAAAAAAAAAATCCTCAAACTAACAAAAAGAGATTAACCCATCAAATATTCTATGGAGGAATGTGGCACATCTGTTTTTTCCCCAATATATCATCCACTTCATCTTTGTATTCACGTCACTAATTTAAAAGTTTCAGTGTCCCAATGAAACTTGTGTCATTTAAAAAAATGAGGTTACTTATTCAAAGTGATTAGTCACATTACTCATTATGAGGTGTTTCTTGTTGGATTTGCTAACACTTACATAAAATATCCCCATATGATTTACAATTCTATATTGACTCTAAAAATGTTTCTGTAAATGTGATCCTTGTTCGATCTCATTAAGTTTTCTTGCCATACTCATTTCTTACATTGCCTTAGACGTGCCCCTAAAAAACGAATCTTAATATAGTACTTCAGGTAATTTCTCAGAAATGCTTAACTATCCTAATTAATTTCATAATAACATTTTTCACTGTAATCTTTTCTACAGGCCACAGCAATTTTTGAAAACAGTTCAGCTAATAATGCGATTTAAAAATTACATGGCTTTTGTTATTTGGAGGAAGGACTTAAATCCCTGAACAAGACCGCTTGCAGCCACATCGCCCGTTGTTCCTACCTTGAAACTTCTTTTGTTATTTCTGGGCTCAAAATATTTTCCCCAGATTTGCCCACGGCTGCTTCCTTCCCAGTGTTCTGAAGTCAGCCAAAATTCCTTAACTGTTAATTCCCCCTGAAAACTCAAAGAACCTCCTTTATTGGCCATCTTAACATTAATGTGCATACAACATTCATAGTTATTTTAACACAATAAAATATGTGAGATGAAGTAATTTAGAAATAACATTGGCCATGGTGGCTCACGCCTGTAATCCCAACACTTTGAGAGGCTGAAGTGGGCAGATCACAAAGTGAAGAGATAGAGCTCATCCTGGCCAACAGGGTGAAACCCCGACTCTACTCAAAGTACAAAAATTAGCTGGGCGTGGTGGCGCATGCCTGTAGTCCCTGCTACTCGGAGGCTGAGGCAGGAGAATCACTTGAACCCAGGAGGCAGAGGTTGCAATGAGCCAAGATCGCCCCACTGCAATCCAGCCTGGTGACACAGTGAGTCTCCATCTTAAACAACAAACAAGCAAACAAACAAAACTCTACACAAATTACCTGCTCTTTTGCTTGAAAATTGCGGAGGGGGGAGAAATTATCATAGATTACTATATGTAAGTCAAAATTATCTCCATACTTACCACAAAGCCATGAACCGAAAGCTACTCTCGGTTTCTAACACAGCTTAAAATATTAATTTATAAGAATGAATAAAAATGTACTTTCTGCTATGTGCCAGGAAGTATGATAGATGTAAGAGAAAAGCAACCAGGAACACTGAAATATGCACTACATACAATTTCACTATCAATAGGTTAATATATGGTACTGTGAGTACAAAATACCTACAATATGCAATGAGGAAGAAAATATGAAATCTAAGTTGTTTTGAAGCATAAATTATTATTTGTGAGACATACACGGGGAAGGAAAATTCCCAGGAAGTCCAAAAAGGCATTTTTGGGATAGCGTAATGACTAACAGGAACTAAAAACAGATTGGGATAATGTTATTTTTCTTTTCTTTTTTTTTTTTTTTTTTGAGAAAGAGTCTTGCTCTGTCACCAGCCTGGAGTGCAGTGGCCTGATTTTGGCTCACTGCAACCTCTGCCTCCGGGATCAGCTGATTCCCATGCCTCAGCCTACCAAGTAGCTGGAACTACAGGCACACACAACCACGCATGGCTAATTTTTTGTGTTTTAGTAGAGACGGGGTTTCAGCATGTTGGCCATGATGGTTTCGTTCTCCTGACCTTGTGATCTGCCCACCTCAGCCTCACAAAGTGCTGGGATTAGAGGTGTGAGCCACCACGCCCAGCCGGATTGGGGTAATGTTACAAAGCAAAAAAGCTCTAAAGGGCCCAGAATGGAATGATATTGACTACAATGTAAAGGAATTCAATAGTTAATAGAATTACATAAAAGTTTAAAGCTTTTGTAAACACACAATCCCTAGAGTTAAGACTCAATAGGACAAGAGACCATTGGTTGGATCAAAACAAGTCCTCAAACACACTGGGACAATGAGTAATTAGGTATTCGTGTTACATAAATCACTCTGGTGACAGGAGAAAAACGTCCTTAGCAGAAAAGAGCAAGGATGGGCCAAAAATGCCAGTTACTTCTTCTGTTATCCAACTTCAGTGTTATCATACGTTTTTCTATTTTCAAGTACTTACCACTTCCTTAAATGTAAAAGTCTTATTTTAATATAGTTTCTCAAGAATATGTTTTTCAGAAAATGAGAGAGAATCTTTCCTTCTTGTGAGTCTGTCTAGATGTCTATCCACAGTTTTTCTATGCTCTAGAAGTAGTTCCATGAATTGGAAGTAATTCCCTTAATAGCATTTAATAAATGTTGACTTATTCCTTTCATTTACATGAGGGCTCCTTATAAGTTTTAAAGCTCTTCAAAACCTTTTAAAATCTATTTACATTCGTATTGAAATACAAACTTAGAAAAAGGTTACCATATATTAATCTATATAATGTTAATTCCAATACCCTTCCAACTACAATTGGATGTATATGGCACAAAGAAGAGCATGGCTTCATATGGCATTCTACTAACTTCAAAAGTTACATAATACTAAAAAGACCTAGAAATACTCTTAATTGAAGAACAGAGTTAGAATACTATTAATAAGGGACTCTTACCTTTCCAATCATATGTTTGGCAGCATTCTTAGCATCTGCAGTGTTCTCAAAAGTAGTAAATGCAAAGCCTCTGGATTTGCTGGTTCGATCCTTTATCAAAAGAACTAAAATACATGAAAACATTTCCATGTATATAATGGACTCACCAAGGTACTAACCATCTGAAAGTTACATCACATCAAAAAATAATTGCATTTTACTTCACTACTATGATTCTTAATACTAAGTCACCCCTATAGTCAGCCTATTTTATTCCAGTTTGTTCCCTAACTCCACAACACATTTACTTTTCCTCATTTTCCTTTCTAAGTAGTAGGTGATCCTTACACAGACCCTTAACCTGCTACTATGAGAATTTTCCAAATATCAAATAGATACTTCAAAATAAGAGTTTAAAAATAAGGCATTTTAATGTAGGTATACAATGAACTTTGAAAACCATACATTTTTTCAAAGCACATACATAACATACATATTTTAAATATACACATTGAAATATACACACACCCATGGTTTTAAGGGTTACCTTCTGATATGGGACCATGTTTCGCAAATACTGCTTTAAACATCTTTTCATTGTTTTCCCTATTTAGGCCACCAATGAAATGCTTGCCAGGACGATCTGCTTCTACCATTGTGCTGCAAGTGGTCAAAGAAAAATCTATATTTAGATAAAAATAAATATGCTAAAAAGATAAAATTTTATTACATACTGTGTTGAAAACTCAAGTAAAATTCCCTTCCAGAGGCTGACATCGTTTTAGTATTTCTTACTTTAAATATATAAAATTTGTAACATACAGAGCAAAGGGGGCACTGATTTCATGGACAAATGCTGCATTATAATCCGTACCTGACAAAATCTCATTTCTATAAATAAGATAAGAAAAGCTATTGTAATTTTACTAAGTTGTAATGTGAAGGTTGCCCCCATTTAAATAATTTTATTTGAAAACTATACATTTATGAGGTACACTGTGATGTTTTGTGTATTTTCTTTCTTGAGATGTGTATCTCCTGTTGCCGAAGTCCGCTGCTCACTGCAGCCTCCTCCACCCAGCCTCCACTGATCTTCCCACATCTCAGCTTCCCAAGTAGCTGGTACTACAAGGGCTTTTTACCACAGCTGTGTAATTTTGTGTGCGTGTGTGTGTGTGTGTGTGTGTGTGTGTGAATAGACACGGGTTTCCCCATATTGCCGAAGCCGGTCTCCAAATCCTGGGCTCAAGTGATCTGCCGGCTTAGGACTACCAAAGTGATGGGATTTCAAGGGTGAACAACCACGGCCAGCGAGATACGCGGATAAAAGATTAAATCAAGCAAATTAAAATGTTCTTGGGGTGAACATTTTAAATATTTTACCATCTTTAAGTGATTTGAAATATACAATAGGTCAAAGATCCCCAAACCCTAGCCTTCAACCCTTACCTATCTGTGGCCTGAATGTGATGCCGGAGGATGACCTGTAATACCTGTCTGTGGAGAATGTAACGCCTGAGGATGACCTGAGGTGGTACAGTTTTATCCGGAAACCATCCTGCCTACTCCCTCGCTGGCCCTCCCTGTCCCCGTGACAGCCTCACTGCCCCACCTGGCCTCTGTCACATTGCTCCTACCGGAAGACCCGCCCCACCACGTGCCCCTCGGAGACCTGCCGCCAGCCCCCACTCCCAAACCTGTCCACCTCGTCGCCTTCTTCCCCTGCGCAACCCTTGTCTGAGGAAAAACTGACTTCCACTAAACCAGTCCCTGATGCGAAAATAGCAATGAAAGAGTCCATTACGTTACCCAGGCTGGTCTCAAACTCCTGACTTCAAGCCATCCTCCGACCTCCACTTCCCAAAATGCTAGGATTACAGGAGTAAGGCAGTGTGCCTGGTTAACAGAATAATTTAAGCGCATCTATTTTGTTCCCATTTTAGGCTATCCAACTCCATTTATCTGGATTACACCCACTTATTCGGTTTAAATTATTTACGGTGCCAAACATACATAAAACATGTTTCAAATACTGTCATACAAGGAAGGAGACCTTTACAGTCTTTACAGAGTCAAAGTTAAACTGAGATTATTTATGGCCCCAGACTTCTACATTAACTAAGGTAACACAATTTATGTCAAAAGTTGATAATTCCCGTCAAGCAAATCAGAGATGTGACATGCGTTGACTAAAAGTATACGTTTTTAATCGCCTTGGTTAAGTATATTGCCTGTATTTTGAATGATGACCACAGTCACAGAGAAAACCCGCTTTAATAAAAAGTGCATATGAAAACAATGGCGCCTTAGCACAATCTCCCACAACTAGTCGGACATATTAGGCAGTTAAAGGTAGAACCCTCAAGAAAAATCAATGAGTTTAACAAAAATGAGTTTCTTAATAGCACTAAGGAGTTCTCTCCCCACTGTCTTCTCCCATAATTCAACACCCACACATAGAAAACCCATCCCCTTTTATAGACAAAATCCCAAACCTTCGCTTTCTATTCTTGCCGAGAGACCCAGCTGTCCAGAGAAACAGAAAATACCTGCGCTTTTTAGTAGGACAAAGAGCCTGAGGTTCGCCTGGCCCTCAGGCCGTACGTAACCGGCTTCGGAACACCACAGGGCCAACTGCGGGAGGGACAGCTGGAGCTACCCTGAGAGGGAAGGACGCCGGAAGCCGTGCCCGGAAATCCCGCCTACCTCCAGCGGCCAATCATTGCGAAGGCGGTGGGCGTCAGCCAGTTACTGCAAAGGCTGTGGGCGAGTCCTGAGGCCCCTCCGCCCCTGCGGGCCTGCAGCTCCATTATGTCGCGGTAACTCTTCCGAGACCACGCTTGTGCCATGTGGCGGGCAGCGGTAGATTGAGGCACAGGCGAACTGTGAGCCCTTTGCAATTGTGGGCTTGGAAGACCTACACCCTAACTGGCATCCTGAGTGTGGCAAGACATTAATTAACCCACAAAGAACACATGAAACATCTTACTTCGTAAGGCAGGCTAGGCTGATGGTACTAAATACTGCAGATCCAGAGGGGAGAGAGAGGGACCAGCGCTGCCTGCTGGGGTGAGGGCGGCGGCGGTGGTTTGAGGGGAGTGGGGCAGGGCGGTTGCCTGTGAGGAAAGTCGACTGGTACGTTGCTGGGGTGGAATTTGTCTGCAATAGAAGCTGAAACCCCACAAGGACTCTCTAAGGTCTAGCCAAATACAGACTCTGAGTTCCATGCTTCCTCCCTGAGGATGCTGTACTCATAGGGGCATTCCAAAGGACTTCTCATCCTGTGCCGTGGGCACATGGGAGGCCAGCCACCATGGTCGCCAATCCGATGACCCGTGTGCACTGCCTTCCTGGCGCAGAGGCTCCCGCAAGGGCAGCAGTGGCCGTCCTGCCTGCTAGCGGGGCTCTGGAAGCCCAGGGCGTCGGCCTCCAACTCCAGGGCTACTGTGTGCAGCTAACCCTGCTGGGTGTCTGGGCCGCATTGCGAGTGGGGCGAGCTGTGGGCCCTGAGGGGCTCCCCGGGAACCCTGCATCCACGTAGGTGTGGGACATGGGTCTCAGCAGGGCAAGGCCCGGGGGCCCCTCCGGCAGATTCCCCTAGGGTCTAGGGGTGCCAGGGACGTGAGATGGGCGGTGCAGGCCTTAGTCAGTGGAAGCCTCAAGGAGGGCATCGTGTTAAGGTGGAGGCTCTGCAGAAGAGGGCGGCCTGTGTGGAGAGCAGGGAGACAACCCTGGGGGAAGAGGCATGCCAGTGGGGGATGACATCATGGCAGAGATGGAGGTGGTGGCCAAGGAGGAGGCCAATGTGGAGCGGCAGCAGGAGGCCCAGCAGGCCCAGCCTGGCCTTGGCCCTAGTATGCCCCCGCCGGCAACGGACTCGCTGGACGTCCTTCACGTGGAGCTGGGCTCGGTAAATGCCCCAGGCCGCGGGACATCCCCGGCTTCTGGGCCAGAGCCATATCCTTGCAGCTGTCAATTCGGGATGGCTGGCAGCAGTGGGTGGGCGCCGAGCTCCCGGGAGCGGGGTTGGGGGAAACAAGGTGGTAGGCACCGGAGCTCAGCCAGGATTCAGGGTATGGGGGACAATGAGAGGAACCAAGGACAGACTCATGCAGATAGAAGGGCAGCAAAATTCCGTGTCCCCTGCGGGCACGAGGTAGGGATATGAAGCCAAGCACAATACTCACAAGGGAGAATAGCAGCTCAAAGGACCCGTCATAAACAGCAGAAAGTCGAAGGACACTTTTCACTGGGAAAATCCCTGAAGGAAGGGGAGTCTGCGTGCCCAGGCCAGCCAGGGAACTACCCCTGCTCCCCGTGCCTATGTCCAGCAGGCTTACCTCAGAAACACAAGGTCCTCAAGACTCGGGTTCACAGTGCATGGGACTGCTGTCCTCTGCAAGGCAGGCACCAGCTCCCCAGACAGGATTTCTTCCCTCTGCCAGCGCTGCACACAAAGATGGTTAGGCCCTGAGCATATATAACCTCCGTTGAAACCACTCGAGTCTCACGGGGAGAGCCAGGCACAGCCCTGCAGCAACTTCTACCCACAGCGGTTCCCTCGGGTGGACAGGCCCACCCCTCAGTGAGACCAGGAGAAGAGGACACCGCACACCCGGACAGCAGCAGAACCTGTCCAGCACCCAGCACACGAGGGCCTCCCACAGCTCAGGAACCCTGAGAAAGTAGCCGCCTCACACCACAACACCCCTCCCGCAACCCCCTCCCCACTTCTTCTGTGCCTGCCTCTGGTCAGAGTAGACTGTCTGGGCCTGCCTCCTCCACCCGCCGCCAGGACCACCACAGCCGCAAAGGTGCCCCCCAGCGCCAGACAGAGGCAGAGGAGCGGGAAGGGAGGGTGCCAGACCAACGGCCTGCACGGTAGCCCTGCCCCACACTCTCCGTGCTCTTGCAAAGTTGCAGGGTGTTTCCCTTCACGCCCACCCAATCATCTGGCGGCTCCTTAACCAGAGGCAGATCGTGCGGCAGACCCAGATGTTGGCCGGGATCACAAATGATGAAGTCCTGCTAAGCTGCATGATGGATTTGCAGGTCAGGCTAAGGAGCCTGGGTATGCGGTAGGGGTCCGGTGTCTGGGTCAGACTGAGGTCCCCCTGGGACCCGGGGTTGTCTCAGCGGGAGAGTTGGGAAGGGGAAACGCATGCTTCACCCCAGCTAGCAGGTCACCTCACCCCAGCTACATGAAATGGTCCTTTGAGTGCATCCTCTTCCTCCTTCTTGGCCAGGTAAGGGGAGGAACTCAGCCATCCCAGGTACCGGTGGCAGGATCAAGTTTTCCTTTCATCACAATCTTTACTTCCACAATGAAGTGACCATTCAGGAGTATTGCATTGGCATCCTAGGTAAGGAGCACCTCCCAGCATGGTAGGGGAGCTGGTGTGTGGGAGGGTAGGTCTGGCATGAACCTTCCTGACTCCTCTCTCTCCAGGATACAGGGAGTCTCATTCCACTGCAGTCCAGTGGTTGTGGGATCATGAAGGTCAAGCCTCCAGCTGCAGGCAGTACACTTCCTACCTGAGCTTCTTCAGCCCATTGGCTGACTGTGACTGCCCAGGTTCTGGCAGGATTCCTGAGGTAGGCGCCACAGTGGGACATCATAGGAAAGAACCTTGCCTTGGCTTATGGGGAATTGACTTTGAGCCATGACCTGACCTGTCCTGTACCTACATCTGCAGTCCCCCAGATCATCAGCCAGAGCCTGCCACTCAGGATGCCAGTTAGTGTGTAGGTCTTCCATACCCACAATTCCAAAGGGCTCAGAGTCCACGTGTGCCAGGCTCAGTCCCCTGCAGTACTTCTCCAGGGAGGGAGGCCATTAGAGAGGGAACAGAGAAGAGGCCAGGTGAGCAGTCTAGGCTGGGGACTGAGAGGCCTTTGATCCCTGGAGTTGTGCCCCACATGGAGAATCCAAGCCTCAGGGAGGTGACTGCAGTGAGCAGTCCCAGGCCATCCATGGTCTGGCGGAGAAATGGCCATCTGGGAACTGTAACACCCTCATTTCAGGATTGGGGAACCTCAAGCCACCTAAGAGGTATAAGGATCTAAGGTCAGTGGGTAAGAAGCAAGGCTCAAGGGGCAGCTGTCTCATCATCCCTCGCCGGCTCCCTTCCATGCCCTGAGGCCGGCTACCACTTGAGGCTCAGTTTGGGCTCAACCAAGGCCCTCCATGCAGATGTACCCGCAAGGCCTGTCTCTATGTCCTCCCAAAATGGCTCTCCGAGGCCCATCATTTTCTGTTATAATGACCCAGGGGTCCCCTGACATGCTTTCTCCCCTCTGGGATCATCACTCACACTGCCCCGCCCCCTGAGACAAGAGAGGCCACTACTCAGGGCATCTGGAGGACCACACTGTGCTCACAGGGGAGGAAATGTGAAGAGATTGCAAAATGGCTGGGACCTTCGGTGTTTGTCCAGGGAGAGAAACTGGCTGGGATTTAAGGCCCACCTAAGTAGTGGTGTGGACACCCAGTGTTACTTATCATGATGAAGACATGCTTTGTCACATCCCCTAATATTAATATGGAAGTTATTTTCTTAGAATAGTGAAACAATGAGTACAAAGAAATAGTGTTTGTTCTGATTTGTACGGAAATGCTGCAGACACATTCATTTTTCATTGCAATTCTTATAGGAGACTTGAAACGTTTATTCAGTTTTAAGACACATTTTGATTGTTCTGCTCCTGGCAAATTTTATGGTCATGTTTGCAATGTAGAGATATAGAATCCAGAAAATTTTTGACTGACTTTCAGCTTCTTTTAGAGTACTCAATTGCACATTTTTATTTATCCCCTATGGTTCTCTTCAGTTGATTATTTGAACTTTACATGCAAACTGATGAATTTGTTTTCTTATTTGCCTCTTGTGGAACTTCTGTTTTAAAGGACACTTTTTTCTGTTAGATATATGAGTTTGACCATGAGTACTTTTTCTAGTATACATTTTTGTTTTCATTTGTTAGTTTTGTGTGTGTGTGTATTTTGAGAAGGAGTCTCACTCTGTCACCCAGGCTGGAGTGAAGTGTCAGGATCTTGGCTCACCTCAACCTCCACCTGCCACCTTCAAGTGATTCCCCTGCCTCAGCCACTCAAGGAACTGGGATTACAGGCACATGCCACCATGTCCAGCTAATTTTTGTATTTTCAGTCGAGACTGGGTTTCACCATATTTGTCAGGTTGGTCTCCGACTCCTGTCCTCAAGTGATCCACCACTTTGGCCTGCCAAAATTCTGGGCTTACAGGCGCAGGCCACCACACCCAGCCTCATTTATTTGTTTATGTTTTTGAAGCCTTCCTCTATTTTCTTCAGGGGCATGTATTTTAGAGTTATTGAAATAACATATTTTATTTATTTACTCAATAGTTTAGTAAGATTTTAAAAGTAATGTATTTACTCACTAAATACAATATTGTGAATAGGTTAAACCTTTTGTAGTGTTGTCATTCTCTCTTTCATAAATTCTTCAAGAACTCTGATTCTGTTTTTCCCTCACCTGAGGAGAATATGCAGATAGTTACAAAAAATTGTCTGACTGAGTGGGTATGATAATATAATTTGAAGGCCAGGTGGGGTGGCTCACATCTGTAATCCCCACACTTTGGGAGGCCAAAGCTGGTGGATTACCAGATTTCAGAAGTTCAAGACCAACATGGTCAACATGGTGAATCCCCATCTCTACTAAATATTCAAAAATTAGCTGGGTGTGCTGGCAGGTGCCTGTAATCTCAGCTACTCGGGAGGCAGAGGCAGAAGAATCGGTTGAACCCGGGAGGCAGAGGTTGCAGTGAGCCAAGATGGTGCCACTGCACTCCAGCCTAGGCCACAAGAACAAAACTTTGTCTCCCCTGCCATCCCCACTCCAAAAAAAGCACCAAATTTATATAATTTTCTTAAAAGCCAGCATGGTTTTAATTTTATTGTAGTCATCACCTGCAGAGACTGTTTATGTTGGAGGAGCGATTACAGAAATCTGAAAAATCAAGGCCTGATGAGAATACTTAAATTAAGCACACTTCAGAAGCCCAAATCTGAAAACTGAAGGTGTTTCTGACATAACAGCCCAAATTCTGTATTTTTTATCCGTTGGGAGGTGTAATATTGCACATATGAAAAACAAATGCAGTGTTAAATAAAAAATAATGTGATTAAGAGGAGTCACTGCTTAGTAAGTCAAAAGGACACACAAATAAATTGAGAAGAAAAGAAAATGAAAGAAAATGTATTGTCTGTTGATTTAATTCAGAATAATTTTCATTTTGTCTCTTAGCATTAATTAGTACCATTACAATAATCTAATTTTTATATATTGACTTCTAACATGTGTTTTTTATTTTGTATAGTTGGAAACCTGATCAAAGATTCTTTATACATTTTATTTTTTCCCAAATTTGCTACCTAATAGACCTAGTGCTAGTTGCCTGAATACCTCTCACTAAGTAGTTTGTCTTTTCCTATTAATTTTAATATGAACTTGGTGTGTATTTTGTTGGCATCTTTACTAAATCTACAGGTGTTGAAGTTGTTCAGATCTCAGTCATGGATCCTCTTGGGTTTTCTCAAGGCTGAAACACCCTTTCTATGCTGACCATTAAGAAATTCCCAACTTCAGGCCAGATCTTTGTTCTACCTTCAGACTTGGCATATCCAACTGCATGCCTTACATCTCCACATACCAAAACCAGACCTTCATTTCATGCCCAAAACATGTTTCCTCCTACGATATTCCATTATTTCAGAAATTCACAGCACAAAATACCCTGTATTTCAAGCTAGAAATGTAGAGGATGATCCTTGAGGCAGCCTTTTCTCAATGACTCTTCATCATTCATATCCAACTCTTCACAGGTTGTGTGTCGTCTCCGAGAATTACATAGTCTTAGTAAATAAGGAGTGGCCCATAAGTCATCTTCAATCATCCACTTTTTTTTCTCAATTCATGTTAGTTTCTTTACAGAACAGCTGGAGCTCTGCAATGTCAATGTTGAAGTAAGTACCATTCTCTGCCAGTATTACTATTTTATGTATCAGGAGATAAATGTTCCTTAAAAATGCCCACACAAAGCTATACTAAGTAACACAATTAAATGATGTCTTTATTTTACAGAAAAGTATAAGGCAAATAGAATTGTTATTATATGATCTCTATAACCACACATAGGTACTAGATATTTTAGACCCCACTTCATACATCTGAAATTTGGGTCTCAAAATAATTAACTTCTCTTAAAGTCTAATTTCAGATTAAAAAACTACCTCTTTCCACAATATTGTGCTATCTCCCTTCAAGAACCAGCTGGGGAATAATTAAGAATAAAATAAACGTCATTTTCTTCAACATCTCCTAGCTGAGCCAAATTCTAAGTTTTCTGTGGAGATGTTGTTATGTGCAATTTTGCCAAAACTTTTACAACTTTAACCACAGTTATGCTTCAGTGGCCTGCCTGCTCATCCAATAACTGGAGGCCCCAGTGTCTAATGTTCTGATGTTTATTTCTGTGTACACCCAAGTTTTAGTTCCTATTCATAAGTGAGACTATGCTGTATTTGATTTTCTGTTTCCTCATTAATTTTCTTAGGTTAATGACCTCTAGCTTCATCCATGTTTCTGCAAAGGACATGATTTTGTTCTTTTTCTGGCTGTGTACAATTCCAGGTTTCATATGATAAGGCGTGAGTTTGGACCAAGAAGGCTTTCTGCCAGAGCCATCAACGCTGTGGAAATAAAACCGTCCACAAGTCAGGAAACAAAACAGTCATTACTGGTAATAGTAACTGTAAAACCTCTCACAGATTTGATTTCATTTTTAATTTACTGTAGATTAGGCAGCATGACACAGAATACCCTGCCCCTAGTAGTATGCGATTTGACGACAAATGTCAATTAGATTTGGTCATTGAAAACTACAAGAATCTTAGTTAACACCATAGTTACATAAGTAATTTTAACAATATATACCAGCTTATTTTAAAGTTTCAGTTAGTCCACTAGAGACCTAAATGTTATTTTAAACATAGGTCAAAATTCATGTGGATAAGGGGTAAAATGGCAAGTTTTTATTTTTATTCATTTCTTTTTGGTTTTATGCCAAAAAGAAAGGGTGATCCCTTATCATCACAGTATTTACGTGTTCAGCCATTAAGGAGAAAGAGTATCCAATCCCACTGCTTTCCTGCATTGGTTCCCATACACAAGCAAATGTGCTGTGTTAGTGACTATCAAATATTCTTATATTTGATGAAGGGAAATTTGTGTTTCCAAACTGTAAAACAAAAATATTACTATCAGTTATATTTTTATTATTTATTTACTTTCATTCTTTCCTTTCTCTCTCCCTCCCTCCCTTCCTTCTTTCCTTCCTTCAGCCTTTCCTTCCATCCTTCCTTCTTTTCTTCTGTCTTCCCTCCCTCCCTCCTTTCCTCCCTCCCTCCCCCGCCTCCATCCCTTCTCCCCGTCTCCTCTCTCTCTCTTTCTTTCTCCTTTCTTTCTTTCTTTTTTCTTTCTTTCTTTCTTTCTTTCTTTTTCTTTCTTTTTTTCCCTCTTTTCTTTACCTCTTTCTCTCTCTCTCTCTCTCTTTCTTTTCTCTATCTCTGTATCTCCCTTTGATTTTTTTTTTAGGTAGACTCCTGCTCTGTCACCTAAGGTGGAGTGCAGTGGCATGATCTTGGCTCACTGAAACTTCCCCATCCTGGGTTCAAGCAATTCTTCAGTCACACCCTCCCAAGTAGTTGTGACTGTAGGCCTGTGACATAAATCCTGGCGCATATATATATATATATATATATATATATATTTTTTTTTTTTTAGTAGAGAGCAGGTATCACAATGTTTGCTTAGGCTGGTCTCAAATGCTTGTCCTCAAGTGATCCACCCACCTCAGCCTGGCAAAATGCTGGGATGTCAGGCATGAGCCACAGTGCCCACCCAGTTTTATGCATTTCTCTCCTCAGTGATCTCTCCTATTTTATTATTTTATTTTACTTTTATTTTTGAGACAGAGTCTTGCTCTGGTGCCCAGGCTGGAGCACAGTGGTGTAATCTCAGTACATGGCAAACTCCATCACTGGGATTCAATGGATTCTCCTGCATCAGCCTCCTAAGTAGCTGGGATAACATCCATGGGCCACCAAGCCCAGCTAGCTTTGGTATGATATTAGACATGGGATCTTGCTATGTTGGCCAGGCTTGTCTCGAACTCCTGACATGAAGAGATCTGCCCACCACGGCCTGCCAAACTGCTGGGAGTGCAGCCTCCATGCCCTACCTCATATCTGTTCTAAACCTCAGTTGATAAGCAATATTGTCTTCCTGGAATGCTTTATGTTTACAAAACAACTACAGTACTATTATTTAGCCCCTTCAGGTAAAATATGGTAACATAGAAAACATATACACACAGACACAGACACAGGCAGTGATCAAAATATGAGGGTAGGCCAGGATGTAAAATGAAAGATGTGTTGCTGCAGTTGACTAGAATTAAACCAGACCAGAGCTGACCCTTACCCAGATAAGAGATGTGAACAGAAGCTTTCAAAAAACTCTATCAGTTGCATGTTAGATTATTCTCCAGCCATAGCAAAGGGACATTAAAGATCTGTTGTGTTTAGAAGAGTCTTGATAGTTTGACTTTTCCAGGGTAGCATTCGTGACATTGGCCTTTAAAGCTCTCCACAATTACTCAATTACTCAAATCAGTAGACAACTCAATTATCCAAGGAGTCTGAAGTGCTTTTTAAAATTATGTAAAACTTAGTGGCTTAAAACAATAATTATAGTTATCCTAGGAGTCTGAAGTGCTTTTTAAAATTATGTAAAACTTAGTGGCTTAAAACAATAATTATAATTTACTATCAGTCTCTGCAATCTTCCACAGTCTCTCAGCCAAATGATTGTGGTTCAGGGTCACTCAGGAGGATGCAATCTAGTGATGGCTCAGGATGGGGACATTGTCCGGTGTCTTCTCGTCTCCCTGGTGCCATGGCTAGGTTGACTCAAAATAGTGGGGGCTGGCCTGCTGAGATCTTCAGGCATCTCCTATTTCTTTTTCTTTTTTCTTTTTTTCTTTTTTTGAGATGGAGTCTTGCACTGTTGCTCAGGCTGGAGTGCAGTAGTGCCATCTTGGCTCACTGCAAATTCTGCCTCCTGGGTTCAGGGTTCAGGCCATTTTCCTGCCTCAGCCTCCCAAGTAGCTGGAACTACAGGCGCCTGCCACAAAGCCCAGCTAATTTTTTGTACTTTTAGTAGAGATGGGGTTTCACTGTGTTAGCCAGGATGGTCTTGATCTCCTGACCTTGTGATCCATCCACCTCGGCCTCTCAAAGTGCTGGGATTACAGGTGTAAGCCACCGTGCTGGCCTTCCTTCTATTTCTGTGAGTCTCTCCATGGGATGTCCTTTCAGCATAGTGTTATCAGGGTGTTAGACTTTGTGATGTACTGGTTGGGGGCTCCTGAGGGGTTTGTCCCATGAGAGCAGGAGATTTAGTTAGAGCTGTGTCACCTTTTCTAACCTAGGCCAGAGGTGTCCCAGTATCCAGAGAAGGCTTGCACTGTTTTCTATTCATTAGCAGCAAGTACTGTATTCAGTACCACCAGGAATATTTTCAAATGGGTTTGTGGAGAATGTGACTGAGACCACTACAATGGCCATGCCTAATAATTACTTATTTTTATAAGTGCTGGATGCGTTTTACCCAACATAATAGCAGATACAGACTTTTAAGCTTAAAACCTAAATGTCATAGCTCCAAACATTTGGTTGTATGTTGAAATAACTCTCAAGCAAAAATTGATTTTGAAACGAGAGCTGTAAATAAATAAAATAAATGACATAAACTCATAAATATCTGGAAGAAATGCTTATAAAGAGGTCAGCCTTAAAAATGTCATGAGGTCTAATGTGCCGCTCTTCTATTTCTATGGATAGTACTTGGACAGGACAAGGACTCAAGGGTCTGCTGGTCCATCTCTGCACCTTGAAACAGTGGCTAGGGCACCAGGAGTAATGCTTCCAGCCAAAACCATGTGGTTAGTGTGAGGAGTCCCTCCGGGTTAAGGAGTGTGTCAGCATAATGTGACCTGAAGAAGAGGTATACCTCATAGGCGCCCAGGATCAAGGTCTCCGGCACACATTGAAATCCCCCATGCCCAGGTGTGGTGAAGTGAATCCCTCAGCTGGTGCTGGGCTTCCAGGTGTGTCCGGGAACCGTTCCCTGGGCTGGGAAGGATCTCTTCATTCCCTTGCCATGTGGGAGGGTAAGGCTTGTGGCCTCATCTCTGTATGTTCCAGCTCTTTCCCTTCCCATTATCCCACTGCTGGGTAAGGCGGCAGGATCTCGGAATCTACAAGGGCCCTGGGTTGTTGACAGTGCCTGTGGGTGGCCATGTACTAGGAGGAGGGTCACTGAGCCTACCTTGAGCTTGGAGGCTGGGAAGGAACACCCGTGTGGCACTGGCTGTTCCGGAGTCCAGGAGCCCGTCCCGGAGAAGGCCGGGGGGAAGTCGTAAGCCTGTGGATCTGCAATCTAGGTGGAATTGCTGTATCTGTCATGGCAAGACACCCACTGGGTGGAGAGCTGGGCTTGTGCATTTTCCCCATGTCCTGAAGAGACCCAGCAAGACTGGCTCCCCTGGGACCAGTGACACTGGAGACCTCCTCTGGGTCCACTCAAGCTTAAGCTCTTATGTGCCTTGCTTCCTATCCTCCCAGGTGAGGCATCCTGGAGAGGATGTGCGGGGCGAAGGTCATATGAGCACCTGCAGCACTGGAATGGGGTGTCACTGGCCTGTTAGGCCGTTGCTCACCAGGACCTCTCCTGAGCTCCTACGTGGCTTAGTGGTAAGTGTCCCATCTACCCGACCCCGCAGCCCGGGTTTCTCCTCCACTTACAGACCCGTGCCCTCTTGGGGAGAATGCCAGCCTCCCTGGAGACTCAGGCCCTGCAGGACCCACATGCTGTCGTCTCTCATGGGCTAGACACTCTCTGGTGCACAGGGATTCCCAGACAGTGAATCCCAAAGCCCTGCAGGTTCTGTTGCTTCTTCCCTGAATGCCTGCCTTCCCCGACCGAACACACAGGAAGACACAGGTAGCTACTAG
The DNA here is from genome assembly GCF_000001405.40 of Homo sapiens. Classification (NCBI taxonomy): domain Eukaryota; kingdom Metazoa; phylum Chordata; class Mammalia; order Primates; family Hominidae; genus Homo; species Homo sapiens. The sequence goes on along the minus strand of NC_000024.10, from coordinate 22,297,398 downwards.
GTTTTATTTCCCTCCGGATGTCATTTCAGGTCCATGACATCTCCTTTAGGTAGTTCGCCCAGCCACTCTTTTCCTCCTACCTCTGCCATTCATGAGAACTGTGAGGACTCTTCGTGTCTCCCCAGCGGGCAGGCTTCACGGGTCCTGAAGTTGGATTGTCAAACCCAGTGGTCCCCTGCTTGCCAGCTCAAGAGCTGCGTTTGAGGCACACCTGTGGGTGGGAGTGTGGGCCCCACCTCTGGCCAAACAAAGGTACACAAGGGGAAACAGGTGCAGGTGTGTACAGGCGTGCACCAGCTCAAACATGCAGGCTGGAACGTGCACACGCTCACATTGGTACCAGGGAAACTGGGTGGGTGTCTGGGTGTCTACACCAATACTCAGATGAACCTTAATGCTCAGCCACATTCCCTTGCTGGACACACACAGAAGGTCCCCTGCCATTTAATTGATCGTCTACAGTGGGATTTATTTTTACTTTTATACTTTTTTAACTTACCAAAGTATGTTGCATTCTTTCCCCCATCATGAAAAAGACTTTGATATAAGTAAGGAGGAAAAGCATTTTTTATAATAAAATACTTTATCTGCATCTATACTATTAAGGCATTATACAAATTTTATGTCTGTTTTTTAATGTCATAGGAAATGTCTCAGTGCCAGCGCAGCATGAGTGAGGGTGGCAGAGGGGAGAAAGCATGTCAGGGGAACCTGGAGTCTCTGAAACACAACATGATAGGACTGGTCATTCTAGAAGGATGTAGACCTAAGTGCACCTCGTGTGTACCTCTGCGTGGATGGAAAGAGGGCCTTAGTTGAGCCCAAACTGTGTCCTGGGTGTTACCAGGCCTCAAGGCACAGAAAGGAGCCAGAGAAGGATGATAAGGCAACTATCCATTGAGCCTTGTTTCTCACCCATTGACCTTTGCCACTTCTGCCTTTTAGGTGACTTCAGGTTCTCCAATTCTGAAATATGAATGTTACAGTTCCCTGATGGGCCTTTCTCCCCCAGCCCTGGGATGGCCTGAGATTTCTCACTGCAGGCTCCTCCCTGATCCTTGATTTCTCCTTGTGTATCCCAGCTCCAGGACCCACAGGCCTCTCAGCCCCAGCCCTGGGCTGCTTACCTGGCCTCCTCTCTGTTCCCTCTCTCAGGGCCTAACTCCCTCCAGTAGTGCTGTGGGGGGGATTGAGACAGAGGCCCTGAATGATGATCTGGGGGACTGGGGAAAGGCATCCGTGACTTGTCAGGTCGTGGTCCAAAGCCAATTCCCCAGACGTCAAGGAAAGACCAGAAAGGTCCTTTCCCATGATGCCCCGCAGTGGCCTACACCTCAGCAATCCTGGCTGACCCTGAGTAGTCATGGTCAGCCAACCAGCTGAAGAATCTCAGGCTGCATCCTGCATGAAGATGGAGGTTCCTCCTGTATGAGTCTAGAACCATTGTACTACAGTAGAGCCAGTCACCCTGTATTCTGGAGCAACAGGAGTCCGGAAGGCTCATGCCAGGCCTAGCATCCCACACTCTACCCCCTCTACCATGCCAGGAGGCACTCCTTACTGAGGATGCCAACATGATACTCCTTAATGATCACTTCATTGCATAAATAAAGTTTGTGATGAAAGGAAAACTTCATCCTGCCACTTATACCCCGGGTAGCTGAGTTCCTCCACCTGCCAGGCCAAGGAGAAGAGTACAGACTCAAAGGGATGATTTCATCTAGCTGGGCTGAGGGCCTGCTGGCTGGGGTGAAGCATGTGTTTCCGCTTCCCAGCTCTCCTGCTGAGACACCCCTGGAGTCCAGGAGGAACTCAACCTGACCAGGACCCTCGACCCCTCCCCTAGACCCAGGCTCCCCGGCCTGATCTGCAAATCCATCCTGTAGCTTACTTAGTAGGACTTCCTTATGCTTTCTGAACCCAGACAATATCTGGGTGTGCCCTACAATCTGTGCCTCTGGTCAAGGAGCCTCCAGATGATTGGGTGGGCATGCCAGAGAACAACCTGAAACTTTGCAAGATCTGGGAGAGTGTTGGGCAGGGCTATCCCCCTGACCTTTGGCCTGGCACCCTGCACTGGTGGTTCTGTCTCTATCTGGCATGCAGGAATGGTAGAGGGTGTGGTGGTCTCGTGGGCAGGTGGAGAGAGGCCCAGAAAGCCTCGCCGACAATAAGCTGAGAGCACAAGTAGGCAGGGGATTTTGGTGTGGGGTACTGTGGTGTGAGGCAGCTGTTTCCTCAGAGTTCCTGAGCTGCATGTGGCCCTTGTGCACTGGGTGCTGGACAGGCTCTGCTGAGGGTGTCCAGGTGTGCTGTCCCCTCTTCTCCTGGTCTCCCTGAGGGGTGGGAGTGTCCACTTGAGGGAGCTGCTATGGGTAGAAGGGACTGCAGGGCTGTGCCTGGTGCTCCCCATGGGGCTCGTGTGTGTGCAACAGAGGCGTGTGTGCAACAGAGTTTACATATGCTCAGGGCCTACAGCTCTTTGGGTACAGCGAGGCAGAGGGAAGAAAGCCTGTCTGGGGAGCTGGTGCCTGCCTTGCAGAGGACAGCAGCCCAGTACACCAGAACCCGAGTCTTAAGCACCTTGTATTTCTGGGGTAAGGCTGCTGGACACAGACATGGGCAGCCAGGGTAGCTTCTATGGTTGGCATGGGCTTGCAGACATCCCTTCCTTCAAGGACTTTCCCAGAGAAACATGCCCTACAACTTCCTGCTGTGCATGAAGTGTCCTTGGTGCCACTATTCTCCCGTGTGAGTGCTGAGCTTGGCGCCCAGTCCCTACCACGTGCCCTCAGGACACCCTCAAGCAAGCTGCCCTCCTATCTGCAGGACCCTGGCCTCAGCTCCCTTCGCTATCCCCCATTCCCTGCCTCCTGGCTGACCCCTTGTGCCCCTTGCTTGGCTCCCCTGCTCCCCACCCCAAGAAGCCAGATGCCCACCCCCTGCTGCCAGTCATTCTGAATGGGCAGCTGCAAAGATGTGGCTCTGGCCCAGAAGCTGGAGATGCCCTGGCTGATGGCCTCTGTGCCATCCTCATGGTGATTTATACCATGTGTATATCACATGGCTAATGTAGCATTCTCATAAAGGAAACCTTGAAATGTGGCTGCTACTTAGTTTTTATTTTCAACTGTTTCAGTCATTGTTATTTTTCATATGCTTCATAGGGGCTTTTGAATTTTAAAGAGAATACATAAAAACCAAAAAGAGAAGGACAATGAAATTGTGAGACTACAGTCATAATAATTTCATTAATTAATTCAATGGTTTAGAGAGCTAGATTAGATTATATTTCTCCCAAAAGATTCTCGGAGAAATTCTAAGATGACGCACCCACTGTTTGAAATGGCTGTTAAGGTTGTTGCTTAAGTTAGAGTTAACTCTTTTTAAAGCCTGAAGGTACAGTAATAGTTTCATAAATTACAACACGGAAAATAGGATTTTTAGTGCTACTTGCTCTCACCAGAAATAACCACAACTTTTAAACTGTTCTTTATGTCAAATTAAATTTTTTGTTTTTCTACCTCATGTTTTGGATGAGGCAAGTATTTTTAAATGTATTTTCACCATTATCATACTTCTGTGAGAAACTGCAGAGTTAAATTAATATCATAATTATCTTTCAGTTCTACTTGTCTGTTCCTAAAAGTTCACATAAGTAAATAATTCCATTTATGCTTGTATCTTTCAGCAACATTATTTCAGATAACAGTGCTCATTACTGCAGATATCATATGTACAGGTCCGAAGGGAGAAGAAGAAGGATCAAGTAAGCTTTTAAGTCTATATATTTGTAACACTATATCAGAAACTCAGTAGTTATAATGAAATAAAAAAATGATCACAATCAATTCCATCTCATACCTAGCCTGAAATAAGAAGCTTGAAAAGAAAAGAAAGTTAAGAACTTTGGGCTTGTCAAAATTTTCCTATATGAAAAAATTATTGGTAACTTTCTCTCACTAGAAAACATAAACAAAAATTCATTCTTCATATATGTGTAAATAAAATATTTTTATTTCCTTCAGTTATGACATGCAAGCAAGTAATAAAGTGAAAGTATAATAATAAAATGATATAAGGAAATTTGTCTGTATCAAAAAATTCCATTGAGGCTATTAATTTTACATAAACCATAGAGAATGTTTCATGAAACTACATTATACACTACTTTTTGGTATTTTACTTACATTTTAAACAATTAACAAATTAAAGGAAATTCTTAATCATTATTTATTACCAATAACATTATACTTGAGTAATCCTTTTGGGATTAAATATTTTCAGTAAAACTTTAAAAACAAATTGTATTGACTGATATCAGCTTTTGATGAAATAATACTTCTGTATTTGTAGTCATGTGAAGTATAACTTTCTTCTCACAATGGCTCTTATATAACACCAGTGTTATTGTTTTCTCTGATACAAACCCTGTGATATCTCATGGCTTTTCTGTATCCATACATTACATGCCTCCAGAGAGTAGGCTTCAAACAGTAGGAAAAATTTTATCTGTGACAAAATTCTAGAAAAGGGAATGGTAAAATGGGAGAATAATTTCTAAATTTCTAACTGTTCATCAATGGATTTGGATGTATTTAGATATAGACAAATATTTGCACACTGAAAGTTTGCACGTGTGTATAAATTTAAATGACATACCCATATGTATCAGTTGTATAATCTTTTAATTAATCCTCAGTTTTACATGTGGGAAATTTGAAAAGAGTTTATCCTTACCAAATACTCAATTTGAAGTACTACACTCAATGTGATGTAAAGCCAACAAAATCTCTATTAACATTCATTTCAATTAATCCAATAATGTTAACTGCAGATAGCTTCATTCTTTTCATTCTCCTTGTCCCCTGTTGGCAGCTGAAAGTTGATTCTCATAACATCAAACTCCTGAGTAAATAAACAACAGATGTGTGCCATCATGTCCAATTTAATTAATTAATTGCTTACATTTGTAGAGATAGGTATTGCTATATTGTAGAGATAGGTCTGTGCTGGACTTGAACTCTGGACTTGAAGCAATCCTCCCTTCTCAGCCTCCCAAAGAGCTGCGATTCCAGGCATGAACCACTAGACCTCAGTGAAAAAATTTTGGATTTTAGAATATTGCAATATGTTAGACTTAATTTCTTCTTTCAATTTTGCATTTGCAGTAGCACTTCAAAATCCTATAAAGGAAAGGTAAATACCCTGGACTTTGCAATTTTGCTGCTTTTCTTTACATTCTTTCTATGTTTACTACCTCATAAACTCTGTTTTACTTTTTGGTCTTTTCACAAATATCATGCATGAATCTTTCCTGAGACTACTTTTCTCTTGGTCCCTTGATACTATATTTGTCTCTGGTAATCCTTTGTGTGAGGTCCTGGGTTTGTATCCCCACAGGTACATCAATCACCTCTCCCTGGCACTGTTCTCTAATAGAGAGACCCACCACTGGGAGGCATGGTTCCTAAGCCCTCATAAAAATTACTTCCTGTTTCAGCTCAGTCAAGGTGACACTGTAGAGATTAGAGAAGAAGAAGATGAGAGAAGCTAGTGTGTGTCCGTCTCCTTCTCAGCAGGGAATACGTTTCCCCAGTGATTCCATGGCCTGCAGGACATGCTCTCTGTGTTTCCATTTTCCATGTAGTGACCCTAATCCTAGACTGGCTCTTCTAAAGCCATTTTCTCCAATTGTCTTCTCTAAATGATTTGGGTACTATTTTTGGAGTTTTAAATTTAAAAAAAGTATTGATATGGAGGTGGGGCCAGGAAGTGCCTGGTAGAGGAGAGTGTGGTTCTTGGCTAGGGCTCCACCCTCAAGCCTGTGCTCACTGAACTAGGTGGGGGCATATACTTCTGTTTTCTTGCCCAAATTGGTGAGGACATGCACTTCTGTTGTTTTGCCCAAGTGTTGCATTTTCCAAGACCACCCTTGCCTGCCATACCCCCATCCTGTGCTATAAGAAACCCTGAGACCCTAGCAGGCAGATACACAGCAGCTGGACATCGAGAGGAACCATCAGCAGAAGAAGACACAGCAACTGGACCTCGAGAAGACACCAGAGGAAGGAGAGTACAAGGACGGAGGTGGCAGGCCATCCACTGCAGAGCATGGAGTTCCGCAGGGCTGTGGGAGGAGAGCGCTGACCTGCCCCATTCCAAGGGAAAACCACCTTCCCACTCAATCTCCTTTCTGACTGCCCATCCATCTGCTGACAACTTCTACTCAATGAAACCTTGCACTTATTCTCCAAGCCCATGTGTGAGCCAATTTTTCAGGTACACCAAGGCAGAAAACCCTGGGCTCCAGAAAGCCTTCTGTCTTTGCAGTAAGGTGGAGTGTCTAATTGAGCTAACACAAGCCACCTACAGATGGAGAAACTAAATTAACACCTTGTAACACATGGCCACTGGGGATTCAGGAGCTATAAACTTTCACCCCTAGATGCTGCCTGGGGTGGGAGCCCCACAACCTGACCTCATTGCTCGCTCTGCAGGGGAGGATAAGGGATGTTTTCTGGTTTTTATATGAGTCTGTTTCCAGTGCAGTGTGCTTTCTGCAGTACTGCAGTGTTACCTCATTGCATGTATTTGACAAAATAAGTTACAAACTATAACTAATGTGAGAAGAAAATAAATGGTACAGAATAAGGAAGAAAAATGCAACACTGTGTCAGTAAGGAATTTTTTTTACTTCATACAACAGAAAAAGTAAACATGAATTAAACAAACAGGGACTTCTAGTTTTCAAATGTGAACCAGCCATACTTAGGCAGTTGCTGGCTTTGATCAGTGGCTCTAATGCATGGTAGTAGCAGAGCTGCATGGTAGTAGCAGTAATTTTTTGTCGTTTTTGTTGCTATTTTCTCCAAGGTGAAACCTAGCTCAAATCCAACACTATGCTGAGTCCAGTTGTTGCTAGCCAGCTTTGCCCACACTCTGGTTTTTCGGAGTCTTATTAGCTTCCAGTTTATACAGCTACTTTAACGGTGTATTTTTGCTAGTCATGTGAAACTGCTGCTTGAGATTTTCTATTCTCCTGCAATCACCTAGTATGTTTCCTGTCTGAAATTATGTGCCTTGCTCATTTTTTCTCCTAAGGGCACTACTGGATGTTCTTTAGCTAATTCTTTTAAAGAGCATTAGTAAACCAGTTTCATTTCTGTCAGATACTTCCGAGAATTCCTGAGAAACTTATTCATGTCTCAGCTAAAAACCTGGCACTGGACCACTGCCCACTCAGCTGCCTGTTATTGACTTCTTTCTTTAGATAAGATCCCCCAGGCAGCAACTGCATGAGTTCCCCCCACCGGACTTCCAATAAAGACCAACATCCAATGTTTAAAACATTTTAAGTCTTAGATATAGCATAAAAGGTTTATAGGATACCAAACAACAAATCGGATACATATATTAAAAAACAAAACTTTAGCCAGTACCAGTCTTTGACAACAAAGTTAACCATTTTAACTCTACTGTATAAATATATTTACAAATAAAGTGAATGCATAGGGAAATATTTCTTGTATTGTACATACTTTTTCCAGAGATGTCTTAAGCACTCATTTAAAATTGATTGAATTATAACCATAAATTATAATGAAAATAGTAGAGTAGAAAGTTTTTGTTTTAACAGATCACATGTACACATTGTTTGGTCTTCCAGTTGTACTGTTCCTTTTGTATGCATGTGTGTATGTCTATGTAATTTTAGATAGTTATAGAGAATAGATTTAGGAGAAGGGATTAGAAATTAACCAGATTTTCTTTGTAACAAAAAAGAACATGATTAACTTTAATTGAATTTTTAGCGGAACAGTAACACTGGGTAAGTATTTATTCTGCTAAGGGAAAAGAGGTACTGTGCTTTGCAGACTACAATAATTCTTTTTTTTTATTTATTTTATTTTATTTATTTATTTATTTATTTGGGTTTTTTTTTATTATACTTTAAGTTTTAGGGTACATGTGCACATTGTGCAGGTTAGTTACATATGTATACATGTGCCATGCTGGTGTGCTGCACCCACTAACTTGTCATCTAGCATTAGGTATATCTCCCAATGCTATCCCTCCCCCCTCCCCCCACCCCACCACAGTCCCCAGAGTGTGATATTCGCCTTCCTGTGTCCATGTGATCTCATTGTTCAATTCCCACCTATGAGTGAGAATATGCGGTGTTTGGTTTTTTGTTCTTGCGATAGTTTACTGAGAATGATGATTTCCAATTTCATCCATGTCCCTACAAAGGACATGAACTCATCATTTTTTATGGCTGCATAGTATTCCATGGTGTATATGTGCCACATTTTCTTAATCCAGTCTATCATTGTTGGACATTTGGGTTGGTTCCAAGTCTTTGCTATTGTGAATAATGCCGCAATAAACATACGTGTGCATGTGTCTTTATAGCAGCATGATTTATAGTCATTTGGGTATATACCCAGTAATGGGATGGCTGGGTCAAATGGTATTTCTAGTTCTAGATCCCTGAGGAATCGCCACACTGACTTCCACAATGGTTGAACTAGTTTACAGTCCCACCAACAGTGTCCTAAGCCAAAAGAACAAAGCTGGAGGAATCACACTACCTGACTTCAAACTATACTACAAGGCTACAGTAACCAAAACAGCATGGTACTGGTAACCAAAACAGAGATATAGATCAATGGAACAGAACAGAGCCCTCAGAAATAATGCCGCATAACTACAGCTATCTGATCTTTGACAAACCTGAGAAAAACAAGCAATGGGGAAAGGATTCCCTATTTAATAAATGGTGCTGGGAAAACTGGCTAGCCATATGTAGGAAGCTGAAACTGGATCCCTCCCTTACACGTTATACAAAAATCAATTCAAGATGGATTAAAGGTTTAAACGTTAGACCTAAAACCATAAAAACCCTAGAAGAAAACCTAGGCATTACCATTCAGAAAAGAATTCTTTCCTGAGTAAACCAGTGTTGGCCTTTACTGCAGAAATAGATTGGTTTTGGTAGACCCCTGTAGCCAACTACCTGCAGAGAAGGAAATCTTACTAGAGAGAATTCTAAATTGAAGAATTAAATATTCTTTCATTTAGGTGAAACATTCACATCTGACATTCTTTTACATTCAGCATAATTATAAAAGTTGAATTTTAATACACTCTCCAAAAATAAAGTAATTACAAAATTAAAAAGAAAATTGTATATTCCTCTTTTTAAAAGCTTTAGCCTATTCAAATCTAAGAAGTCCAGTCTGAAATATCTGAAAATAAGATATGAAATGAATAAGACAAGAAAATACAGCAGAATGTACCAGATGTTTTTCTGCATGTTGGACGTACATATATCTGTTCCCTTTTAGTAGCAGATAGAGTGCAGTCTACATAGTTTTATTCATAATAGATGCCTATGCATCATATATTCACAGATAAATATTATTTCTCTGAAGATTGAAATAGAAAGCTAGGAAAACACAACATGGCACATAAGCTGAATTACATTTAAGTAAGTGTGAATTATATAGTTAAATGATCTCTTCAAGGGACTTCTCATCACTCTCTCACTGGGTAGTCTAAGGATTAATTAGTTAAAGTTCCTAGGGTCTTTCAAGCTAAGAAACATTATGTAAGTGCTATGCATTATCATGGTAACAGGAGACTGAGGCATAAGTGATTTGCAACCTCACAGGCTCTTTGAATTGTGTGTCTAGCCTGATTGACCCTTTTTTCTAACAGTGTTTTATGGATTGGAAAGTGCTTATCATATTTGAAGATGAAATGTGCTCTATTGAAATCATGCAATTCTGCAAAATCAATATTTGTTCTATATATTAGTAGAGTGATGTTTCTCAAAATAGAAGAAAACTTGGGATATGATTTTGTAAGTCAATATATAATAAGGTAGAATTTTGGCATCAATTATAACTTGTATATTATCATTTGACTCAGCTGCTGCTGTCTTAATTAGTGCAACTGAAGTCTAGTTAATTTGCATAAAGGTAGCTATCCCATCTTTTATACTTTTAAAGACAGTCAGGAGACTATTCACTGTTTCCATAAAGCTTATATAGACTTTATCAGCATATTTGAATTATGTATGACTGCAGTAATGTCACTTCTAAAATGTAATTTGTTATTTCTTTTAATAATATTTTATTTCATTTTTTATTTCCATTTTTATTATAGATTCAGAGAGTACATGTGCAGGCTTGTTACAAAGGTGTATTGTGTGATGCTGATGTTTAGTCTTCTGTTGATCCCATCACTCAGATAGTGAACTTAGTACCCAATAGGAAGGTTTTCAGCCCCTGCCCCTCTCCCTCTGTCCCTGCTTTGAAGTCTCCAGTGTCTATTGTTCTCATCTTTATTTCTGTGCGCACCGAAGTTTTAGCTCCTATTTATGAGAATATTCAATATTGATTTTCTGTTTCTGCATTAATTTGCTTAGGTTAATGACCTCCAGCTGCATCCACGTTGCTGCAAAGGACATGATTTTGTTCTTTTTATGGCTGCGTACTATTCCAGGTTCATATGTACCCCATGTGCCATGGATCTGCTCCTACGTTGATTCCATGTCTTCATTATGGTGATGAATATGAGAATTCTTGTGTCTTTTTCATAGCTTTAATGATTTATTTTCCTTTGAACATATACCGAGTATAGGATTACTGGCTGGAATGGTAGTTCTATTAGTTCTATTGTTCTTTTTTTTTTTTTTTTTGAGACAAAGTCTTGCTCTGTCAGCCAGGCTAGAGTGCAGTGGCGCGATCTCGGCTCACTGCAAGCTCCGCCTCCCGGGTTCACGCCCTTCTCCTGCCTCAGCCTCCCCAGTAGCTGGGACTACAGGCACCCGCCACCAAGCCTGGCTAATTTTTTTTGTATTTTTAGTAGAGACGGGGTTTCACCGTGTTAGCCAGGATGGTCTCGATCTCCTGACCTCGTGATCTGCCCGCCTCGGCCTCCCAAAGTGCTGGGATTACGGGCGTGAGCCACCGCGCCCGGCCTGTTAGTTCTTTTAGAAATCCCCCAAACTGCTTTCCACAGTGACTGAACATTCTCTCTACCAGTGGATAAGTATTTATTTTCCTCTGCAGCCTTGACCACCTTCGTTATGTTTTTTTATTTTGGTTTTTAAATAATAATAGTCATTCTGTCTGGTATGAGATGGTATCTTGTTGTGGTTTTGATTTGCATTTCTCTCATAATCAGTGATGTTGAGCACTTTTCTTATATTTCTTGGCCACTCGTATGTCTTAATAAAATATTTTAAATAAACATACAATTATTACCTCTATTCATAGGTCAAATTCTGCCTATGTCCTTCTGTCTTCTTTCACTGCATGATTTTACGTGGATAACGAGTCAAAAATGAGATGTGCTGGTAATACATTTTATTTCATACTTATAAAGGTAAAACGTTTTTCTTTGAAAGATACCACATTATCCAATTTTTAATTTTTAAAAATTCCTTGAAAGCAGCAGTGGGGACCGGGAAATTTTAAAGCAGTTACTTCACAAGGTGATTCCAATTTATGCGGAATATTGTTCATTATAAAATTATTTTGTTTTTGAGCAAAACTAAAAAAATACAAATACAAAATAACATAATAAACACCATTTTAACCCCACTTAAAAATAACAGCTATTAATACATTCCTTGTTCTATTTACATTATCTCTGGTTGTAATTGGAATACACCCCATCTGGTTCATTTGCTTTTCTCTATTTCTAGAGGCACCGTAATCATGAACCTGGTATTATCTTCATATATTTTATAAATTTATTAAAATCTTTATTTCTAAACAATACTGGTGTTTTGTGCATTTCTAATGTTTTTATGAATATTATAAGCTGTGCATTATTTCACTTTTTTTGTTAACATTCTTGTTGAGAGCTGCCATTATGATAGCATAGTTCTTATTCTACTGAATTTCATTATGTTCTATTATGTGTTTATTGAAATGCGACAATGAAAAACCTTCCCTATGCCTCTGGGTACACATGTGTGAGAGTTTATAATGAACATACTAGAAGAATGGCTGGACTGCAGTGTGCATACAGTTTTAACTTTGAGGGGATAAAATATTCTCATTAGTTCCCAGGGCTACCACTTTATTACTATTGCTCATCCATGCTAATCAGCTTAGCATATGTCTCAGATTTTCCATTTTTAATGAAGTATTATTATAAGTTACATTGATTAGGACCAGCATGTGTTTGTCAAATGTTCATTTTGTTTAATAATTATACCTATTGTCAGGGCTCTATCAGTATGTGAGGAAAATAAAATATTAACAGAACGATGAGTTGGGGGATAAGTATGAAGATCAACTTTATTTTCCTAACACAGTTTGTACAAAACATAGATAATGCTTCTTTTTCAAGAACAGCATGCAGCAGAGTGCTTGATAATAAATCAATATTCAATGAGTCAGTATTGACTAGAAATGGCCAGCTTTTTCCAGTCTTGCCTGGTGATGGAAGAAGTATTTTACATAGTTTTTTTCTATGTTGCTCACTTACATGACACTACCAGATCATCATATGGTGGGTTTGGGGAAAGTGAAGGAAATAATAGGCTAGGTATACATTAATTATGTGCTGGAAATAGAAGTTAGCTCACAGAGAATACTTAATTTGTCTGGCCACAGTGGTTTTGTCATCTCTCATATACCTACAACTGCTTATTTATTGGCTGTTTGCTAATGACTTTTTTTAAGAACTCTGTTTCAGCAGCAATGGCCTAAAAGTGCAAGAAGATATTTAATTAAAAACTACCCGATTTCTCTTTCAATCAAATTATGGGTTGAAAAGTGCCAATAAACACATGGTATAATCATAAAGCCTTGTAGTCCATGTTGGGAACACAGGCTAAAAGTGATATCCTGAAATCCAGAACATGGAGGGCTTAGGGGAAAAACCAGCTGCTATTCCAAAAGGTAATACTTAGTTACATTAAGAAAACTATGCCTGAAGATGATATTTTCACAGGTTTAATATGTGAATTTGGAAAAATTGAGCATGTAATTCTGAGATGCTTGGCTTTTTATTTAAATCAGATTGCAATTTTTTAAAATCAATTGTGTACATTTTTAACTCAATTTTTCTGCACTTAAGAAATATGCATCAATAATTGCTAGTATGTTAGCTCCATTGCCTAAAGAAGACATTCCAAAAGAGTTGAATAATGCCATTTAGATGTTTCAAACAGAAAATTAGATTAAAAAGTGGTTTGAATTTTTAGTCAATCATTGGGACCAAAGTAAAGCTGTGGGAATATTATTGTGCCAAAATAAAAAACATTGAAAAATATGATAAATGGTTTTTTAAATTTCGCTTAAAAAGCTAAACATTGTTAATAACCTTTATTGGTGACAAGAAGCAGCAACTTTGGAAAAGCTTGCAAGAAACTTTATTTAAAAATCAATATAATATTAAAACAAATGGATTTTGCAGAAAAGAACTAGAGATAATTATGTTAAGAAACAGATTAATTCATATAAATATGTTCTGGAATAATTATTCTGCCTACTTTTAAATATTTAAATAATAAATATAAAGAAGTTATTTTCCTATTTTGCCTCAAAATATGTAATTGTGGCATTAAATTTTTGAAGGGATTTCATTTTCAAAAATAGTTAGAAGATAACTATTTCATAGATCCACTGATATAATAAAAAATTGCCTGCAAGGAAATAATATAATAAATATTAAATAATTTTATGTATGTTAGTACTGTTTATTCTAAAAAAAGTTTCCGTTGGAACAATAAAAGTTTCAGTCACCCTAATTTTACTAAATATCATTAGATAGTCCTGTGATTGATGGAAGCAAATTACTATTCCTTACACCCTTGACTACACTCGGTATTATTAATTTAATAGTTACCAAGCTAATGAGCAAAAGTTGGAACGTAATGTGGTTTTGATTTATATCCTGTATTACTAATGAGCTCAAGCATCTAGCCATTTTCCGTTGCTCATTTGACTTTCCTATTTTCTAAAATGGATCTATTTACCTGTCCTGCTTTCTTCTACTGGGCTAGATTGTCTATATATTTTCTTATCTATTTGTAAGTTATTTTGATTTTTTTGGATACTGGTATTTTTATGTATATTTTTCTTAGTAATTTTCTGGAGTTTTATAATACCACAAGGTAATTTTTAGAATTTACAACCTGAAGATTTTCAAAAAGCTAACTCAGAAGTCATTCGTGGCCATAATGCTAACTTCTAATGAAAAAATAATTTTGCCATTTTAGCAAAACATTCTTTAAAGATACAAATTAGAAAGCACTAAAGTGCTGAATTCTATCTTTTTCATAAAACTTGCATGTAAAGAGTTATTTCAATAAAATCCTTTACCCTTACAGCAAGAACCAATTATTAAATGTTGATTACCTAGTTCCTGAATGGTTTTCTAAATATTTCACAATAGTCATTTTGGTAACAATCAATTAGCATACTTGTTAGAATTACTGGTTCTCCAGGTCTCATTTCAAATGATTGAACCAGGATTTTGAAGGAAAATAAAAAGAAGTATCTGGATATATTTTTATGACCCTTGTAATTATTTGGGGATGTTTGTGAAACTCTGGTCTAACACGTAAGATAAAGTAAAACAACAAAAACAACAACAAAAGAAAAAGAATCAAAGAACATCAAGTCAGGAGTCAGGAATAAATACCTTATCTTTTCCTCACTCCTGCCTTCTCAAGTCATATGCCCCTGTCTTCTTTCTCTTTCTTGGTAAATGCTACTCCAACTATCTAGCACTGCATAGGAGTAATTGACCTATTAGTTTGCAATTTAGCAAAAAGTAAGAAAACTATTTCTGAACATTTTCTTTTATGAACCTGTTTCCAGCTATACACTGTGTGTCAGTTAATGCTATGTATTGCTATAAAATAGCAGTATTTAACAAAAATATTTGACCATTGTGGCAAAATTGTCTTCTGTAAATGATCCACTGCTACTAAGATTACATTGATATTTTGGAGACTATACTGACATTTTGAATTTCACATATTCATGGAATATTAGAAAGCGTCTTCAGATGTCAGCGTCTATAATGATAAGAGTTAATACTTGTATTAACTTCCAAATTTTTCTGTGTTAAAGCAGGTGTGCAGGTATTGAATAAACAGGTAGGCCACTGAGGCATAACTGTGGTTAAATTTGTAAAAGTCTTGGTGAAATTGCCCATGACAACATCTCCACAGAAAATTTAGATTTTTGGCTCACCTTGGAGATGTTCAAGAAAAGGACATTTTTTGTTCCTAATGATTCACCAGCTGGTTCTTAAACGGAGATAGCACAATATTGTGGAAAGAGGCAGTTCTGTAATCTGACATTAGACTTTAAGATAAGATAATTATTTTGAGACCCAAATTTCAGATGTATGAAGTGGGGTCCAAAATATCTATTACCTGTGTGTGTAGTTATAAAGATCATATAATAACAAATTATTCTGTTTACCTTGTACTTTTCTGTAAAACAAGAGCATCATTTAACTTTGTTACTTAGTATAGCTTTGTGTGAACATTTTACAGGAATATTTATCTCTTGACAAAGAAAATAGTGATACTGGCAGAGAATGGTACTTACGCCAACATTGACATTGCAGAGCTCCAGCTGTTCTGTAGAGAAACTGGCGTGAATTGAAAAAAAAAAAAAACTGGACGATTGAAGGTTACTTGTGGGCCACTCTTTATTTACTAAGACTATGTAATTCTCGGAGAGGACACACAACCTGTGAAAAGTTGGATGTAAATGATGAAGAGTCATTGAGAAAAGGCTGCCTCAAGGATCATCCTCTACATTTCTAGCTTGAAATACAGGGTATTTTGTGCTGTGAATTTCTGAAATAGTGGAATATCGTAGGAGGAAACATGTTTTGGGCATGAAATGAAGGGCTGGTTTTGGTATGTGGAGATGTAAGACATGCAGTTGGATATGCCAAGTCTGAAGGTAGAACAAAGATCTGGCCTGAAGTTGGGAATTTCTTAATGGTCAGCATAGAAAGGGTGTTTTAGCCTTGAGAAAACGCAAGAGGATCCATGACTGAGATCTGAACAACTTCAACACCTGTAGATTTAGTAAAGATGCCAACAAAATACACAACAAATTCATATTAAAAGTAACAGGAAAAGACAAACAACTTAGTGAGAGGCATTCAGGCAACTAGCATTTAGCTAGCTATTAGCTAGGAAATTTGGGAAAAAATAAAATGTCTAAAGAACCTTGATCAGGTTTCCAAATATACAAAATAAATCCACTTACATGTTAGAAGTCAATATACAAAATCATATTATTGTAATGGTACTATTTAATGGTAATAGACAAAAAAAATTATTCTGAATTAAATCAATAGTATATTTTCTATCACTGTGTTTCTTTTCTTCTCAATTTATTTGTGTGTCATTTTAACTCACTAAGCAATGACTCCTCTTAATCCCATCACTTTTCATTTAACGCTCCATTTGTTTTTCATATGGGCAATATTTCACTGCCCAGTAGAGCAGAAAGGCAGAATTTGTGCTTTTATATTAGAACCACCTTTGCTTTTCAGATCTGGGCTTCTGGAGTGTGCTAAATTTAAGTATTCTCATCAGATTTTTCAGATTTCTGTAATCACTTCTCCAACATAAACAGTCTCTGCAGGTGACGACTACAATAAAATTAAAATTACGCTGGCTTAAAAAAAAGTATGTTTATGTAAATTTGACGCTTTTAAGTTTGAGGCCTATGTTAACCATTGCTTTCATCAGAGTTCTCTATTCACTTTCCCCAGAATCTCGATCATTTTTTCCCTTCAGACCAGGTCTTACAATGAAGAATATTGCAGATCTTGATACTCTTATCTGTAGAAATAAGGACTGCAAGAAATCTTTCAAGAGTTTTAAGATCATTCGGTGACATCTCAACCTGAAATTTTGTTGTCAGACCAAAATCGTGACTGAGGAAGTATCAGCGTCTTTGGCTCACCTTCTTCTTTCCAGGTTTCTCCTTTCCTTTTCCTGGCACCCAGTGTCTTTAGTCCAGAGAATTATGGTTTGAAAATCCAATTCTCCTTTTTACATTAATTTACTGATGACATCATGTGGTATACTTTCATGAGGATGGATTCTATTGAAGAATATCCCAATGCACATGCCACTGCTAAAACCAAAGGAAAAAAGTCACTTGTGAAAGGATCTGAAAGCCATTTGACAACATTTCAGAAGACATATTTTTAGGCTAGGATTCTCTGATTCATTCTACATTTTAACTAGTATTTTTAAGTTGTAAATGCATAAAGGATATGAAAGAAAAAAAAATTAGACAACACCACAGAGTACGTAAGCCCAGATGTATAATTCTCCATTCTGAAGTTATCCCTAAGAGAAGTTTGTTCAATTTCTCAGAAATATATATCAAAACATATAATTTTTAAGTTAAAATGAGTGTATACTCTATGTGCTGTTCCGTACCTACCTTATTTATCCTAATACTACTTTATCAACAAAGAGCAAATATGTTCTCTTTAATAGCACTAAGGCTATTGCATACCGTTTTCTGGAGGCAATATACTGTAATAAAGAAGTTCTTTATTTCATGATGAACAGTTCTGTCATTCCAAGGCTTTTGCTACAACAACAACAACAAGATCTTACACAGACATCTTTCTATACATATGTGAGTATATTTGAATATTTTTATTTTTGTTTGATGTATAGATCCAAAAGATTCATTAGAATTGCTTTCTTGTGTTTTTTTCATTTTTCCAATAAATGGTGACTGAAACAAATCATTTGTAGACGACTTCAACCTAATTGCCTGAGGTCAAAGAACTTGTGGCATTTATGACACTGATTATTTGACATTTGTTAAGATTTGCTTACATACTATCATGTGACCAAATGTAAAATGGTAATAATGAAGTTTCATTTGTGTTTGAGAATATTGTTTCTCTCTAATTATAGTAATTAGAAATTGATATATATCTATTAGAATGTTTAATTTTTCAAAACTTGTTTTTAATATTTTTTATAAACCTGACATATCAATCTCCAAGAAATTTTTATTGAAGTCACCCATTTTGGGTGTTGTAATATTATGGATTTGCCACAGTACTGGAAATAAATACGATGCATATATGTATGTGTATACACACCTATACCCACAAATATATATATACACACACACACACACATATATACATATATATATACACACATGCATGTGTATATTTGCACATATATACACGGTGTTTATATGTGCATATGTGTATGTGCACATATATTTATGTGTGTGTATGTATATATACACACAAATATATGGAGAAAGAAATCGATTATAAATAGTTGGTTCCTGCAGTTATGAAGGCTGGCAAGTTCTAATACAGTTGGCATTTTGGACACCCAGGAGGATTGATAGTATAGTTATAGTCTGAGTCCAAAGGCCAGAGACCCAGGGTGGCCAATGGTGTGTTTCCAGTTTGAAGGCTGGTAACCTTGAGATCTGGGAAGAGCCAAGGTTTTAGTTTGAATCTAAAGGCAGAAAAATTCAAAGCCCTAGCTCAAATACAGTCAGGAAGGAAGTATACCCTTATATTTTATCCTTTTTGTTCCACTCAAATCTTATATCTTTCTTATTCATTAATGAAAAGGTTAATCTCATCCAGAAACACCCTCTCAGACACAACAGAATAATGCTTGACCACACATCTGGGCACATAGTGGCCCAAACTGACACATAAAATAACCATATGGGTGGATTAAAAAATACATATCCCTGAAATGTAATCCTTTTTGAGCATATACGTGTGCTTATTTTATTAGGTGCACACACATTTTAAGTAACTTCTTGTTGAAGAAAGACTTCCATGAGGAAACGGCCTTCTCTATCCTTAAAAATATGTATTTTCTTGTATTAAAGCTCACTTTTTATAAAATTAATATAAAGATATCATCTTTCTATTGATTAGTATTTACCTAGTTTATTTCTTTCTATCCTTTTATTTTCAGTCCCCATTTGTTTGATGCATTAGGCTTCTCTCTTGTTAAGTATTATTTAGCTTATATTTAATGAATGAGTTTAGATCATTTACATTTATTATGATTGTAAGAAATAAAGAGAGAGGAAAGAAACACAAAAAGTGGCTCACCAGTAATGACAGATTTATTTTAGAGAAAACAAACCTGAGAGGGCACCTTCTGGCTGAGTTAGGTCAGAGGCACACTTTCTTAGAGACTAAGAGTTCTTAAGGATTCAGGGTGGGAGAGTTTATCAGAGGCTTGGACTGCTTCTGTGTTTCTTTGCTGTGCTTGTCTGGGAGGGAGAGTTTTGTGTCTTCCCATACATCTTTCTGCAGCTGCATGCTTGTCCCCCCAGTCTGCTTTTAGCTTCCCTAACATAGAGCACCTGAAGGGAAAGGAATGTGCTTAATAAGGACCACTGTTTTACTGGGGTCCATTGTATGAGGGGAAGTTTGGCAGTTACTCAAGGGACTTTCCCTTCATCTCCCTCTGTGCTGAGTTGTCTCATTTGTGTTTTACTGCCTGCTCTTTTGAGCCACTTGTAGTCAGAAGAGAAGTGATTTCCTTGAAATATATATGGCCAGAAAAGGAGATGGAATTTAAAAGTGGTGGTTTGTCCGAGATGCCACTGCTCCTGCTCTATCAATAATTATTGTTATGTTGGGACTTACTTCTAGCAGCTGGCTTTCTGCATATATATGTTCCTTTTGTCACCTAATAGTGGCAAGCAGCATTTCCTTGATTTTTAAGTGTTTGATATTAATATGATAATTTTCAGGTAATCCCAAACTCTGAAAAAATATATTGTAAATATCTTTTACATGTACTACAGATGTTGAAGAAATGAGCCATTCAAGAAAGGGCACCATATCAATAGACAATAGACATACCTAGCTTCAAATCTAGCTCTATGTGAATTTGTGCAAGCCATTGAAACTTTCTTTGCCTTAGTCTTTTGATCTAGGAAATAAGTGTTATAATAATACTATCTCATACACTTTACCATTAAAATTAAATCAAGTAATATTTGTAAAGCATGTACAACAGTGACTGTTGCATACTAAGTAAGGTATGCCTTTATTGAATATAATCCAGTAATTAAATGTTAACATTTTCCCATATCAGTTAATCTCTCTTAGGAGTTGGAAAAGTAAATAAATATTATGAGAGTGTTGAAGGCTGTACAACACCTCCCATCCTTTCTTCCTTCTTTCTTTCCACAGGTAATCATTATCCTGAATTTTATGTGTAATTCTCCCACATACATGTATTATAGAGTAAATATTTATCCATATATATATATCTATATATTTATATATATATATGCATATGCTATTGCTTTGGAGGCATTTAAAGAGTATATAAATATTTCATACCAAATGTATCCCTTTGCAATTTAGTTTTCAAATTTGTTATTATAGTTTTGAAATTGCAAATGTTTATACTGACAGTTCTATTTCATTCGTTTTAACCACTGTATTACATTTCATTATGTGAAAGAAAAGCCATTTTTTACACATACTCTCCATTGAAGGAGAGTTGATATCTTTCCACAATTTCTTCTTAACCCCAAAACATTTTGTCCTGTTTTTTTAATAAACATATAGAAGTGTTTTTATAGTGTATATCAAAAAATAAAAGTTCCTGGCAATTTGGTGTGCCTGTCTTCAAATCTACCAAGCATAACTAAAGAACTCTCTGAAGTTACCGTAACAGTGTATTAAGTACTAAGGTTCCTGCTTCCCTATAGCCTTGTCAACACTTGATCATATTTGACTTTTCAATTTTAGTCAGTATCGTGGATAGAAAATGGCCTTTTATAGTGGTTTTAATTTTCTTTTCATGTGTTTGTTGAATATTCAGCTCTTTTTTTTGAGACTGAGTCTTGCTCTGTAGCCCAGGCTGGAGAGCAGTGGCACGATCTCGGCTCACTGCAAGCTCCGCCTCCTGGATTCATGCCATTCTCCTGCCTCAGCCTCCCGAGTAGTTGGGATTACAGGCTCCTGCCGCCAAGCCCATTTTTTTTTTTTTTTTTTTTTTTTTTTTTTTTTTTTTTTTTTTGTAGAGACTAGGTTTCACCGTGTTAGCCAGCATGGTCTTGATCTCCTGACCTCGTGATCCGCCCACCTCGGCCTCCCAAAGATCTGGGATGACAGGCATGAGCCACCACGCCCGGCTGAATATTCAGCTTTTTTTCCTCTGTGAAGTGCCTGCTCATATGCTTCACTCTTTTTCTATATTTTGCCCTTTATCTGACAGATTTACATGTGTTATTTTATTTTATACTAACGCTTTGTGCTACAGCTCTCTTCAGTCAGTCAAATGACTAACTTATTTTTTCATGATGTCTTATGTCAAAAAGATTTTTATTTTATTATGTGTTCTTTAAAAATTTTTATTTTTACTACTATTATTACATTTTTAAAAAATTTTTTTTGAGACAGATTCTTGCTCTGTCACCAGGCTGGAGTGCAGAGGCGTGATCTCTGCTCACTGCAACCTCCACTTCCCATCTTCAAGAGATTTGATTCTCCTGCCTCAGCCTCCTGAGTAGCTGGGACTACAGGCACCCAACATCATGCCTGGCTAACTTTTGTGTTTTTAGTAGAGACAGGTTTCACCAGGTTGGCCTGTATGGTCTCAATCTCTTGACCTCGTGATCCGCCCACATTGGCCTCTCAAAGTCCTGGGATTACAGGCCTAAGCCACCACAACTTCTAAAATTTTTATTTTTATTAAAGCTTTTTAAACCTTATCAACGGTATTTTTCTGATACTATAAATTATTCTCTAATATTTTCTCCTAGCAATTTGGCAGTTTGGTTTTTACATGTATTTTTAAAGTCATCATCCATTTACTCTTGTGTACACTGTGACATAAAGATTTATTTTTATATGTCATTAACAAATGTGTTTAGCCCACTTGCCTTCAATTTTTTTCTTAGGATATTATTGAATAGTGCATTACTTCAGCATTGCTTAGACTGTAACTTCTGTTATAATAGTGTGCTTACTTCCGGGTTACTTCCATTTGCAATAGATTTTTTCCATGCTATAATACTTAGAAATAGCTGTATAAAAGTGTTCACTGTTAAACAGAGCCCTCGCCCGAATGCAGTGGCTTGCAGGGACAACCAGTGGCCCTCTTCGCACTTCTGGCCCAATGTATCACATATAAAGTAAG
Source organism: Homo sapiens (assembly GCF_000001405.40). NCBI lineage: Eukaryota > Metazoa > Chordata > Mammalia > Primates > Hominidae > Homo > Homo sapiens. Next base: position 22,275,209 of record NC_000024.10, on the reverse strand, counting down.
TGAAAACAGTGTGCTTACATTGCAAATACTGCTTTAAGACATATCTCTCAGTATCTTATGTATATTCATTTAAGTTTAGCCCTCGTAGATTTTCCAGTGTCATCATCCAGACTTATTCTCTACTTCTGTTAAAAAAAATTTCATGGCCGGGCGCGGTGGCTCACGCCTGTAATCCCAGCACTTTGGGAGGCCGAGGCGGGTGGATCATGAGGTCAGGAGATCGAGACCATCCTGGCTAACAAGGTGAAACCCCGTCTCTACTAAAAAAATACAAAAAATTAGCCGGGCGCGGTGGCGGGCGCCTGTAGTCCCAGCTACTCGGGAGGCTGAGGCAGGAGAATGGCGTGAACCCAGGAAGCGGAGCTTGCAGTGAGCCGAGATTGCGCCACTGCAGTCCACAGTCCGGCCTGGGCGACAGAGCGAGACTCCGTCTCAAAAAAAAAAAAAAAAAAAAAAAAAAAAAAAAAAAAAAAAAAATTTCATTTCATTTTGTTTAGTTCTTATTCTACCTGTGCTTATTCTTTATTTTTAAAGAGAAAAACAAGACACAAGATTAAAATATTTTTATGCAATCTACATAGAAGTAACCCTCTATGTCACTTAGAATGCATGTGTGTGTGTGTAGAAATATTTGAGTTCCTTTTTATTACTTTGCCACTACGTCAATAGGTAGAATTTGTGTTCTTTTCCATTAATTAACAAAAATAATGTGTGGGTATGGTTGTGTGACTTTAAAACTCAAAACAAGTTTATTTTATTATAAAACAATTTAATTTTGTGAAATCAGGCATAGATTTTAAAATATCTTTAAATAAATTTGAAGTCATCAAACTTCTTTTAAATTCAATAAAGTACCTTTTTTTGTTTGTTTTTTGATGGTCTCAAATCTTGCTCCATGTCATTTTCTCAGAGAAAATGAATAACATAACATCATCTTTACCAATTCAAAATTATCACTGCCTTACCTCTGCTTGATCTTAGTCTTAGCTCATTTTATTGGGAAACTTCATGGTCTTTATATCAACTAAGTTATTGAAGGCTTCAAAATTGAGTTGTTAAATAAACTGATTATCACCTATTTCTGTGGTGGTACTACTCGTACTCAGGGTGCTGGAGATGATACCATTTCATGGACTTAAGTTTCAAATCAAAGACAACTAAATCAGGTTGAATTATTCACTGCTTTTCCTTGGCCAACTGACATTACGGTCTATTCAGTAACATTTTAATGCCTGTACATTAGGTCAAAAAAAGCACAAGGCATGGTTCAATTGGACTTCTAATTTAAAATGAGGAAAGAAGGAGGGAAGGAGGGAAGGAGGGAAAGAAGGAAGGAAGGGAGGGAGGAAGGAAGGAAGGGAGGGAGGGAGGGAGGAAGGGAGGGAGGGAGGAAGGAAGAGGCCACAAAAAGCTAAACATAAAGCTTATCATCAGCATGAACTCTGTTACGTATTATTTCACTAAATAAGAAAGCCAAAATTTGTGCCATGTAGAAAGTGTAAATGGAAGTGGATCTCTGTTATCCATACATTATTTGTAGGTTCTGGCTTCAACTGAACCAGTCAAACCCAGCTTGCACCGTATGGCATGACCTGGTCATGTTCCTGCAGCTTTTTAAACATGGTTCATTTTTTCTGTTTATGCCTTTATTTCTTCAGTGAGTTCCAGAGAGTCTTATTGACCGTCAGTCTCTTATTCACTGTCAGTCCCTCGGTTTATTATTTCTATGTTTATTTATTTATTTCTTTTGGAACTTTGTATTTTAGGAAAGACCCAGTGGCACGCATCTCCTTTTGTTTTACTCTGGCACTAAGCTTGATGTAGGGCCATCAATCGTCTGTCTTTAGAATTATACATAACCTATGATTTACACACAGTTTGTCATCAAAAATTTGCATACATTTTCATTCAACATCTCTTTCCACTTCGCTAATTCACCTTCTTGTCTTCTGAATGCTTTTCCAGTTGGACCCTGCCAGCCACTTCCCATTGCTAGCAAGAACTTTCTTTTTCAACAATGTAGATGAGACTGCTTTTCTAACTGCAGTGATGGATCTAATCAGAACTTCATAAATCTTTACAAAATTACAGCTCAATACATTGATTGTCATCAGTGAAGTACCACTAGAACTATTTTTTGTCAAAATAAATCTTGTGGGATGGGCAGAGATGTGGGGATGGACTCTTCCAAAAGAGTACCATCACTTTGTTTCACTTTTTAGAATACATTTTTGGGGGCGGTAGAAGGGAATAACTGGACCTTCAATGAGTTGGAATAAAACAAATCATCATCACTTCAATCTATAATTGAACTTTGGAAGAACCAGTAACCTGAGCTTAAACTATACTATCAGTTCATGAAATTCCTCCTTTTGATAATACAGCATATTTCCCAAAAGGAACATTCTTTAGTCAGATGGGTCCTGTGTTTACAAGTGGCTTTCGAGACTGGGGATTTTACACCAGCACCTACAGTAACCAGAGCAGAATTATTGCTTCCCTAGCTTTGTGTCTTTCTATATGTCAACAAGGAAAAAAAAAGACTTAAAAAAAGTCAAAGCTGACGACTCTAGAGGGAATCCCTCTAATGCCTCGGCTGTTATTAAGGCACCCCAATGGGAACACTTTAATTGCTCATGACCATGGTCCTGCCTTCCTGGCCCATGTGCCCTCTGGATCTTCAGTAAGACCAGTATAGCCTCCATTAACTTTAACTGAGCAGCAAGGCACCTTTTTCTGGCTCCATAGTGCCTACTTAAACAGAACAAAACAAAACAAAAACAAAACAAAACAAAACCAGACAATGCATATCTTGAATATCCTCAATTAAGGTCTCAGTTAAAACAGAAGACAAATAATGAGATCAATTCATACATCATTTTTTAATTCAGCAGAACTGTCTTCTATTTCTTAACAAGAAGTGATTAGTTGGCAATGAGAAACCCAGAAAAGTTGTGAAAATTAATTTGCTTCTCCAAGAACATGCAATACATCATCCTTTATAATTTTACTTAAAAGGCAGGAGCGTGTTGATCTGTATATCATCCATTATTCTCTTCATTGAAATGAGGTTAAAAGATAGCATAAGCAATAATGGCTAATACTATACTTACAATTTAACCAAAAAGTTAAGGTTTACAATGCGTTTTATTTTACCGAGAAGTGGGTAGCCAGTATTCCAACTGTATTCATCTGGAGGTGTTTGAGGATTAAATCCATAATGTCTGGAACACAGTATCCAGTCATATCTTATTCTCCCTGTCTTGTGGGTAGCTGATCCGCAGCATTTTGAAGAGTTGTGTCACAGATTCATGGGTATAAATGTGAAATAAGTGAAACTAGTATGTATCTTGAGTATCCCTTGTTATTGCTAGATGCGATGTCACAGATGCAGTACCTGCCACAAAGTTTTATGGATCTCTGCATCACTAATAAACTATGGCAGAGCTCCAAATTACAATACCTCCTAGGAGGATTTCTACTTTGGGATTCCTGGAGCCTAAGTTTCTGTTCTTCCTACAAATTACAGATTCCATTATTTGGTGACAAATCATCTATTTAGTAGCAGTGTGTACTGGATGGTTGTGTAAAGTAAAACTAATAAGCTTTGTAGGATTGAAAGTTTAAAAAAAAGATTGTCAAGAGTCTATTTTTAACAATGGTAACAGAAACTAGCAAGTGCATATGCTGAAGGCAGAATAACATTCAGAGCCTCTTTGTTGTTTCAGAGGAAAAGGTGGCAACCCAATCTCAGAATGATTGTATGTGCACCTTCAGTAGGACAGTGTTTATATTTTTAGATACAGTATGATTTTAACTATGCTGGGTTGGTAATTACAATTAAGGTAGGTGCATGAATAATCCATGATGAATGAAAATAAATCTCTTATATATAAAAATGATACTACTAGTCAGGTATTTAGGAATTACAAAATTTGTTCTCTACTGTCAGATATTTATTACCTCCAATGAAACCATACAAGAGCACACTTTTCAAAGCAAATGTAAGTCTGTCTCTGGAAATATTTGTATGATTGAAACTCAATGATTCCTTCTCTCCTAGAGGCTTCTAATGGAGAGATCATTATTGAAGCACACATTAAAGTATACTCCTGAGATGTCATTATTTATGTCGACATTAAGAAGAATTTTGGGACATGTTTGTTCTTTCTTTCTCTTTCTTTCTTCCCTTTCTTTCTTTCCTTCTTTCTTTCTTTTTTCTTTCTTTCTTTCTTTCTGTCTCTTTCTTTCTTTCTTCCTTCCTTCCTCTTTCTTTCTCTTTCTTTCTTTCTTTCTTTCTTTCTTTCTTTCTTTCTTTCTTTCTTTCTTTCTTTCTTTCTTTCTTTCTTTTTCTTCCTTTCTGCTTTTTTTTTCTTTTGCTATGGGGTCTTGCACTCTGTCACCCAGGCTGGAGTGCCATGGTGCAATCTCAGCTCTCTGCAAGATCTGTCTCCCAGGTTCACGCCATTCTCTTCCTCAGCTTCCTGAGTAGCTGGGAATACAGGTGCCTGCCACCATGCCTGGCTAATTTTTTGTATTTTTAGTAGAGATAGGGTTTCACCATAGCCAGAATGGTCTCAATCTCCTGACCTCGTGATCCACCCACCTCAGCCTCCCAGAGTGCTGGGATTACAGGCGTGAGCCACTGTGCCAGACTGTAGCTATTTCAATATCCCTAAACAATTTTAACTTAAGGTAACTTCGTATTTCTTTGCAACATTAAAGGGTCTTTGGATTCAATTTTAAATCTTGAATGCAGTGGATTTAACAATTTAGAGTAAGGACAGATATATTTAAGGTAATAAGTTTGGTTGAAATATCTAATTTATGACAGAAGATATGCTGTCTACACTGATCATTTCACAGTTACCTTGTGAAAGATCATAAGGCACCATAGGCAAATCCAGGATGCTCTCCTTATGCCCTGATTGTTCTTGCTGGGCCTTCCTCCAAATTCTGACTGCCTCACTGCCATTCAAGTTTGAGACGGGTGCTGTATGTGGTTTAAGCAATGAGAGCTGACCGGCAACCGCAACAAAACATTAATCATATAAAGTTATTCAGTGCCTTTACCACATTATGATACTAATCCCGCTGAGCATAGTTCAGTTTCTGCAATCCTCTTGAGTAAGGCCTTTGTTAGTAATTTTCCAAGGTAACTTACTTGATCTTGGAAATATATTCCTCTCAGAAATTTAGTTGTATATGTCTATGATGTGTTGATGAATTCCTGTCTCTTTCACTGCAAGCAATTATGCATAAGATAGAAACAAAATTAGCAAAACGCCAAGTGCAATGGCTCACATCTGTAATCCCAGCACTTTGTGAGGCTGAGTTGGATCGATCACTTGAAGTCAGGAGTTCAAGACCAGCCTAGGTAATATGGCGAAACCCCAACTCTACTACAAATGAAAAAATTAGCCAGGCATGGTAGTGAATGCCTTTTTTCCACATACTCAGGAGGCTGAGAAAGAGGAATCACTTGAACCCAAAGTTGGAGATTGCAGTGAGCCGGGATCATGCCACTGCACTCCTGCCTGGGTAACAGTGAGACTCTGTCTCAAAAATATATATAATATATATATATATATATATATATATATATATATATATATATATATATATATATATATATATAAAATAAAATATAAAAACTCCAGGATATCCTGTTGCCTGTGTATTATACATCATCATTTAAAGAACAGAACCCCTATTTATAAAAATGAGACTATGCCAGCAATGATATTAATATTAAAGTTTAATTTTTAAGTTCATTATTAAAAGGAGCCTTAAAAAGATGCAGAATGGATAAAGTTCCAATGTGTATCTTTAGTAAAGTAGGAAGAAGTTTTTGGATCAAAAGATGAATTAATGTCAAAATTTGTCATATGGAATCTCATATGTATGATACTGTGTATTAATGCTTTAGCACATGTGTTTGGCAATTTTGTGATAAAATGAGAAAAAAATCTTAACATATCAACTTACCTTGTATTTAACAAAAAACAATCTCTACTAACCATATAAATTAAATTTAATATTTCATGTTTATTTGAATTATAATAAATTTGTCATGGAGAATAAGTGTGTGTGTGTTTGAGAGAAGGAATTTCTTCTCATAAAATGGATTATGTTACAAAATTATTTCAAATTAGATATTTTGCAAAAGGTATACATTTTCCCATAGTAATAATGCCAAAAGAACTATAAAGATACATAACAATCTTTATAACTGCAGGATCCAATATTAATAAAGACTGCCAGGCAAGACATAATTCACTTTGATTCCAAAATAAGTAGGAGGGTGGTTAGAAGAGGGGAGGAATACAGCCAGTGGAAGTGAGGAAAAGATCTGACAACTGAACATCTCTAAATCAGGAGCAAGGGTTAAAACTTTCTAGGTATGGATTTCTAGTAGAAAGGTAACATGTACAAGTCAATTGCAATCTAATTGTTCACAGAATAAAAAACACCTAACAGCTTATTATTTAAAATTAATAGTCCTGTTGTTTAGCACATATTCATACTTTCCATGGCAGAATTGTGCTTTCCTTTTGCTTGTTTCCTGTTAGGGGCCAATGGGATGCTCAGACATGGGAAACAAGGAAGGTCTTGAAATGTATTTGGCAACTGAACTTACACTCTTGCCTTCCTGCTTTTCTTTATAAGGAGAAAATAACTTAACTGCAGGCTTAAAGAGAACACATTAGAGTAGACCGAGACAAAATCAAGTCCAACTAAGCTTAGAAGAGTAAAAAAATCCCTCTTTATCTTCAATTACAAGGGCAAAAAGTACATGCTTACTGTAAAATGCCACAAGTTTTGGTATGGGTAATTAGGCAGCATTATTGATACACTAACTTTTACACTCTTTACCTAAAAAAAATAGTTTTGCCAAACAAGCATTTGGTACAGAAAGTGTTAGACTAAGGCCTATACAGGAAAATTAAAAGCAATATTAACAAGAGCAGTGATGATAACCTCAGTAGCAATAACAATTAAAACAGAAAATTAAAAGTAAGTAACATTAACAAGAATAGGGATGATAACCTCAATAGCAATAACAATTAAAACAGAAGGGTCTTACTTACATTATCTCATTTTATATAAAAAGACAATTCACAATGTGAATTGGAATGCTTATAACTTCAGCTTTTTTATTTTAAAATACCATATTCCCATGTAAATGGGGTCCTGCAATTTTCACCCAAATCAATGTAGACATCCCTTTATTGTGGTTAAGCTGTTCTTACCTGTATATGTGTGAATAAATCTTGTCCTAGTTTTGAGTTTCTTGAATGAAACAGCAGTAATAACAAAAATAAGATGTCCTCATCACTGATGCTATATTTGGCTTTGTTTAAAAAAAATCAGTCCTTAGCTTTTCAAACAGGCAATATCTGTCTTTAGAGAACATCTATTCTTGCCTCATCCTTTTGCTATCATATAACATGAAGTGGGAGAGAGAGAGATAGAGAGAGAGAGAGAGAGAAGCAGATAAACAAAGAGAGACAGAACAGAGAGAGAGAAACAGGGAGAGAGAGAGAGAAAAGCAGATAAACAGAGAGAGGAAAACAGAGAGAGAGAGACAGAGAGAGAGAGACAGAGATTCTTCAAAAACAAGTAATTATTTCTGCATCTTAAAGAAAGCAAAATTTACTTGTGAGTTTGAACTAGGGAATGAAAATTTTGGTTCTATATGTTTAATTAGTTTTTAATTTCTCTGTAACCTCATCATGAGTCTCTAACAGGAAATAATATTGATCATACATTTGGTAAAATTAGGTGCACATATCTTAGATCATTCTCAAGGGGCTCACTAAATTATTTACTAAGCCTAATGTGTTACTAATACAAGTTAAACTCCACCTCTAGTGTAACTGTAAAATTCATTGAGTAAATAGTGCCCTGTGACCATCATGGTCTTGGTATTAGAGATAAGTGAATCGAGTGCCTAGCACAATGTCTATAAGGAAATACTGTATCACTTTACCCTGCTCCATTAAAGGAATAAGGTTTACATCATATTCCACACAAGGAAAAAACATTTTAAATGCTTCATTTTCCCTAAGGTAAACCACAATGACAACAACAACAACAACAACAACAAAAACAGACTCATTCTGTCTAGTTCTAATCCAAAAATTAAATAAAACCCTGAGCTTTTCTGTAAGTTACTGAAAACTATCCTGGCCTTTGAAATGTTGATATATAGAAATGGAAAAATATAATCTGATTTGACAATAATTCAAAGAAGTTATTAATTGTCCATCATGAATGTTACAAATTTGATAAATTAAATATCTAGTCATATTTTTTAAAATTTTAGAGCAAGTTCTGTTAAAACCTGTACTCCAATTAATAGTTTTCTGCAAATGAATTTATTTTCTTTTCTAAATGACTTGGTCTCTGATTCTACCTTTGACATTTGATTTCCAGCAAGTGCCCAGAAACTGTTTTATATTACTGTTGTTATTAATATGGCAGTCATTTTCATAGTTCATAAATATGCATAGATTCAAATATATACTGTCTATGACAACGTTTTAAACTGCAATTATTCTGGGGACTTTAGCAGAGCCAAGAGACACAAAACAAACAATTTACTTCAGTTACGTTTTGCTTTATAAACAGTGATGTATGTTTCCCCCAAGGTTCAACTGAGCATTCAACTGAGTATTCTTATGACTACTCCATGAAGAAATGAAGTGATCACATGAAAACAAACCCAGGTGGAACCTGGGGGAAACACTAATTTTGAATATATGGTTATCATTTATTGCATATTTATTCAGCAAGCACTGTCTTGATAAAAACCGTAAGACACATCAAATCAACCTTAATAGACTAACTTTACAGCAGTGACTAATCACTCCCCATAGGTAGCCCCTTTTTATCTGGACACACTGTTTGTTCTAGATATGCTAACCACGTTAAAGACTTTGATGATTCTAAACATTGACTCGGTTACCCCAGACCAGGGTACCAGTGCATGGCCTGTTAGGAAAGGCTGTATAGCAAGAGGTGAGTGGCTGGCAGGTCAGCAAAGCTTCATCTGTATTTACAGCCACTCCTCATCGCTTGCATTACCACCTTAGCTCCACCTCTTGTCAGATCAGAAGTGGCATTAGATTTTTGTATGCCATGGTGAACTGCCCATGCAAGGGGTTTAAGTTGTGCACTCCTTATGATTATCTAATGCCTGGTGATCTGTCACTGTCTGCCATCACCCCAGGATGGAAAACAAGTTCAGGCCTCCCATAGATTCTACATTATGGTGAGTTATATAATTATTTAATTACATGTTACAACGTTTTAATAATAGAAATACAGGACAAAATAAATGTAATGTCCTTGAATCATCCTGCAAGCATCACCTCTCCACTCATGATCTGTGGAAAAATTGTCTTCCATGAAACCAGTCCCTGCCGCCAGAAAGGTTGGGAACATCTGCCCCAGACCAACCACTCCAGAGAAAACATAATGACTGAGCCATAGTAGTGGCCTGAGAAAAATAAAAATTCTAAAAACATGAACCAATCTGCAAAAAAGACTATTCCCACAACATCCCAGGAGAACTTGACCTGCCCCATATTCTAATAGGGTGAAAGGGCCCATACAAGTAGAAATTTCAAAGAATCTCTAAGTAGGTTACCTACTATCTTTTGTGTACATAAAATCTGTACATTTTCTTGAGGTTTATTTAGGCATTGTTTCACATAATAAATCCCAGTGAGTACTCAACCACCCTCTGACCTGGTAAAAATGCTGCTGGTTAACTTATCGATGCTGTTGCTAACTAATGAAAGATAACTAATAATTGTTTATACAATTTTAATACTTGTCTTAGTGCTTCTTTATTTAATTTTTAATAATTCAGTAGGCTAATGTTTATAATGTGTGCTATTAATATATCCTCTCTTTGGAACCTCATAAAAAAAACTGCACATAAGAATGCATTTACTACTATGGTTTTCATAAGGATAAACTTGGACAGAAACTATTAATACATTCTAAAGCATAAATTTAGTAAAATAATATGCTATCACCATTAATTTTATTACTGAACTAATTAAGTTTTTTTGTCTAAGATGAATGGGATCATTTGAAATTAATTACTTGAAAAACTTGAATGCATTCATGTTTTAGTATGAACTTTAGTATGCCAATTTTCTAAAGAGTACAGTTAATATTACTCATTCCTCATTCTGTTCAACAGTTTATTAAGCATGTACTGCACATTTGGAACTTGGAGATCCATAGGTTGATGCATAATATATGAAAACTACCTTCTCTGACATAAAAAAATTATGTGTTTTTATGTCAAACACAAGCAAGATATGAAAGCATACTTTTAATAACACTTTCAATTCTAAACTCTTCTGAAACTGACATTCATTCAAATTTCTCAATAAGCTTACAAACACAATCTTTATCCTAGTATCCTAGTATTGTTCTCTATACTATTCTGCAATTAAAATATTTCATTGCAAAATCTACTCTATATTTTATTTTCCCCTACATTATTTTCTTAATACCAGTGAAAATAAAGTAATGTAAAGACAAGACGCAGAAGATCAGCGAGAAAATGTGGCATGAGCTGAGACCTGAGAGAAGAATGAAACTCCAATCAATTGCAGAAGGGACTTGACTATCAGGCAAAGGAAATTAGAACTGATTTCATGGTAATCTCAGAACCTTCATATTTTCTCTCTCTGTCTTACTTTCTTCTATGCAAGTTCTTTCTTAGTTTCCGGGTGTGGGTACCTTGTTTACATGGTTACTTTGATTCAGATGTCATCAAGAAATTTAAAAAAGAGTTTCAATCCAGCAGTTAATAGATGTAATATGAACAAGAAACCAGCAATTATTTTATTTCATTATTTTATTTTTTCTCACTTTCATAAAGCTAAGTGAAACACTTCAGATTTAAGAAATTCTCCACTTTCCTGGGGCAAAATTAAGCTCTAAAGTTCAGAGGTTAGTAGAAAAGCAAGCATCACTTCCCATCTGACTACAAACAAAAGAAAACTAACCTTGCAGCCAGGACAGCAGGAATCTGGCTGGGTACAACCACAATCAAAGCTGCTGTGTAGATCAGCTGGCAATGCATCTTGAGTGGTAATCTGGGAGCATGCCACCACCACAATGCTTTGAACCCTAGTTAGCAAATACCAACTTCTAAGATAAAGTCTGTCTTCTATGAGTAACGATTAGGGCCATAATGTTGTCAAACCCAAAGGAAAGCATCTTTTCTTATCCTATTCCCATTATAAATTAGACGTACTTTGTAAATAAATACTGCTTAACATTACCTAGTTTTTCAGCAAATACAAAAGTTTTATAAGTTCAAAAGTTATGTGTATTCTGAGGTAGGTATATTAACAGGAAATATAACATGATATGCTCTTCACCTTTTCAAAGGTAAAATGAATATATAATTACAGAACCATATATTAAACTTTCAGAGGAATACAGAGAAATGTAGAGACATGCAACTAATCCCATGATGAATATAAATAAATGAAAAATAGGAAGAAAAATCACAGACTGTAATGATAAAATAAGAGTCATAGTTGTTTTCTTTTTCTTTCATGTTTGTAAAAACGTAATAATTGTTTGACACCTGAAAATGTGATACTAATTCTCTTAATTAACATGATACTAAATATTTTCCTCCAAGGTTTTTGTAGCCTTTAGTTTAGACAAAATTAAGTTTAGCTGATGCAACATTTTAAGGGATAATTTACTTAGCAAATACTACTTTGGAATTGTAGGAAAACTTTTTTTATTACAATTTGTATAGTTTTATCAATTTTAAAACTAATGGAAATTTTGAATAAAGACAAAAGCTGTGAAAAAAGAAAACAGCTCAGTGTGTATTATATCTAAAATGCTACTAACTTTCTTCTCCTTCTAAAAGAAATAAATTTTAATCATGACAAAGAATTTCTAAATATACTCTTAAGAAGTACGAAAACGGTGTTGGGAAAACAGGCTAGCCATGTGCAGAAAACTGAAACCGGACCCATTACTTACACAATTTACAAAAATCAATTCAAGATGGATCAAAGACTTAAATGTAAGACCTAGTGAGAGGTGAAGCCAGCTGAGCTTCTGGGCAGGGTGGGAACTTGGAGAACTTTTGTGCCTAGCTAAAGGATTGTAAATGCACCAATCAGCACTCTGTGTCTAGCTAAAGGATTGTAAACACATCAGTCAGCACTCTGTAAAATGCACCAGTCAGCAATCTGTAAAATGCACCAATCAGCACTCTTTAAAAGGGACCAATCAGCACTCTGTAAAAGGGACCAATCAGCCCTCTGTCAAATGGACCAGTCAGCAGGATATGGGGGGGGGGGGGGTCAAATAAGGGTTGGCCACTCAGCCAACAATGGTAATCTGCTGGGGTCCCCTTCCATGCTGTGTAAGCTTTGTTCTTTCACTCTTCACAATAAATCTTGCTGCCGCTCACTCTTTGAGTCCTCACTACCTTTTTGAGCTGTAACACTCCCCACAAGCATCTGTGGCTTCATTCCTGAAGTCAGTGAGACCATGAACCCACCAGGAGGAACAAACGACTCCAGACCCACTACCTTTAAGAGCTGTAACACTCACTGCGAAGGTCTGTGGCTTCACTCCCAAAGTCAGTGAGACCACAAACCAACCAGAAGGAAGAAACTTTGGACACATCTGAACATCTGAAGGAAAAAACGCTGGACACACCATCTTTAAGAGCTGTAACACTCACCGTGAGGGTCCGTGGCTTCATTCTTCAAGTCAGCATGACCAAGAACCCACCAGAAGGAATAAATTCCAGACCCATTTTGGCAACCATGAAGGCATTATTGACTATTACTAAGTGGTGAGTGCCATTGGACCCTTTTCACCTGCTATTCCATCCTACTTTTCCTTAGAATTCTGGGGCTAAATACTGGGCTCTTAAAAGTGGCTAGCATGGCCACTGGACTAAAGACAGAGGTGTCAGAGTTTCTGAGAAAGCGCTCTCTAACAACTGCTGACTCTTTGGAGTTGGAAGCATTGGTTTGCCTGGAACCAGCTTCACTTTTTCTGTACTTCTGGGCTGAGCCAAGAGTCGACAGAGGGGAAAGCCATTCAGCTCCGAGGTCCAACAACAAGTTGGTTGACCCTGTAGTCATGAGTGGAACTCTCAAAGTTACATTGCCCAAGAAAGACTCGCCCATCTATCCTATCTATCCTGACCCATGCCTCCTGGGTCCTAATGTCTGTTAGACAAACTTCCTTGCCCCTCTCTTCTCTGAGGCTAGTCTTGCTTCTAAAAACCATTCCCTGTTTATTTTGCTATTCTAGTTTCTTCAATAAGAATGATTTCTAGTATAAACTCTAGGACTCTATTCCCTTCGTTAGGCACCTGGACTCACCAATCCGAAAGACATAATTTTTGCTGAAAGCCCCATGATAGTGGGGACTATCTGGAATTTAAGGATCCCTCCTCAGACAAGCAGACCTAACAAAAACTATTCCTGAAGCTAGGATATGAGGAACCTCAGAAATGTTATCCTTCCTATTCAAGTGAGGACAAAAGATGTCACTCTTCCAACCCTGGTGATCCTTTCCTTCCCTCAGGGTATGGCTCTCCACTTCATTTTTGGGGCATAACATCTTCATAGGAGAATGTGAAGGTCCTAATACTAACAGGAGAATGCTTAGGACTCTAACACGTTTTTGATAATGCATCAGTATGGGCCACTAAATCCAATTTTTCTCAGTCCTCTTTGTGGTCTAGGACAGGCAAGGGTGCAGATTTTTGAGAATGCATCAGTAAGGGCCACTAAATCTGACATTGCTCAGTCCTCCTTGTGGTCTAGGAGGAAAACTAGTGTTTCTGCTGCTGCATCAGTGTGCACAACTATTCTGATCAGCAGGGTCCAGGGACCATTGCAGTTTCTTGGGCAGGAGTTGTTTCCACTACTGCATCAGTAAGAGCAACTATTGTGATCATCAGTGTCCAGGGACCATTGTGGGTTCTTGGGCAGGGGGAGAAACAAACAAACCAAAACCACGGGTGGTTTTGTCTTTCAGATATGAAACACTCAGGAATCAACAGGCTCACCCTTGAAATGCATCCTAAGCCATTGGGACCAATTTGACCCACAAGCCCTGAAAAAGAGGTGGCTCATTGTTTCTGCACTACAGCTTGGCCCCAAAATTCTTTCTGATGGGGAAAAATGGCCACCTGAGGGAAGTATAAATTACCATACTATCCGGCAGCTTGACCTTTTCTGTAAGAGGGAAGACAAATGGAGTGAAATACCTTATGTCCAAACTTTCTTTTCACTAAAGGAGAATCCACAACTATGCAAAGCTTGCAATTTAAATCCTGCAGGAGGACCTCTCAGTTTACCCCCATATACTAGCCTCCCTATAGCTCCCCTTCTATTAATGATAAGCCTCCTCTAATCTCCCCTGCCCACAAGGAAACAAGCAAAGAAATCCCCAAAGGACCACACAAACCCCTGGGCTATCAATTATGTCCCCTTCAAGCTGTAGGGGATGGGAATTTGGCCCAAACTGGGTACATGTCCCCTTCTCCCTCTCTGATTTAAAGCAGATCAAGGCAGACCTGGGGAAGTTTTCAGATGATCCTAATACATATAAAGATGTCCTACAGGGTCTAGGGCAAGCCTTCAATCTCACTTGGAGAGATGTCATGCTATTGTTAGATCAAACCCTGGCCTTTAATGAAAATAAGGTGGTCAAGTAAATGACAGAATGGCAACTGAAGAAAGGGACAAATTCCCTACTGGTCAGCAAGCCATCCCCAGTATGGATTCCCCTTGGGATCTAGACTCAGATCATGGGGACTGGAGTCATAAACAGCTGTTGGCCTGTGTTCTAGAAGGACTAAGGAAAATGAGGAAAAATCCCATTAATTATTCAGTGATGTCCATCATAACTCAGGGGAAGGAAGAAAATACTCCTGCCTTCCTCAAGCAGCTATGGGAGGCCTTAAGAAAATATACTCTCCTGTCACCCATCTCCCTCAAGGGTCAATTGATACTAAAAGATAAGTTCATTACCCAATCAGCAGCAGATATCAGGAGAAAGCCCCAAAAGTGAGCCCCAGGCCTTCAACAAAGTCTGGAGGCATTATTAAACCTGGAAATGTTGGTGTTCTATAATAGGGACCAAGAGGAACAGGCCAAAAAGGAAAAGTGAGATCAGTAAAAGGTCACAGCTTTAGTCTTGGCCCTCAGACAAACAAACCTTGGTGGTTCAGAGGGGACAGAAAATGGAGCAGGCCAATCACCAAGTAGGGCTTTTTATCTGTGTGCTTTGCAAGGACACTTTAAAAAAGATTGTCCAATGAGAAACAAGCTGTCACCTTGCCCATGTCCACTATGCTGAGGCAATCATTGGAAGGCACACTGCCCCAGATGACAAAGGTTCTTTGGGCCACAAGCCCCCAAGCAGACAATCCAGCAACAAGACTGAGGGTATGTAGGGCAAGCACCAGCTCGTGTCATCATCCTCACTGAGCCCCAGGTACATTTAACCATTGATGGCCAGGAAATTGGCTCCCTCCTGGACACTGATGTGGCTTTCTCAGTGTCAATCTCCTGTCCTGGACAGCTGTCCTCAAGGTCCACTACCATCTGAGGAATCCTGGGACAACATGTAACCAGGTATTTCACCCACCACCTCAGTTGTAATTGGGAGAATTTGCTCTTTTCCCACACCTTTCTCATTATGCCTGAAAGTCCCACACCCTTATTAGGGAGGGGTATATTAGCCAAAGCTGGAGCTATTATCTACATAAATATAGGAAACAAGGTACCCATTTGTTGTCCCCTACTTGAGGAGGGAATCAACCCTGAAGTCTGGGCATTGGAAGGACAATTTGGAAGGGCAAAAAAATGCCCACCAAATCCAAATCAGAATAAAAGTCCCCATAACTTTTCCTTATCAAAGGCAATATCCCTTAAGGCTTGAAGCTCATAAAGGATTACAGGATATTGTTAAACATTTAATAGCAAAAGGCTTAGTAAGCAAAGGCAGCAGTCCCTGCAACACCCCAATTCTAGGCATTCAAAAACCGAATGATCAGTGGAGAATAGTGCAAGATCTTAGACTCATAAATCAGGCAGTAATTCCTGTATATCCAGTTGTACCAAAACCGTATACCCTGCTCTCTCAAATGCCAGAGGAAGCAGAATTGTTCGCTGTTTTAGACCTCAAGGATGCCTTCTTCTGTATTGCCCTGCACTCTCATTCCCAGTTTCTCTTTGCCTTTGAGGATCCCACAGACCACACATCCCAACTTACGTGGACGGTCTTGCCCCAACGGTTTAGGGATAGCCCTCATCTTTTGGTCAGGCACTGGCCCAAGATCTAGGCAACTTCTCAAGTCCAGGCACTGTGATCCTTCAGTATGTGATTACTTTTGGCTACCAGTTCAGCTATTCTAAATCTCTTGAACTTTCTAGCTAATCAAGGGTATAATGTGTCTAGGTCAAAGGACCAGCTTTGCATACAGCAGGTCAAATATCTAGGCCTAATCTTAGCCATTGGGACCAGGGCCCTCAGCAAGGAATGAATGCAGCCTATACCGGCTTATCCTCACCTTAAGACATTAAAACAGTTGTGGGGGTTCCTTGGAATCACTGGCTGTTGCTAACTATGTATCCCCAGATACAGCGAGGTGACCAGATCATGCATACGCTAATCAAGGAGACCCAGAGGGCAAACACTCATCTAGTAGAAGAAGAACCAGAGGCAGAAACAGCCTTCAAAAACTTAAAGCAGGCCCTAGTACAAGCTACAGCTTTAAGCCTTCCCACAGGGAAAAAACTTATCTTTATACATCACAGAGAGAGGAGGAATAGCTCTTGGAGTCCTTACTCAGACAAGTGGGACAACCCCACAACCAGTGGCATACTTAAGTAAGGAAATTGCTATAGTAACAAAAGTCTGGCCTCACTGTTTATGGGTAGTTGTGGTGGTGGACAGCTTAGTGTGAGAGGCTATCAAAATAATACAAGGAGAGGATCTCACTGTTCTGACTACTCATGATGTAAATGGCATACTAGGTGCCAAAGGAAGTTTATGGCTATCAGACGACTGCCTACTTAGATACCAGCCACTAGTCCTTGAGGGACCAGTGCTTCAGATACATACGTGTGTTGCTTTCAACCCCGCCACTTTTCTCCCGGAGGATGGGGAACCAATTGAGCATGACTGCCAACAAATTACAGTCCAGATTTATGCTGCCTGAGAGGATCTCTTAGAAGTCCCCTTAGCTATTCCTGACTTTAACCTATATACTGATGGAAGTTCATTTGTGGAGAATGGGATACAAAGAGTAGGTTATGCCATAGTTAGTGATGTAACAGGATTTGAAAGTAAGCCTCTTCTCCCAGGGAGAAGTGGCCAGTTAGCAGAAATAGTGGTGCTTAGCCAAACCTTAGAACTGGGAGGGAAGAAGCATACAAGTGTATACAGACAGTAAGTATGCTTATCTAATCTTACATGCCCATGCTGCAATATGGAAAGAAAGGGAGTTTCTAACCTCTGGAGGAATGCCCATTAAATATCACAAGGAAATCATGGAGTTATTTCATTCAGTGCAAAAACCCAAGGAGGTGGTAGTCTTACACTGATGAAGCCATCAAAAGGGGAAGGAGAGGGGAAAACAGCAGCATAAGCAGCTGGCAGAAGCAAGAAAGACCAGCAAAAAGGAAAGAGAGAAAGAGACAGAAAGTCAGCGAGAAAGAGAGAGACAAAGGAGTCAAAGAAAGAGACAAAGGGAAGTAGTAAAGAAAAAACAGTGGACCCTATTCCTTTAAAAGCCAGGGTAAATTTAAAACCTATCATTGATAATTGAAGGTCTTCTCCATTACCCTATAACACTCCAATACCATCTTGTTATCAGTGTAAACAAGGGCATAACCCAAAAGTACTAAGTCCACTGACAATCCATAGGCTTCCTATCAAAAATCCTTAACCCAGCAGTTTTCCTAACAGGGGATCTAAATCTTAATTAATTACCATACAAAGGTCTGATCAGACCTAGGAGGAACTCCCTTCAGGACAGGACAAGAGATGGTTCCTCCCAGGCAATTAAGGGAAAAAGACACAATGGGTATTCAGTAAGTGATAAGGAAACTCCCGTAGAAGCGGAGTTAGGAAAATTGCCTAATAATTGGTCTGCTGAAACATGTGGGCCGTTTGCACTCAGCCAAATGTTAAAGTACTTAACAGAATCAGGAAGGAGCCATCTATACCAATTCTAAGTTAATATGGACTGAATGAGGTCTTATTAATAGCAAAGAATAATTGAAATCCCAAACTTAAAAGGTTTTCAACAACAGTAAAATTTGCTAAAACTTAACAGTATAATGTCTATTATCCTAACTTCTCATCTTGAGGAAATCAGACCCTATTGGCACCACTCAAACCTCAAGTCCAACAGCACAGAGCCATACAACTAATTACCCTATGTATAGGGTTAGGAATGGCTACTGCTACAGGAACTGGAATACCCAGTTTATCTACTTCATTATCCTACATTATCCTACTACACACACTTTCAAATGATTTATCAGATAGTTTGCAAGAAATAGTGAAATCTATTCTTACACATTAAAACAGTTGTGGGGGTTCCTTGGAATCACTGGCTGTTGCTAACTATGTATCCCTAGATACAGCGAGGTGACCAGATCATGCATACGCTAATCAAGGAGACCCAGAGGGCAAATACTCATCTAGTAGAAGAACCAGAGGCAGAAACACTCACTGCGAGGGTCCACAGCTTCATTCTTGAAGTCAGTGAGACCAAGAACCCACTGGAAGGAATACATTCCAGACACACTAGGGCCATTAGAATCCTAGAAGAAAACCTTGGCAGTAGTATTCATGACATAGGCATGGGCAAAGACTTCATGTAGAAACACAAAAAGCAACGGCAACAAAAGACAAAATTGACAAATGGGATCTAATTAAACTAAAGAGCTACTGCGCAGCAAAAGAAACTACCATCAGAGTAAACAGCCAACCTACAGAATGGGAGAAAATTTTTGCAATCTAACCATCTGACAATGGGCTAATATCCAGAATCTATGAAGAACTTAAACAAATTTACAAGAATAAAACAAACAACCCCATCAAAAAATGGGCAAAGGATATGAACAGACACTACTCAAAAGAAGACATTTGTGCAGCCAACAGAAATATGAAAAAATACTCATCATCACTCGTCATGAGAGAAATGCAAATAAAAACCACAATGAGATACCATCTCACTCCAGTTAGAATGGCAATCATTAAAATGTCAGGAAACAACAGATCCTGGAGAGATTGTAGAAAAATAGGAATGCTTTTATGCTGTCAGTGGGAGTGTAAATTAGTTCAACCACTGTGGAAGGCCGTGTAGTGATTCCTCAAGTGTCTAGAATGGGAAATTCCATTTGACCCAGCAACCCCATTACTGGGCATATACCAAAGGATTATAAATCATTCTGTGATAAAGACACATGCACATGTATGTTTATCGCAGCACTATTCACAATAGCAAAGACTTGCACTCCCAAAAAAGAAGGGGAAGAAAGGAACCACACTGTCAAATCAGCAAGTAATCAGTAAGACCTTGGTCTGCACTCGAGGTCAACACGTTCTGGGGAAAGCTGGTTCAAGCTGCATTTTCATTATGGGACAAAAGTTATCAGCACAGCAGAAACAGTATATAAAAGTATTGAAACAGTTGCTTATGACTAGCAGAGCTTCAATCTCACAGGTTCAATTAAAGAAATTAATATTAACTGTGGTCTCATATAATCCATGGTTCCCAGAAGAAGGAACACTAGATGTTGAACTGTGGGAATGAGTAGGAATGAATCTTAAACAATATTATGCACAGGGGCATCAGGTCCCAGCATCAGCTTTAACATGACAGGCTTTACTAAGGATGGCTTTAGTCCCATTATACACAGAAGAACATGAAAAGAAGGAGGGAGAAACATCACCTGCCTTATCGCCTCCTTTTCCCTCAGTCCCACTATCACTGGGCCAAAATAACAAAGATAAAATGGGAGGTTTGCCTAAGCCCCCTCGTACTATAATTGGAAAAAATGATACAAAATATGCTTCAGCTATGGGAACTTGTCTTAAACAAGTGGCATTAGAAGGAGAGTTCTTAGTCTGTGCAGTAAGGCAAGACTGAGAGGGTCATCAAGTACATGAACCCATTTCCTTTCACACTTACAAAGAACTAAGAAAAAGCATTAAAGAAAATGGATCTGCTAGAACATTTACAAAAGGAATGATTGAGGCCTTAGCAGACCACTTCTGTATGGCCCAATGGGACTGGTCAATGCTGGGTAAAGCAACTCTGGAGCATAGCCCATTCCTCCTCTGGAAGGCAGAATATGACGAGTAGTGCAAACCACAAGCCAACCAGAATCAGGCAGCCAGGCAAAATATAACAGCTGATAAACTCTGGGGGAGGGATCCTCATGCTGATGTACAAAAACAACTAAATTTTGATCCCCCGGCTTATGCTCAAGTGTCTTTGTGCACTCTCAGAGCTTGGGACCAAATTGCCAAGAGCAGAGTTTAGCAGGGGTCTTATGTAAATGTTTGACAAAGGCCTCATGAGCCATTCGTTGAGTTTATGGATTGGTTAACTCAGGCAATTAAGAGGCAAATTGGTCGCACCCAGGTCACTCCTATCTTATTTTTGCAATTGGCTTTTGAAAACGCTAATGCCAGCAGTCAATGCAGGCAATCAAGGGAAAGGCAAACAACATCGGGGAGATGATATAAGCGTGTCACTTGGTAGGAACTGAAACAAACAAGGCCAGAATATTAGCCATGACATTAAGACCTCCTAAAGTGAGAAGGGAGGGAAACCAAAATTGTTTTCTACGTGGAGTGAAAGGTCATGTGAAGAGGCAATGCCCCTATAGTGAAAACCAAGCTAACTCAGGGAAAGAACCCTCTTCTATATGTCCCAGCTGTACGAAAGGGAAACATTGGGCAAATCAATGCAGGTCTAAATTTTATAAGAATGGCAAACTCATAGGAAATCACTTGGGAAACTTCATGAGGAGCCAGCCTCAGACCCCGCTCCCAACTGGGGCAATGCCAATGGCTTTCCTCAGTCAGCTGAAAAGCCCACAGTCCTCTCTCTCAGAGCAGCCACTACTGGGAGTACAGGACTGTACTTTCTCTGCCCCAATGAATTAGTGCTAAAGGAGGGAGAAGGCCCTAAAAGGGTTGCAACTGGGATCCCTGGCCTGCTGCCTCTGGGAACAGTAGGATTAGTCCTGGGGCGGTCTAGCCTAACCAGTAAAGGAATGAATGTGCTCCCTGGGGTAATTGATAGTGATTACCAAGGTGAGATATTGGTTATGATGGAATGTAAAAGTCTGCATATTCTTCACCTTGGATCAAAAATAGCTTAGTTAAAGATTGTACCATACTGGGTCCCTAAGGCCCATGGGTAGGAAAGGGGAAAGGGAAGTTTTGGAAGCACAGGAGCTACAGGAGTGTATTGGAATCAATTAATCACTCTTCAGAGACCCAAGATTACCTTAAAAATTGGTAATAATAATTTTACTGGCTTATTGGACACAGGGGCAGACATTTCAATCATTAGTGATCAGAACTGGCCAGAAACTTGGCCTTGGGTGACTCAAAAACAGAAAATTGTCAGCACCAGGGATGCACACACTGCCAAACAGAGCATGCACCCCCAAACATACTGTGATTCAGAAGGAAGAAAGGCAGTTATACAACCTCTGATCATGCCCATCCCTGTTAATCTTTGGGAAGGGGGCCTGTTAGCCCAATGGTGAGGGGGGTGCATTCTGCACACCCTTTTCTAACAATGGCCACTGTTGTCATTCCTCCACTACCTCTGACTTGACTCTTCCAACATCTGTTCTGGGTAGAACAGTGGCCTCTGAAGGGAGAGAAATTACAGAGAACTCATGAGTTAGTTGGGGAGCAGTTAAAGGCTGGGCATCTTGAACATTCTACCAGCCCCTGGAATTCGCCTATCTTCCTCATTCTCAAAAAGTCTGGGAAATGGAGGCTTTTACATGACTTACATGATATTAATGCTAATTTACAGCCCATGGGGCCCCTTCAAAGAGCCTCCCTTGCCTTGCGGTGATTCCTGGAGATTGGCCTATAATTGTTATTGGCTTAAAATATTGTCTTTATACCATTCCTCCAGCAGAACAGGAGAGAGAAATATTTGCATTTACAATAACAGCTATCAATAATGAAAAGCCAGCTTGTTGATTTCATTGGAAAATGTGTCCTCAAGGAATGCTAAATAGTCCTACCATGTATCAATATCATGTAAATCAAGCCTTGCTCCCTACTAGAAAAAAATTGCCTGACTGTAAAAATTATTCATCCTATGAATGATACTCTACTAGCAGCCCCAATGGAGCCAATACTTTTAAATTTGTTTACTTCTGTCCTAAAGAACACACAGCTGAGAAGTTTAGTAATTGCACTTGTAAATGTACAGATGTCCAGTGTCCTCTCCTTGGAAATACCTTGGATACCTGTTAACCTCCCAGTCAGTAAGACCTCAGAAGTTTAAACTAAGTACTAGCAGCGTATACACCTTAATGATTATCAGAAATTACTGGGTGATATTACCCGGCTCCATCCCATTTTGGGAATTCCTACTAATAAACTACAAAACCTGTATTCTATCTTAAAGGGCAATCCAGCTCTTGATTCTCCCAGATATTTAATCCCTGCAGCAAAAAGAGAAATCAAGGAAATCAAGCAAGCCATCTCTCAGAGGCAGCTAGATCGCATTGATCTATGGTATTCAATTCAGTTTTTATCTTTCCCAACAAACACTCCCCTACAGAGTTACTAGGACAAATGACCCCTGGGCTATGATTCCTACAATGGTTTTTTGCTCACATACTGAGGCTAAAACACTGTCTCCCTATACTCAGTTAATTACTAAAATCATCTATTTAGGTCGCAAACATTGCAATCAATTACTAGGTTATGACTCTGATGTCATCAGGATCCCTTTAAATAAAAAGCAATTCGATGCAGCATTAGCTTTGTCAATAGAGCTGCAAACAGCTTTCTCTGATTACACAGGGCAAATAGAGATTGTCCTCTCTACTGATAAACTCCTTGTTTTCTTATCTCACACTCTTATAATATTGCCTATAAAAATAATTTAGTCCCCCATGCATAATCCTTTAACACTGTTTACAGATGGGTCTGCTAAACATGGAAAAGCAGCAGCCTGGAGACCCCAGAATTCAATCACTCAATCTGGGTTTACTAGCACAGAGCTGCAATTGGGGCTCTGATTTTGGCCTTAGAAACTTTTTTCCACTCAGTCCATAAATATAATTAGCGATTCTGCAAACTCTCTTAATTTATTACAAAAGTTTTAAACAGCACTGATTAAGTCCACTCTGGAGCCAGGCCTGTTTACTCTTTTCTTCTGACTTCAGCAATTGCTAGACCAATGCACACATCCTATTGTTATTACCCACATTCAAACCCACAGCTCACTGCCTGGTCCATTGGCTTATGGCAATGAGCAAGCAGAACTTCAGGTTATGACATCACTGCTAGACCAAGCCACCCAACTGCATCAATTTTACCATCAAAATTGGAGAAACTTATCTAAACAATTTCAACTAGCCCAGAGACTGGCTAAACAGATTATCCTATAATTCCCAGATTGCCAGTTCACAGGCATGTCCCCTCCTTTTAGAGGTTTGAACCCTAGAGGATTGGAACCTAATCATTTGTGGCAAACAGATGTTACAGGCATTCCCTGAATTTGGGAAACTAAGAGATGTGCATGTATCCATTGATACCAACGCTCATTTAATGGAGAGCCTCAGTATGGAGAGCCTACTCAATATGTCATTAAACATCTTTTTTTAAGTTTTGCATTCATGGGGTGACCCACAAAAATTAAGACTGATAATGGTCCAGCTTATACCAGTTCACAATTTCAACAATTTTGTTGCAAGTGGAATATCCAACATTCCACAGGCATCCCACAAAACACCCAAGGACAGGCAATAGTAGAACGCACACACTTCACCCTTAAAAATATGCACAAAGAACAGAAGAAGGAGAATATAGATAAGGATGCTGCAACACTACTAGCACAAGACTTATTTACAATTAATGTTTAAAATTTAGATGTCAAATTTCAATCAGCTGTAGAAAAGCACTTTGCTAAAACCTCTCAAGGCATAAAACCTGCAGTTTTACAGAAAGATGTAAACAGTAACAAATGGTGTGGTCCTAGAGAATTATTAACGTGGGTGTGAGGGTATGCTTGTGTTTGCTCCCCCTCAGGTCCTCTTTGGATTCCATCATGAGGCATCAAACCATCCCATGGTGTAGCTAGGATCCAACCCAGTACCAGAATTGAAAGAGTTAACCCTGCAAGACCCACAGTTCCAGAGGACATGGCTTTGGCATACAACACAGCCCTGGACATTAGCTGGAGTACGCTGAAGAGGACAACTCAGGAGGCTGAACAAATCCTGCTCTGGACGCAGACACAATTTACTCCAGATAATGTGTTTCTTGCTGTGCTTTCTATTGTACATTGTGACTCACATAGGGTATTGATACTTTTTATACTCTTGCTTTGTCTGCAATCTGTACCTTCTACACTCTATTGGGCCCATATCTTAGGCCCACATTTTTTTCACCATGTCACCTGAGCAGACACTCCTTTCCCAGCCTAAAATAATGTGACTGCTTGGCAAGGAGGGATAGAATACCCCCAGTGGGGTCCCTCAATAATGGCACATATTGGACTAAGGTGCCAGATAACACTATATTTCACTCCACTGTCTTGCTACTGCCTATAAGTTATAAAGGTTCTAACCTTACTGTGAACCTGCCCAAAGACAAGTATGGCTACATCATGGCAAAGAAAAAGTCTTAACATTTTTAGCGGCAGGTAGCCTCAAACCAGACAATAAAATCCATGCTACTTTCCTAAATATCCCTTCTTGTGCTAAACAACAGAATTGAGGAAGTAATGGATTTCACTTTAGTTGGGAAGTCTGTCATGGGAAACAAGCCCATAGCCTCTGGTTGAGCAATTAAAACATCTTAGACTGGAGTCCTCATGGCCGATTGCAGGGCAGCCTTACAAATGTCTTTGTCTATCATAGCATTAATCACAGTTTCATAGCCATGTCTCCTTCCCCTATAATTTGGGCTGATGGGGGGCTGGGATATCCCTAGACCCCAAGAAAAGTCAACGCCAACCCAAGGCACCTTATAGTGCCTGGGACATCTTAGCACCTCCCTTAACACCTGCCATGGGAGATATAATAATTCCAGTTGCAACTACACTATAGCCTTTATTCATATTCACACTGATCTGTGCCTGGTTTGCACTACTCATCCATATGTTTTCCTTATGGGAACTAACATTTCCATTACACCTGGAAACTCCACGTTTGTGAACTGGGTAAAGGGACAGGGTTGGTTTGCCTCATGTATCACTAGTCACAATATATCTAATTTAAAAACTTCTAGTGTCAAAGTATTAAGGAGACAATCTGAGGCATTTGGACTAGTCAATTTGACACATGATTGGCAAGGTTCCTTTGCCCTTACTGCCTTAGAACGTGTCCTGTCCCAGGTCAGACACAAAAGATTTATAGTTACATTATGGCCTTTATATTCTCAGCCATAGTTGATCTGGCAACTGCTAGCATTGCTGTTGCATCTATTGCTGAACCAGTACAAACAGCTGCTTTTGTAGATAATCTGGCCAAAAAGGTATCTAATGAACTTCTATTACAGCAAGGGAACAATATGTGAGAGAGCAACAAGATGCACTAGCATTCTCTCAACAGTAAAACTGTGACTGGGAACATAAGCATACCTGTGTCACTTCTCTACCATGAAATCAATCAATGCATAGCTGGGATGAGGTGAAACAATACCTCTGGGGAATCTTTCATAACAATTTAACAGCAGACGTGAAGCAACTTAAGACTAAATTTTTAGAATCCATTCACACCATAGATCTGCACACCCAATATACAGTCACATGGAAGGGTGTATAAGTTCATCTCTCCTAATTAGACCCTCACTGGGGGGGGTCTCCTAGTTAGAGCATGACTGGGGGGTCACCCTTTGACTAGAAAATAATGTTGCTAAATATGCTCATGTTTGTCTTATGTTATTTGCTAATCCTAGGATGAAAAGTCTTCCGGAATAAGAGCAGAGACCGCCTCATCTGAAAATCCTGTGGCTGCCCATATCTGCATTCTGCAATCAAAAACCCTAATAAAGAAAGAAAAAAAATGGGAAAATGTTGGGATTCACTCAGGATGGTGGCAGAAATATTAAAGGGAAATATTAGGGAAAGATCTAGGGAATAGTCACAAAACTTTTGGAAGGCTAAAAGGTTACGTAGCTTGTAATTGAACAGGCTGAAGGCAGCCAGTTCTTCCCTTAGAACATTAGGTCATAGGGTAAATATAAGAGACAATAGGGGCTTCCCTAGTTAAGTCTGTTTATCTTACCTCCATTAACTAACTTTTTAGCCAGAAGGCCCTCTCAGGAGGTCGACCAAGAATATTTTCCCGAATGGTATTCACTTTAGACCAGGGTACCTGAGCTTTAATTATTCATAGAACTACTGTCTTAACCATGTTCATTATCCTCAAGCGTATTTCCACAAAGCTTCTGTTTGTAATTGCTTACTAAATAAATGCTTGGAGTGCCTGCTGCTTAGGGCCGGCCACAGTGAGAAACCTCTTTTAGTGTGCAGGCAGTTGGACACAGCAGGACTGGCAAAACAGAATATCTGTGTGTCAGTTTACATTTTATTCATCCATCATTTGGGTCAGGGTCCACGGGCAGACCCCTGCAGCTAATGCCCTTGTGTGAGGAGAAATACCGCAGTTAGGAAACTCAAACTACTGGTAGTTCAACTCAGGGTAGTTGAGTTTGAGTCCCACTAAGTTAGAGAGAGTAGACAAAAATCTTTGGCTTCCTATTGAAATTGCAGAAAGAATACACTTTAGGAAGAAAATCTATATGCCAGGAATAAAGAATTCACATGAGAATAAGGATAAAATCCGAACAGTCTCATCCTAATAAAGTATAAGACAAAGGTTGTACAACATCAGTATGAGTAGCCAACAATTTCTAATAGAACAAATGCTATCCTTCTTCAGAGAAAGAAAACAAATCCATTCTCTAAACATGCAACTGCAGTTCACAGATAAATGTTATTAGGCGTATAAAGAAACAGGAGCATATTGACATAGGAGAGATAAATAAGAAGTCAGACTCCTCCATCACCCAGATACTGGAATTAACACACCAGGACCTTAAAACTGTTCTTTAAAATGGTTCAAGGACTTAACAGAAAAGATAAAAAGGCTGTATTAGCAGAGGTAATTCAACATCTGAGAAATTTAAAAAGTGGGTGTTTTTAGCAAGACTTGGAGAAGAAAATAAAGTCAGTGTTCAAGAATGTGGTAGGCAGTATGGCTTCTAGATGCTAAAAACAATAAAGGCAACAGACTATATGCTAAAAACAATAAAGGCAACTGGTAGAGACTGTAGAAGAAATTCCGCCTTGCCTAAACCTTCATTATAGTTTACTGAACCCATTTCAGTCTTCTGACACCCAGAACTGTGAGAAAATACAGGGTAATCTAAGACCTGAAGAAGAAGAAAGTGTCAGCTCTGAAAAAGACTAACAGAAAATGGCATGGGCAAAAGCAAAGGGGAAAAGCTCTGAACCAAGACAGAGCTTGAAAACATGGGCAACTTGAATGAAATATTATTGACTCTGGAATAAGGGGGTGGGCCTGAGATATGAGGGTGGAGCATTGGACAGGAGCCACATCATGAGGGCCTTGTGGATGCTAGTAAAGCAAGTAGTTACTTTCTGAGACATATCCTCCACACACATCCCTTAAGAAGAGTGACTTAATGTAGTGTATATTCTTTTGAAAAGGGAGTATTATAAAGAATAAGTTTGAGAAGGCAAAACTGAGTAGGTGTTAAACTTTAGGGAAGCTATTGCAGTAGATGAAGCAAAATATAATAGTGGCTTGGATTTACAGTGGATATGGAAAGCACAGCATAGTCTGATTGGAAATATTAAACTAAATTTAGCAGAACTTAATTTAGATTTGATGTAAAGTTTTAAGAAAGGAAGAAATTTAGGATAAACCTTTGGTGTTTTGTCTTGATTGGTTGATAGTGGCTTACAGATACTTAGCAATGAATACCACTGTTAATAAAAGACTCAGTTAGAAACTGATGCTGGGACTGCCTGAATGCAAAGCTCTTGTGTTTTTGTTTGTTTGTTTTTTGTTTTTGTTTTGTTTTGTTTTACTACAGTAGGCTTAAAAATCATCTCTACTTGGTCCCAGGTTTTCTTAAAAAAAAAAAAGAAGTTGTGAAACTGATGATTTCTGTCACCATTGTGATTCTCTGAGATATATAAGACTTTTACTCAATTCCTTGGTCTGCACATCAAAAACATGAACTGAACTAATGTATATCCAATTTGTTACCCAAATGTGTTCGTCGGAAAAATTCAACATTCAGACACATATTTACATACACACATCCAAGAAATAATGAGATACACTCGAAGTACTTGAACTTGGAACCACAACAATTGTTTTTGAGTCTTGGCACTAGCACTTTCTGATATGTGTCATTATATATGTCATGTAATCTTATGAAACTCAATATTTTATAAGAAAAAGCATACATTAATACTCATAATATTGTTGTAAACATACTAACCAAATTACATTTTACTGTAAAATTAGAAACTAGATGTACTTGTTGGTTTTTCAGTGCTCTTACAAAAAACTAATAATTGTAACATATTAATATAAGTAGATGTGTGAAAAATAAGTTAATAATTTTCTTCTTCCAATTTCATACATAAGCACTAATAGCATTTTCCCAGTAATTTTCATGAAGATTAATTTTGCATATAAAATATTTGCAAAGATTATGTTGACATTTATAAAAGTGAAACTGCTATACAGACATCCATGTACACACAGTATACATGCATATTCTATAATTCACCTTTGCTAAAATATGTGTTTTAGATTTTTTCTGAAGCAACACATATATCAATCTTATTTGCATTAATAGCTACATTACAATCAACATTATATTTATACCAGAGTTTCAATGGATGTACCATTTAATCTTTCCAATTTTGAGGAAAATTCTATCATTCCAAAGATTTAGTATTAATAAATATTTAATAAGTGGTACAAAATGTGAAAACTGGGCCAAGTGTTGTAAGTACTTTGTACTGAAATTACTTAAATACCGAATTTATGTAATATTAAATAAAATTATAACTATTTAAATACCAAATTACTTTCCAAAAACCTTGGAGCAATCATGTTTCTTCTAGTACCTACAATGTCATCAACAATGGATGCTACTATTAGTTTTTATTTTTGTAAACTAATGAATGTATTATCTGTTACCTTAAGTTCATTTTTTGTTCTTGTTGTTGAGAACTAGAAATTCTGTTTAATTGTTACCAATCTCTAGGGTGTCGGTTTTTTTCTAGCCAGAAACATCTGTGGCTATGATGCCTTTGTCCAAGATATTGTCTTGTGTCAGGAAGAATGAGGTAGAATGAGGTACGCAGACAAGTGAATGGTGAACAAGAAGAAAAATTTTATTTAGTGTTAGTACAGCTCAGAGTAATGGTTTGCTCCTCTCTGTAGGCAGGTTGTCCAGTCAAGTGTTTAGCTCTTAGCAGAGAGGAGGCCCTGGAGGGGGCAGCTCCTCTCTATGGCAAAGTCATTTGGAGGTCTCTGCAGGCCTCTGAAGCTGTCAGCAGAGATAGTAGCTCCTCTCTGTGTCCTATGTGTAACGTTAAGAAAATACTGATGTTGAGCTTTAAAGCAGTATTTCACTATCTCTCTACACTGGCAATGCTCTTATTAAAATATAAGTAATCATTTGGCTTATATAGTATCATATTATGAAATGTAATAAGAGGCACTTACAATTTTTAGATTGCAATTTTGGTAATTAATATGGGCTTTGTCAGACACTCATGTAAGATATACATCTAAAGTTTAATTTATGTTATTTGGATATTATTTTATTAAATATCTAAATTCGGGAAAGGATTAATCAATATGGTTGACTTCAGAAATGCCTGCCATATATCTCTCATATTTGTTAATCAAATGAAGTGTTGGCAGATTAAAATTTTTGCAGCTTAGAAATTTTCAAAGAAAATACAACGCACAAATTCATAAATGGTGATATTATTCCAAATCTTAAGTCAAGTAATATGTCATTAAGAAACACATAAACTCTTCTCTCAGAAAAATATTTTAAGTAATGAAATGTCAAAAGATATCTTAGAAAGCAAGTTAACTATTGTGTACTAATTTGATGTAGAAATACAGAATAGTAGAAATAAGAGTAACAATGACTCACTTTTTCATCGAACAAAAATATAGGAAATCATCTTTAGATACAGAAACCTTTTTATAACTAAAAACACTGAGTTTTTAATTGGCAGAAGTATATTGAACCATCCAGATGGCAGGACTGGGCTGAATATTAGACCAAAGACACTGATGTTTAATGAAAACAGTGCATGGATGCTGTGAAATGTGACAATGTAAGCCGTAAACAGAAGGAATCTTGCTTTCCCCATTTGCTCTTCTGCTTCTCTCCTTTAACCTCATGTAGCCTGACATTTGATGGCTGGAAGATACTTCATTGCAAGTAGCGAGGCCAGCGAGGCCAAATCTTGGATTTGAATTAGCACACAGAAACTGGTTCACTTTTTTTTTTTGAGACAGTCTCGCTCTGTCGCCCAGACTGGAGGGCATTGGCATGATTTCAGCTCACTGCAAGCTGCACTTCCTGGGTTCATGACATTCTCCTGCCTCAGCCTCCCAAGTAGCATGGAAGCTGGTTGACTTTAATGCCCATGACAAATTTATTTGCACTTTCTATTTCTTAGATTATGTGAAAATGTAAAATCAATTGGAAATTTGGATGCTATTAGATTCCTTCTTTGATGGACTTTCTCACAGGAGTACAGTATAAGAATACATTTCTTTCTTTCAGTTGAATAAAGAGTACTGATCTGGCATGGTGGCTCATGCCTGTAATCCCAGAACGTTCTGAGGCCGAGGTGGGTGGATCACCTGAGGTCAGGAGTTCTAGCACTCTCCTGGCCAACATGGTGAAACCCCACCCTCTACCAAAAATACAAAAAATTAGCCGGGCGCGGTGGCGGGCACCTGTAGTCCCAGCTACTCGGGAGGCTGAGGCAGGAGAATGGCGTGAACCCGGGAAGCGGAACTTGCAGTGAGCCGAGATTGCGCCACTGCAGTCCGCAGTCTGGCCTGGGCGACAGAGCGAGACTCCGTCTCAAAAAAAAAAAAAAAAAAAAAAAAAAGTTAGCTGGATGTGGTGGCATGCAACCAGATTTCCAGTTACTCTTGAGGCTGAGGGAGGAGAATCACTTGAACCCAGGAGGCAGTTGTTGTAGTGAGCCAAAGCCATTGCAGTCCAGACTGGGAAACAGAGTGAAACTCTGTTGCAAAAAAAAAAAAAACCAAACAATAGGAAAAGAGGGACTCCTCCCTAATTTATTTTATGAGACCAGCATCACCCTGATACCATAGCTTGGCAGAGACACAGCAAAAAAAGAAAATTTCAGGCCAATATCTCTGATGAATATCAGTGCAAAAATCCTCAATAAAATACTGGCAAAATGAATTCAGCAGCACCTCAAAAAGCTTATCCACCACAATCAAGTTGGCTTCATCCCTGGGATGCAAGGATGGTTCAACATAGGCAAATGAACAAACAGAATTCATCAAATAAACAGGAGCAAGACAAAACTCACATAATTATGTCAATAGAATCAACACCTCTTCATGCTAAAAATTCTCAGTAAGCTAGGTCTGGATGGAACGTATCTCAAATAATAAGAGCTATTTATCAAAAACCCACAGTCAATATCATACTGAACAGGCAAAAACAGGAAACATTTCCTTTGACAACCAGCACAAGGCAAGGATGACCCCTCTCACCACTCCTATTCAACAGAGTATTGCAAGTTCTGGCCAGGGCAGTCAGGCAAGGGAAATAAATAAAGCATATTCTAATAGGAAGACAGGAAGTCAAATTGTCTCTGTTTGCAGACAACATGATTGTATATTTAGAAAAACCCATCATCTCAGCCTGCAATCTCCTTAAGCTGAGAAGCAACTTCAGCAAAGTATCAGAGTACAAAATCAATGTGCAAAAATCACAAGCATTCCTATACCCCAATAATAGAAATCTAAATGGTGAGTGAACTCCAATTCACAATCACTACCAGAAGAATAAAATACCTACTAATAAAACATAAAAGGAATGTGAAGGACCTCTTCAAGAAGGACTACAAATCACCACTCAAGGAAATAAGAGAGGACATACCCAATTGAAAAAACATTCCATACTCATGGATAGGAAAAATCAATATTGTCAAAATGGCCATACTGCCCAAAGTAATTTATAGATTCAGTGCTATCCCTATTCAAGCTACCATTGACTTTCTTCACAGAATTAGAAAAACTACTTTAACTTCCCTAGGGAACCAAAAAACAGCCCACATAGCCATCACAATCTTAAGCCAAAAGAACAAAGCTGGAGGCATCATGCTACATCAATTCAAACTAAACTGTAAGGCTACAGTAACAAAAAGAGCATGGTAATTGTACCAAAACAGATATATATATATCATATATATATATGATATATATATATAGGTATATATATAGGATATGTATATATGATATATATATAGGATATATATAAAGGATATATATAGGATATATATATAGGATATATATAGGATATATATATAGGATATATATAGGATATATATAGGATATATACAGGATATGTATATAGGATATATACAGGATATGTATATAGGATATATATACAGGATATATACAGGATATATATACAGGATATATATACAGGATATATATAGGATATATATACAGGATATATATATAGGATATATATAGGAGATATATATATAGGATATATATATAGGAGATATATATATAGGATATATATATAGGAGATATATATATAGGATATATATAGGAGATATATATAGGATGTATATATAGGATATATATATAGGATGTATATATAGGATATATATATAGGATGTATATATACGAGATATATATAGGAGATATATATATGATATACAGGAGATATATATATGGGATATATATAGGAGATATACAGGAGATATTTATAGGAGATATATATAGGAGATATACAGGATATATATATAGGATATATATACAGGATATATATATAGGATATATATACAGGATATATATATAGGATATATATACAGGAGATATATATAGGATATATATACAGGAGATATATATAGGATATATATACAGGAGATATATATAGGATATATATACAGGAGATATATATAGGATATATATACAGGAGATATATATAGGATATATATACAGGAGATATATATAGGATATATATACAGGAGATATATATAGGATATATATAGGAGATATATATAGGATATATATATAGGATATATATATAGGAGATATATATAGGATATATATATAGGAGATATATAGGATATATATATAGAGGATATATATATAGGATATATATATAGAGGATATATATATAGGATATATATATAGGATATATATATAGGATATATATATATAGGATATATATATAGGATATATATATATGGGATATATATATAGGATATATATATATGGGATATATATATAGGATATATATATATGGGATATATATATAGGATATATATATATGGGATATATATATATGGGATATATATATGGGATATATATATATGGGATATATATATGGGATATATATATATGGGATATATATATGGGATATATATAGGATATATATATATGGGATATATATATGTGGGATATATATGGGATATATATATGGGATATATATGGGTATATATATGGGATATATATGGGATATATATATGGGATATATATAGGGGATGTATATATATGGGATATATATAGGGGATGTATATATATGGGATATATATAGGGGATGTATATATATGGGATATATATAGTGGATATATATAGGATATATATAGGGGATATATATATAGGGGATATATATAGGATAGATATATAGGATATATATAGGGGATATATATAGGATATATATATATAGGAGATATATATATAGGATATATATAGGAGATATATATATAGGATATATATAGGAGATATATATATATAGAGGATATATATATAGGAGATATATATATATAGAGGATATATATATAGGGGATATATATATGGGATATATATAGGGGATATATATATAGGGGATATATGTATGGGATATATATATAGCGGATATATGTATAGGATATATATATAGAGGATATATATATCGGATATATATATAGGACGTGTATACAGGATATATATATATATAGGACGTGTATACAGGATATATATATAGGACGTGTATACATAGTATATATATATAGGACGTGTATACATAGGATATATATATAGGACGTGTATACATAGGACATATATATAGGACGTATATACATAGGATATATATATAGGACGTGTATACATAGGATATATATATAGGACGTGTATACATAGGATATATATATATAGGACGTGTATACATAGGTTATATATATAGGACGTGTATACATAGGATATATATATAGGACGTGTATATATAGGATATATATATAGGACGTGTATATATAGGATATATATATAGGACGTGTATATATAGGATATATATATGCATTGGTATATGTGTCTATACAGCATTGTAATTGTACCAAAACAGATATATATATAAAATATATATAGGATATATATAAAATATATATAGGATATATATATAAAATATATATAGGATATATATATAAAATATATATAGGATATATATATAAAATATATATAGGATATATATATATAATATATATAGGATATATATATAAAATATATATAGGATATATATATAAAATATATATAGGATATATATAAAATATATGCAGGATATATATATAAAATATATATAGGATATATATAATATATATAGGTTATATAAAATATATATAGGATATATATAATATATATAGGATATATATATTATATATAGGATATATATATTATATATAGGATATATATATAATATATATATAGGCTATACATATATGCATTGGTATATCTATATACCAATGCAACAGATCAGTGGGCTCAGAAATAACACCACACTTCTACAAACATCTGATCTTCAACAAACCTTACAAGCAAAGCAATGTGGAGATCATTCCCTATTTAATAAATTTTGATGGGAAAACTGGCTAGTCGTATGCAGAAAATAGTAACTGGACCCCTTCCTAACACGTTATACAAAAATTAACTCAAGATGGATTAAAGACTTAAATATAAGACCTAAAACCATAAAAAGCCTAGAAGAAAACCTAGGCAATACTATTCAGGACATAGGCATTGGAAAAGACTTTATTACTAAAACACCAAAAGCAATGGCAACAAAAGCCAAATTTGACAAACGAGACCTAATTAAATAAAAAAACTTCTGCAGAGCAAAAGAAACTATCATCAGGTTGAACAGGCAACATGCAGAATGGGAGAAAATTTTTGCAATCTATCCATCTCACAAAGAACTAATACCCAGGATCTACAAAAAATTTAAACAAATTTAGAAGAAAAAAAAACAAGCTCATCAAAAAGTGGGAGAAGTATATGAACAGATACCACTCAAAAGAAGACACTTTTGCAGCCAACAGACATGGGAAGAAAAGCTCATCATCACTGATCATTAGAGTAATGCTAATGGAAACTACAGTGAGATACCATCTCATGCCAGTTAGAATGGCGATCACTAAAAAGTCAAGAAACAACAGATGCTGGAGAGATGTGGAGAAAAACAATGCTTTTCCACTGTTGGTAGCACTGTAAATTAGTTCAACCATTGTGGAAGATAGTGTGGTGATTCTTCAAGGATCTATAACTAGAAATACCATTTGACCCAGCAATCCCATTACTGGGTATATACCCAAAGGGTTATAAATCATTCTACTATTAAGACACATGCACATGTATGTTTATCTTGGTACTGTTCACAATAGCAAAGACTTGCAACCAACCCAAATGCCCATCAATGTTAGACTGCATAAAGAAAATACAGCATATATACACCATGGAATACTATGCAGCCATAAAAATGATGAGTTTATATGCTTTGCAGAGACATGGATGAAGCTGGAAGCCATCATTCTCAGCAAACTAACACAATAACAGAATACCAAACACCCAATGTTCTCACTCATAAGTGTGAGTTGAACAATGAGAACACATGGACACAGCAAGGGGAACATTACACCAGGGAGCCAGCCTGTCAGTGGTGGGGGATAGGGAGGGAGAGCATTAGGATAAATACCTAATGTAGATGATGGGTTGATGGGTGCAGCAAGCCACCATTGCATGTGTATACCTGTGTAAGTAACCTGCATGTATTGCACATGTACCCCAGAACTTAAAGTATTATAATAATTTTTAAAATGACCTTGTTGAGAAAATTAAACTTTGAGAATTGTTGCCTTATTTGTGGTTTTGGCTTTTGAACAATCTCTAAATGTAATCTTATTACACTTTCTGCACATGGTTAGTATTGGATATAATGCTTGTCTTTAGTATGGAGGGCGGATATTCCCAATTTATAATCAAATAATTTAACATTATGCATTTGGGCCATATCATATCCATTTTAGGATGAAAAGACACTGTTGCTAAGGACTTATTGTTTGAAGTCACAAGAAGGAGCAAACACAAAATACAGAAATGAGTTTTCTGGACGTGTATGTATATATGGTCCTACAAAATTTTCTTTCTTTGGTTCAACAAAGTTGTATTTGGCATACATATCCTATTCAGTGTTGTGGATACAATAAGGATTGAGGAGTTAGTCCTTTACCCAAAAGACTTATAGTAAAATGGGAATAGTGGAGGCCATCTCCCATGTCATTTCTCTATATCAGTAAAGAAAATTTGAAAAATAAAATTCTAAAAATATGGAATTTATATTATTATACAAATTATGTAATATATAGATTTAAATGTAATTACAAGATGTTTTACCAAAATTACATGTTATTTAGATAAATTAGAAAATATTTAATAATAGGAGAAATATAACATATTCCAGATTAAAAGCAATATTTTTAAGATTTAAAATTTTGCTAAATTTATTTATAGATTCAATACACTCTTAATCAACATATCCTCATTTGCCTGTATTGTTTGTAAAGCCCATCTCATACCTGAGATACCATCTTGGATAAGAAAAGGGAGAGAGAAGTGAAATGAGTAAACTGAGCATTTGAGCATTGTGCTTAAGTGACTATTTTTATTATCGCATTGAGCTAAGACTACTTGATTTGTTTTTTATTTTTAATTTTTTGTGAATACAGTCATTGTATGTATTAACTTGATTTATTGAATACAGTTTTTCCCTATCTTGAGGTTCCAGATGCTCAGGAGGAATGTCACATAACTTGAATACAAAATAAAGAAGTTATGATTTATTTATACCTCTGTGTATAATGCATATACATGTAAGCCTTCATAAAAAGTTCTTAAAACATATATCTAATTTGCTTATAAAAAGTTGAAACCGTTTTCGTCTTTTTTTTTTTTTTTGAGACGGAGTCTCGCTCTGTCTCCCAGGCTGGAGTGCAGTGGCGCAATCTTGGCTCACTGCAACCTCCGCATCCCAGGTTCACGCCATTCTCCTGCCTCAGCCTCGGAAGTAGCTGGGACTACAGGCTCCCGCCACCACTCTCGGCTAATTTTTGTATGTTTAATAGAGATGGAATTTCACCGTGTTAGCCAGGATAGTCTTGATCTCCTGACCTCGTGATCCGCCCGTCTCGGCCTCCCAAAGTGCTGGGATTACAGGCGTGAGCCACCGCGCCCTGCGGAAAGATTTTTAGTCTTTTTAAAATCAGTGCTCAATTCATCATCATTCTTCATTTTTGGTATTTCTGTTATAAAATTTCACTAACTTTAACTTGGGCATTGAAACACTAGAACAGTATCATAAATTATATGGCATCATGCACGCCATTATCTCATGTGATACCATTAGAAAAGAAGTGCAGTGCATAAACAAGTTTATTTAATATGTTATTTTCATTTATGTGTTTTGATCTAGATTAAAATTGATGAATATAAGCAAGAATCCAAGACAAGGATGCAAAATTTTGACGAATTGATGAACATTGCTAACATTTTAATCTTTATTATTTTGAGATACAAATTATGGATTTTAAATTTGTAACCTCAATAATTTGTAAAAATTCATGTGTGTGTTGATATCTATCTACCATCTATCTATATATACAAATTAACAATAAAACTATAGATAAAAGAACTGAAGTTTATATTTTCTTTGCAGTATGCAATATTTTCCTGGGCGCTATAGGCTTTATCTAGTCCATTTCATACACTATGATTTCACAGTAATATGCAAATATATTTCTTAATAAACTACTTTACATTACTAATCAGCTATATACTTGAACACAAACGTGGAGATAAGGACGAAATATAGCCATTTTTAATAAAATAGTCCAAGGCATCACCATATTCTATGTTCTAATGAGAAGCTACTCTGGATTTAAAATTATTTTTAATTTCAAATATAAAGTATTTTTGAAGCTAATTAAATTCTGTAGTTTCCTAGAGACAAGAAGTCTTATTCTTTTTGCTTAGCAGGTGTGTGTATGTCTTAGGGAAGAATTTAGCTGAGGTTGTATTTAATTAGATTGATTAAATATGCAGTTGGCTCTATAAAGACAATTTTATGGGTATTGGTTAGATATCTATTTCTAAAAACGTAGAGCTTCTCTTTATTTCATGCTGTTTGCTCCTGTCTGCCAGGGATTTAAATAGGGAAACTAGCTGTGTTCATGAAAATGTGAATATATTCCTAAACGTGTTCTTTACCTCATCTATGTTATTTTGCACCAAGAGTCAATGCATTGCCCATTTCGTTGTGAATATATACATATTTTTTGAGATGGAGTCTTGATCCCATCACGCAGGCTAGAGTGCAGTGGTGCAATCTCGGCTCACTGCAACCTCCACCTCCCAGGTTCAAGTGATTCTCCTGCCTTAGCCTCTCTAGTAGCTGGAACTACAGGCATGTGCCACCACACCCAGCTAATTTTTCTATTTTTAGTAGAGATGGGTTTTCCTCATTTTGGCCAGGCTTGTCACTTTGCCTCGGCCTCCCAAAGTGCTAGGATTACAGACATGAGCAACCACACCCGGCCAAAAAAAAAAATTGTGTTTTCACTTTTTGCTCATACTCTCCATATAGTTTCTCTTCTTCTTGCCTTCTCTACTCAAGATATATGTATCCCACCATCTTTCTGTGTAAATCTTTTAAAATCTTTCTTCCTCATCACCTATGCCATCTTGGAAAGAAATGATTCTCTTCCACTTTACTCAATCTCTCTCTCCATTCAACCTTCATAATACTACTATACCTCTGTATCTCCCTCACAGCACCATTCACTTTCTACTTTCTAGCATGTTTAATCAGCTTTACAAACATTCCTTGAGGGGGGATTTTTATCTAATTTATTAATTTTTTTTCTTCCCATAAAACTAATAGTTTGTGTACAATTAGTGCTCAATAAACACTTTAAAGAGTTATTTGTTCGAGACACAGAACATAAATAAAAAAGTAACAGTAAATAAATTATTAAATGAGTGAATGAATTTTCCTTTCTCTTTAAGCTTTATTTTATTTATTTATTTATTTTTTTTTTTGAGATGGAGACTTGCTCTGTGGCCCAGGCTGGAGAGCAGTGGCGAGATCTGGGCTCAGTGCAAGCTCTGTCTCCCGGGTTCACGCCATTCTCCTGCC
The DNA here is from genome assembly GCF_000001405.40 of Homo sapiens. Classification (NCBI taxonomy): domain Eukaryota; kingdom Metazoa; phylum Chordata; class Mammalia; order Primates; family Hominidae; genus Homo; species Homo sapiens. Next base: position 22,235,147 of record NC_000024.10, on the reverse strand, counting down.
TCAGCCTCCTCAGTAGCTGTGATTACAGGAGCCCGCCACCACGCTCAGCTAATTTTTTTTTTGTATTTTTTAGTAGAGACGGGCTTTCACCATGTTAGCCAGGATGGTCTTGATCTCCTGATCTCATGATCTGCCCACCTCTGCCTCCCAAAGTGCTGGGATTACAGGCGTGGGCCACCGTGCCCGGCCCTCTTTAAGCTTTTTAACCAAGGGTCTTGAATATATTCTGGGTTCTTATTTGCAAATAGGAGAATCTAGTCTGATTAGATTATACAAAAAAAAAAAATAAAGTATATAATCTCACAGAATCTCTGAAAAGTCTAGAGAGCCCTAGTTCCCTTGTCAGGAACAAAGCCCAGGCATACAGCAGATGCCGACGTATGGAAAATACCATCCATCCCTACCAATTGCTCAGCACTTACGAGATGCAAAGCAGGATCACAAGACTCTGTTAATGTCATCCCTTGAGCTGAACACAAGTTTTAGCTACATTCTACAGAATTAATGTGTGTATCTTCTAGAACCACTATGAATACCTCTCCTTCAAAAACTTATTGCTTGTGAAAAACCAACTATGTTTAGCAAGTCATGAAACAACTGTAGTCATTTATCAGTGGTCACAGACTCACATTTAAGCATAACTTTAAATGTGTCATAGACCTGACACTTATCATTATGAATCAACATTAATCTCATGAAGATGAACTGGAGGTTGAAAGCCTGCAATTACCCACCAGCTAGGTACACCATTATTAGCCATGATGAAAATGCATCTGGGTTTTCATGTCAGGGCATATTGCCCACCTGAGAAGGTAATAATCCTGAGAAATGACACTTCAACTTCCATGTCTTCATAGTCCCCAACAATCACTCAATCACATCAAGCACATGCCAAACTATTCTTGTGTTTCAAGGCTGACTTAGCAAACTGGTGGACTGAGAGAAATAACAATTCAAATTAAAGATGAGTGCAGTGGCTGTTAAGCAATATGACTTGCCAGTCATAAAATGAGTAGGAAATAGTGTGACAAGGATAACCTCCAGTAGAAAGAACCAAAGTATTTCATTTTGACACCATCCACTTAGAAAAAATATGCTGATTTAGTTTCCATGAACATCTGATGTAATTTTATACAGTTTCTCACTGCAGTACAAGAAGTCAGGTAGATATGCTAGTATTTTCCTTAAAAAACACAAAGATTCTGAAAAGACTAGAGAGCCCAAGTTCCCTTGTCAGGAACAAAACCCAAGCATACAGCAAGAGAAAACTCCAAAAAACTTGAAATACCACAGCCTGAGCATCATTCAACTGGCATGGGGGGTAAATCATTTAATTACCACTGAGTCTTAGGTTCATTGACTCTTTTTTTAATTCCTGAATATATTAGACATCAATTTTCTTCATAAAATCATACACTTCATAAGAATTAACAATTATTCCTAATTTTTGGCTACCCATGATATCCCTTGTCCCCCATGTCTATTCTTATTTTTTCATACAACAGAATTTTTGGCTTATCGGATAGCTGCACAGAGCAATACATTATATTCTAGCTTTGCCTGAAGTCAGATATGACCATGTGATAAATTTCTGTCTGGTGCAGTATATTAGAAAAGGTTTGTGCAACTTCTGGGGTGTGCATTTCAAAGGAGGGAGCGGTCATACCATTGTCCTTGTAAGTCATCTGGCTGGCCAGAATGTGGTCATGCCTGCAGGAGTCAGAACAGCCTCCTTGCACCACAAGATGTCTGTTGAGGATAGCAGAACAACAAAATAGAGGGAATGTAGGTCTCTGAAAATGTTGAAGATTACAGCAACCACATCAGCTTAGAATTGTATATAAGAGAAAAATTAGCTTCTGTCTCATTTAAAACTACAATTATATTTTAATGATGAGCAACTCATTGATTGCACTGTTGGTACTATACCTATCCCTATTGTATGGGCAAACTTTACTACAGAATCAAATAACGTTATCATGACAGGTTATCAGAAACCAACTGGATGAGTATCTTCCCATCCTCATCTCATATTTGTCAACTTAGATGACAAATGGATGAATGCTAGAATTTAAAATATATCTCAAATTAAAATTTAACACAATTTCATCTGAACCATGCCTAGGTTTTGGTTTTTGCTTTGATTCTCCATTCAGCAGTGAAAGGAAAGGGAATATTTCAATAATTATTATATTATATAATATCTATATTACTTATTCTAATGATTTACTTTTAAAATAATTTAAGAATATACATATTTGTAAAATTATTAACTTTAAAACTTTGGTTTAACAAAAATATGTATTCTATGATATAGTTTTTGCTTAGAAATATACATTTATATATTCATGCATATTTGCATGACTGTGTCAATATTTATTCAAAGAAAAATCATGAAAGTTTACACAATGACTTCTCAGTTATGCCCTCTGAGACAGTAATTAAAGATGGTAAGTGAATAAGTTTGTCTTTTTTATTATATACTCAAGTATTAATTAAACTTTTCAATGAGCTTTGGTCTTGATCGGCACATGAAAACAGACTAATACAGTAAATTTTTACAAAGAGTGAGGTGCTGCTGAAAAGATACCTGAAAATGTGGAAGTGACTTTGAAACTGGGTAATAGGCAGATATTGGGATAGTTTGGAGGGCTCAGAAAAAGAGAGAAAATGTGAGAAAGTTTGGAACTTCCTAGAGACTTGTTGAACGGCTTTGACAGAAATACTGATAGTGATATGAACAATAGGTCTGGACTGGGGTGGTCTCAGATGGAGAGGAGTAACTTGTTGGAACTGCAGCAAAGGTGACTCTTGTTATCTTTTAGCAAAGAGACTGGCAGCATATTGCCCCTGCCCTGAAGATTTGTGAAACTTTGAACTTGAGAGAGATGATACAGGGTAGCATTCTCAGGGGGTATGCTTGCAGCTACAGGAAGATGTATGGGAATAGACACACAACTCTCCCTCCCAGATAAGCACAACAAAGTGACACAGAAGCAGTCCAAGCCTCTGATATACTCTTCCGGACTGAATTCTTAGAATCTATTTGTGTGAAAGAGATTGTTTCTTGAACTAACTCGACCAGAAAACCCTCTCAGGTTTGCTTTCTTTAAAATAAACTTGCCCTTCACTGTGAAGCCACCTTTCATTTTTGTCTTGTCTTCCTTCAATTCTTACACTTAGTGCCAAAACCTGTGACTGGTGTTGAGAGCATAGGCTGTCTTGCAACCCAGGAGGCAGTAGGCAATGACAGCTCATCCTGAGTTAACTCCTGTATCCTAAAGTTCTCTGACTACATGTCCCATCTTTTCTCTTGCTTAACTTTTCAAGTGATTTGTGTGAAGAGGACAACTAACTTGAACAGGCTGTGAGGCTCAGGTAGAGGCTACTCCCTGGTGGGATCTCAAAACACTCAGGTCTCAGGAATCCACCTCTGACCATGCACAATGGGTATTTTGCTCCCCAACCCTCCCTTGCCCCTTCTTCCTCCATCTTCTCTCTCTCTCTCTCTTTCTCTCTTTCTTTCTCTCTCTCCCTCTCCCCCACTCTCTCTCTCTCTTCCTCAAATGGCTACAGCCTGGGAGGCCCTTTTCCAACCATAGCCAGAACATCCAACATCAGATACTAATTCAGATGACTAGTGAGATCTGCCTTCTCCCAGCTTTCTCTCAGTACCAGAGAAAGTCTGCCTGCTGTCCAGGTCCTGGGAGGTCCAATCAGACTAACAGGGCTGAGCTAGAGGAAATCTTGGCACCCAGTTCCTTCTCAGCTTAATGGTCCCCTTTTGGAAAGAGGAATCTGGGTCTCTGTCTTTTGTCTGGGGATGCCTAGAACACAACGGACACCCCCAGCTTCTTCTTACCAGTCCACATAAGTGCCAAACAATCTCACATCCCTACATCCTCCCCACTGGACTGCCGTATTTGGGACCTAGCCAAACTTGGCTTATGGTTGACCTTAAAGCCAAAACATTTAATTTTCTACTGGAACATGGTCTTAACAACTTTTTTATGAGAAATGGCAAATGACAAGAGATTTCCCCATGTTCAGACTTTCTTCTATTGTCAACCTCAGCCCTCATCCTTCTCTACCTGTTCAAAAACTACTCCAGCCAGTTAAAACTTCTCTGCCATTCTCCCTCTCTGGGAAGTGGTTAGGGTTAAAGGTAGTCCTCACATTCATGCCCCCTTCTCCATGTCTAATTTGTGACAAATTGAACAGCTTCTGGGACTTTTCTCTAAAAATCCCTCTCATTATCACAGGAAATTCCTGCACATAACCCAATTCTTTCATTTAAGTTGGCATTACATTTACATAATTCTAACCTCCACCTTTACCCTTAATAAAAAAGAGTGCTCAGCTTTATTAAAATGGACATCTTAGCTATAACAATACTCAAAAGGCCTTTAGGTTTTTTTCTTCCCAAATTGTGTTTTCCTGAAAAGGGGTTTTTCTCAGTCAAAACTACTTTTCTTCACTCTGCCTTGCCACTCTTGCTGCATGCATAAAAGATCCCAGAATAACTACTGGTGGCCTAGGACTCCCCAGGAAGACAGAAAACTTGCCACAAGTCCCATCTTGAAAAAAATAACTATTTTCCTTATGGAACCACTACAATTAAAGGTGAATAAGTACCTCTCAAAAATCTTTCTTTGTCTTCCAGATATGCTTGTTTGTTAGGCCCTAAAATTTGTTTACCTAGTTCTTCTCTTAAAGGGCCTGACCCTGAGGCCAATAATCCAATCTGGAAATTAGCAAATGGAAATCTTACAACTACTGGGTCTTCTTCTGGTTGTCTGTGTGGCTATATATGTGTTATGTATATTATCTAAATTAAAAAGAACTTTAATAAATTAATTGTCCTAAGAAAAGAAAGTACTTAAATCAAGTATTTTTAAGAAAATGCTAAGCAAAGTAATACTATGTACATTGCCTCCTGAATGACTACTGGGTACATAACAAAATGAAGGCAGAAATAAAGGTGTTCTTCGAAACCAACGAGAAAAAAGACAAAACATACCAGAATCTCTGGGACACATTCAAAGCAGTGTGTAGAGGGAAACTTATAGCACTAAATGCCCACAAGAGAAAGCAGGAAATATCCAAAGTTGACACCGTAACATCACAATTAAAAGAACTAGAAAAGCAAGAGCAAACACATTCAAAAGCTAACAGAAGGCAAGAAATAACTAAAATCAGAGCAGAACTGAAGGAAACAGAGACACAAAAAACCCTTCAAAAAATTAATGAATCCAGGAGCTGGTTTTTTGAAAGGTTCAATAAAATTGATAGACTGCTAGCAAGACTAATAAAGAAGAAAAGAGAAGAATCAAACAGACACAATAGAAAATGATAAAGGGGATATCACCACTGATCCCACAGAAATGCAAACTACCATCAGAGAATATTACAAACACCTCTACGCAAATGAACTAGAAAATCTAGAAGAAATGGATAAATTCCTCGACCCATACACCCTCCCAAGATAAACCAAGAAGAAGTTGAATCTCTGTATAGACCAATAACAGGCTCTGAAATTGTGGCAATAATCAATAGCTTACCAACCAAAAAGAGTCCAGGACCAGATGGATTCACAGCCAAATTCTACCAGAGGTACAAGGAGGAACTGGTACCATTCCTTCTGAAACTATTCCAATCAATAGAAAAATAGGGAATCCTCCCTAACGCACTTTATGAGGCCAGCACCATCCTAATACCAAAGCCGGGCAGAGACACAACCAAAAAAGAATTTTAGACCAATATCCTTGATGAACATTGATGCAAAAATCCTCAATAAAATACTGGCAAACCGAATCCAGCAGCACATCGAAAAGCTTATCCACCATGATCAAGTGGGCTTCATTCGTGGGATGCAAGGCTGGTTCAATATATGCAAATCAATAAATGTAATCCAGCATATAAACAGAACCAAAGACAGAAACCACACGATTATCTCAACAGATGCAGAAAAGGCCTTTGACAGAATTCAACAACCCTTCATACTAAAAACTCTCAATAAATTAGGTATTGATGGGACATATCTCAAAATAATAAGAGCTATCTATGACAAACCCACAGCCAATATCATACTGAAAGGGCAAAAACTGGAAGCATTCCCTTTGAAAAATGGCACAAGACAGGAATGCCCTTTCTCACCACTCGTATTCAACATAGTGTTGGAAGTTCTGGCCAGGCAATTAGGCAGGAGAAGAAAATAAAGGGTATTCAATTAGGAAAAGAGGAAGTCAAATTGTCCCTGTTTGCAGATGACATGATTGTATATCTAGAAAAACCCATTGTCTCAGCCCAAAATCTCCTCAAGTGGATAAGCAATTTCAGCAAAGTCTCAGGATACAAAATCAATGTACAAAAATCACAAGCATTCTTATACACCAATAACAGACAAACAGAGAGCCAAATCATGAGTGAACTCCCATTCACAATTGCTTCAAAGAGAATAAATACATAGAAATCCAACTTACAAGGGATGTGAAGGACCTCTTCAAGAAGAACTACAAACCACTGCTCAACGAAATAAAAGAGGATACAAGGAAATGAAAGAACATTCCATGCTCATGGGCAGGAAGGATCAATATCATGAAAATGGCCATACTGCCCAAGGTAATTTATAGATTCAATGCCATTCCCATCAAGCTACCAAAGACTTTCTTCACAGAATTGGAAAAAACTACTTTAAAGTTCATATTGAACCATGAAAGAGCCCACATTGCCAAGTCAATTCTAAGCCAAAAGAACAAAGCTGGAGGCATCATGCTACCTGACTTCAAACTATACTACAAGGCTACAGTAACCAAAACAGCATGATACTGGTACCAAAACAGAGATATAGATCAATGGAACAGAACAGAGCCCTCAGAAATAATGCCGCATATCTACAACTATCTGATCTTTGACAAACCTGAGAAAAACAAGCAATGGGGAAAGGATTCCCTATTTAATAAATGGTGCTGGGAAAACTAGCTAGCCATATGTAGAAAGCTGAAACTGGATCCCTTCCTTATACCTTTTACAAAAATTAATTCAAGATGAATTAAAGACTTATATGTTAGACCTAAAACCATAAAAACCCTAGAAGAAAACCTAGGCATTACCATTCAGGACATAGGCATGGGCAAGGACTTCATGTCTAAAACACCAAAAGCAATGACAACAAAAGCCAAAATTGACAAATGGAATCTAATTAAACTAAAGAGCTTCTGCACAGCAAAAGAAACTACCATCAGAGTGAATAGGCAACCTACGAAATGGGAGAAAGTTTTCGCAATCTACTCATCTGACAAAGGGGTAATATCCAGAATCTACAATGAACTCAAACCAATTTACACAAAAAAAACAAACAACCCCATCAAAAAGTGGGCAAAGGACATGAACAGACACTTCTCAAAAGAAGACATTTATGTAGCCAAAAAACACACGAAAAAATGCTCACCATCACTGGCCATCAGAGAAATGCAAATCAAAACCACAATGAGATACCATCTCACACCAGTTAGAATGGAAGTCATTAAAAGTCAGGAAACAACAGGTGCTGGAGAGGATGTGGAGAAATAGGAACACTTTTACACTGTTGGTGGGACTGTAAACTAGTTCAACCATTGTGGAAGTCAGTGTGGCAATTCCTCAGGGATCTAGAACTAGAAATACCATTTGACCCAGCCGTCCCATTACTGGATATATACCCAAAGGACTATAAGTCATCCTGCTAAAAAGACACATGCACACGTTATGTTTATTGTGGCACTATTCACAATAGCAAAGACTTGGAACCAACCCAAATGTCCAACAATGATAGACTGGATTAAGAAAATGTGGCACATATACACCATGGAGTACTATGCAGCCATAAAAATGATGAGTTCATGTGCTTTGTAGGGACTTGGATGAAATTGGAAATCATCATTCTCAGTAAACTATCGCAAGGACGAAAAACCAAACACTGCATGTTCTCACTCATAGGTGGGAATTGAACGATGAGAACACATGGACATAGGAAGGGGAACATCAAACTCTGGGGACTGTTGTGGGGGGTGCGGGGATGGGGGAGGGATAGCATTAGGAGATATACCTAATGCTAAATGACAAGTTAATGGGTGCAGCACACCAGCATGGCACATGTATACATACGTAACTAGCCTGGACATTGTGCACATGTACCCTAAAACTTAAAGTATAATAATAATAAAATAATTATAAAAAAAGAAAACACAGCATTCACAGTTGATACTATTAATACCAATGTTAAATTTAAGCTACTTATATTAAATTGCATACAAATGCAGTAAAAGTATATGGACATTCACGGTAATAAAAATGACCAAATTTTTCTTCGTTTTACTTTGAAATGTAGAAGCTAATGTGGTAGTTTTCTTTACTTTAAATTGTATATACTGTAAACAAGCAAGTTCAGCTTTGTTACTGAAAATAGCAATAATGCTGAGATAAGTAAATTCTAACAGGTTAGAAAATAAAACAAAGCTGAGAAGGTTAAAATCCATCATCTCAATCCATCATGCTGAGGGGAGAAGCACTGAAAAGCCATCTCCTGACTTAATGGAAATCGATATTTCTGCCAAAGTCTGGGTACAGCTGTAAAGGTTCACAAAAATTACTGTACCTGAATGACTTCTGCTTTCTTACTAACTGAGAAACTTTATGTTCTAAAATTACAAACAGAGTGTTTGCTGTTTGAAATGTTATCAGTGAAGATAAAACTTAGCAGTCTTTTCCAGCTGATTAATGTCACTTTCCACAGAAGAAAAACTGATTTCCAGTCTAGCTGCATAGCTTCAAATAACAAGCATGTGCACTCAAAATTCCACACAAATGTCAACTTGTGATCTACAAGGAATAAAGACACTGGGTTCTCTCACAGTCTAAACATGATGTTTTGGCCTTTCATACATAGGAGTACTTTACCTTGAACTTGTAGAAATTCTACTCTGTTTAAATATCTACTCACCTCCTTTCCCATAAATCCTACAGTACCAAGTTTTATTACTTTAGTTGCCCCACAGGCATGGTTGACCTTACTGTAACAAGTCAATGCAATTTTATTAGATTATAGGGTTGTCCTATGTAGTCAGAGACTAGCTGGATTAAGTCACAGAATTTCTCTGTCTAGCTGTTTTCCCCATAGTAAATGCAACTGGCAAAAATGTCTAATATGCCTTGAATCCCTAGATATAAAACACATTTTCTGATTTTGCTAAATTGATTCCTGCATACAATACTCATTTGAGAGAAGTGTCATTTTTCAAGTGACTAATATAAAAATGGTAATGTCCATAATAATTTGTATTCTATTTTATTTTAAAATGTGGATTTTTTTCTCCAGGCAAGATGGCTCACACCTGTAATCCCAGCACTTCAGGAGGCTGAGGCAGGTGTATCTCAAATGAGACCAACATGGCGAAAGCCCATCTTTACTAAAAATACAAAAAAACTTTGCCAGGTCTGACAGCATATGCCTGTAGTACTAGCTATTCGGAAGGCAAGAGAATCACCTCCTGGTGAAGATTGCAGAGAGCCAAGATCGTGCCATTGCACTCCAGCATGGGCCAGAGAACTGGACTCTTTAAAAAAAGTAAAATAAAATAAAATATATGTGGATTTTTTCAAAAACATAAGCAACTTTTTATGTTCTTTTGGAAATTTGTGTCTGTATGCGTTTTTTTGACACAGAAAGTAGTACATAGAGAAGCTTTTACAAATGTTTCAACTATATTTGAATTTTATTTTAATACCCCATATTAAATTACCCTCTGATCTGGTTTTTTAATGCTTTTAAGTCTGAGCATAATAACTCACTAAAAAGATTTCTGTAGGGCTTGGGTTCTGCTAACATTATTTTCTTGGCTGTATTTTATCTAAGTTCATTATGCAAACAATTTGCATTGTGTCATCAAAAATGACTTCTGAAAGCCTTCTGTGGCCCCTGTTATGCCACTAACCATAATGGGGTAACGGGGACCATATTTACCCTCCCAGGTTAAATAACTATAAAACTAGACAGAAATATGAAACAAAGACTGTTCTACATTCAATTACAGGCAGCATCAAACAGTAATTTCTCAGAAAAGATGAACAAAGACAGTGTAAGGATGAACCTTGCTTTTCACCAGGCCATAACTTAGTGGGTGTTACTATATTGAGAAGACTAAAATCAGAGTTCAACTATATCAAGAAAGCTAGAATGTGTAGAGCAAAATGCCAGGAAAAAAAGAGGACTTACACAAAAAGAAAACCCCAGAGATGCAAGAGAGTTGATGCAGGTCTTCTGCTGGCTGTTAATCTGCATATCCCTGTGAGAAAATTGTCTGAAGCTTAAAAGAAAGCACTGGAACAAAACTATTCCCTGTACATGCATCTATAATGCCGATTGGGCAGAATACTTTGACTTTGGTTCTGGGTAAGTAGCATAGCATGATCTTCATATTATTTCTTTAGCTATGTTCAATATCTGAAATGTATGAGAGTGCCTTAATGGCTTAGGTTGTAGTTGTTTTAAGAGCCTGTGATGAGACTTTGCTGAGGTTTGGTGTGCTGGTCAGGCCTGAAATCAGGCTCCTTGGTAGCATCAGAAAACAGCAGCTGTGGCAGCTGCATTGGGCAGGTAAGTCCTAGGGGTCCCAGGCATCATGGGAGGGCCCCACTGTGGTGGCTGTGGACCAGGTGGGCCAGATTTTGGTCCCCCATGTGGTACATGTGGGTGCCTATAATGGCAGTAACAGCTTAGGTTCTGGGTTGTGGGTCCTGACATGACACTCAGCAGTGTCTGGTTGTCTTGCTGCTGAGAGGTTGGGAGGAGTTGGTGCCTCAGTGGCAGCAACCTTAGGCAGGTATTTCCCACGCTCTATGGGTCACACATTTTTGTTCCCTATGTTTTGGAGCAGCCTCTCAAATATGCTAGAATGCCTATTCCCTGGGGTATAGGATGCTGCATCATTTCCATTACCATGGACCCAGACACACTGCTGCACCCAGCTGACATCGTGACACTGAGGCCTTTGGGTGGACAAGAGGGCATGTCAGCAAGGACCCAGGATATGGAGATGCAGGGGATATTGGAGCCCTGGGCAAAAGCTGTCTAGAACCTACATCAGCCTCAATATTGGGCCACACACCAGCAATGTGGGCCTCTGTGGGCATGGGGTCTTGTGTGAGTTCCCTCCCTGGGACAATGTAGTTGGGTGGCGATCAGGCATGTCTCTGTATTAGTCTTAGGACATGTCCTCACAGGCCAAGGGGATTCTCTGCATCTAGGATTGCAAATGTGGTCTTTCTTTCTCCTCCAGCAGAGAATTCCTTTTGGTTTTGAGCCAATTCCAGCTGGCTGCTTTGGTCCCTCTCTATACTGCTGCCATCCTGAGTTTTTATGCCTCAGAGAGTCACAGTCACTTCCTTGCTGAATTCCAGCATTCTCCCAAAGATGTTCAATTCAATGCATAGTCATCTATTTGCTATTTTGGACCTTCTTTATGGAGGAGGTGAGTCTTGAGTGACTCTAGCAGCCATCTTTATCCTTTTGTTGTTGTTATTTTATTATTTATTTGTTTATTGAGATGGAGTCTTGATCTGTTGCCCAGGCTGGAGTGCAGTGGAGCGATTTCAGCCCACTGCCACCTCCACCTTCTTCTGTCAGCCTCCCAAGTACCTGGGATTACAGGCCCCCACCACCAAGTGTGGCTAATTTTTTGTATTTTTAGTAAAGATGGGGTTTTGCATATTGGCCAGGCTGGTCTCAAACTCCTGGCCTCAGATGATCTACCCACCTCGGCCTCCCAAAGTGCTGGATTATAGGCGTGACCCACCACACCCAGCCTTTTATTTTTTATTTGTTTAAAAATATATGTCAATTATTTTTCTCTCCTTTTATCTTTGTCTTCTCCTTATAGTACTCCATACATTATCATCCTGCTTCATAATTTTCCATAAGTTCCTTAGGCTGTCTTCATGATTCCTTATCTTTCTCTTGCATTTTTATCCTCCATTTTGATTGTTTTCAAGGACTTTGCTTAATTTTTCTTATCCTTTGTTCTGCTTGATCCAGTTTACTGTTCGGCCCCTGTATCTAATTTTTGACTTAGGTTCCTGTATTTTTCACTTCTTTGATTTCTGTTTGATGCTTTGAAATATTTTCTACCTCTTTGTTAAACTTCTCAGTTTTTAAATGCATTGCTCTCTTGACTTCTGTTAATACCTTAGTGCTTCTTGTTTTGATTTCCTTGTCATGGACATTACATACTTTTATCAGATTCTGATTCTGTTTATTTCTTTTGTTCTTTACCTCAGAACATATTTTCCCCTCCACTGCACTCCCTCACCACCCTGCTCTCCCGTACCCACTACCACCAGCCCCGTTTTTCCTGACTATGAGTTGGTTTCTGCAAGTCAGTGGACAACCATCTTTCTTTGTTTTCCTGAACTCATCCTACATAGGAAATTTCATTTCCTTATCAGTGCAACCAGAGATTCCAGTTGCTTCTCAATTCTGTGATTGTCCAACTCACTGTCTTTCTTCCTATGCCCCACTGGATTGTTGAGTGTGTGAAATCATATTATTCCTTTGACATAGGCAAGATAGTAGCCAGCCCCAAGACATGCAGGTAAAGTTTTGGGATTAGATGTATATTATTTGTGGACAAGCTTAGATTCAGAGTCTATGTCCAACTAGTTCTGCCCTGTGCCAAGAATAGTGTCCATGACTGACACTGCGCAGTCATTCATTATGCTCACTCTGAATCTGGACAGATAGCCACTGAATATTTACAACTTTGACAATCTTGTTCTCTGTGATATAGGAGACTCAGGAATACAGAGTCCCATTCACTTCCAGAAGTAGATAATTTAGGACAAGTCCTTTAGGTACAGACTGTAAAATTTGTGATGCATGATGTATGCAGAAGCTACTTCCAGGGAGGTTCTACAGACCTTGATTTCTCACCAGAGCAAGCCAGGGAGAAGGTAGTGCAGACTGCCTGCTTTCTCATTCTGCATTGCCAAAGTCGCACAAGCTTCTTCCAGGAAGAAACTGCAAGGCAGATTTCTTGCTGTGGCAAGGCAGATAAGAAGACAAGAAGGCCTGAGAGGTGTTCACTGTCACATTTATATTTTACCAAAAATCTGTCCAGGGAGAATAGCCAGTGGGATTTGTTGCTAGAACAGCCTGTGAAGAAAGCATGCTATGTTAGTGACAGAAGGGTAGTGCTGTCTCTTCCATTCAGGATTTCAGAGATCTAACTCCCTGATTTTCTCTAGCAAGTGATGGCAGAAATTTGCTATTAGAGTAAGCCAGGGAAGAAAATGTGGGAAGTGCTTTTCTTCTCATTTAGGCTTAGAAGTATTCGGACTCTCTGCCTCCTTCCAGATAGAGACTGCAGGAAATTTTACTGGAGCAAGTCAGGGAAAATGTCTTAGGGAGTGCCGTCTCTTTCTGTTTGGCTCATAGAGGTCTGTATCCAGCCTACTTTGAGAGAATAATTGCAGAAATCAAGGAAGGAAGTGAAAGAAGGCACAGTGATTGCCCTTCTTATTTATGCTTTTGGTAGTATTTGTTCTAGCCTCCTTCCGGGGAGAGATTTCAGAGATATATTACAAAAGCAAGCTAGGGAAGAAGGAACTAGAAGTGCTGAAACCTTTCTTCTCACTCCTGAAGACTTTAAACCCCTTTCCAGGGAGAGAAAAAAAGGCTTTACCTAATCACTGAAGGAAGCCAGGGAAGAAGGCTCAGGGATTCATGTCCTTCCCAGCTCCACAAGTTTCTTTGTTTGTTTGTTTTGAGTAGGGATTACAACCTTGGTTACAACTCCCCTGGGCTGTAATTCTCTTCATCTTGATACTCTTTTCTGAGAGGGGAATATATTCTTCAGTGCAAAATGTTTCTTCCAACCCTGGTGTGAAAGTCAGCTCTATTTAACTGTTATTTTTTGTTTGTTTGTTTGTTTGTTTCAGTGAGCATTAGTCCTTTACCGCTGATCTGAAACTCTCTTCTTCATTGTTGTCTTTCTTTATAAGAAACCCATTTCCTTGCATGTGGGTTGGATATCTATTCTTCCCGACTCTCCTGCTAGTAGAAATTATTTTCTGGCTCACTGGGCTTAAGTCACACAATCTTGACTTCCTGATATCCCTGAGTAGGGAATTATTTTCTTACTTCATAAGATAAAATGTTTTTTCTTTTGCTTAGTTTTCACAATAGGGATTATTCCCTAACTGTCTGGGCTTAAAGTATCTTTTTTTGCTATCACCTCTTGGTAGGAATTATTCCCTGACTCCTGCAGTGAAAGTCTCTTCTGCCTTTTCTGTCCTTACCTAGTAGGGATTATTCTCTGAGTCTGTGCTAAATGTCCTATCTTTTCACTGTTGTTGTTTTATTAGTGATTAATCCCAGACTTGATGGGATAGAAGTATCTTTTTAGTGGATGTCTTATCTGAATAGAAATTATTCCCTTATTTCTGGGATAGTACTCTTTTTTTTCTGGCTATATTACTTCAATGGGAGGTATTCCGTGCCTCCTGGGGTAGAAAATTATTGGTCTTGATTGTTTTGTTTTTTTTTACTGAAGACTTTTCCCTGGACTACTGGTTTGGAAATGTCTGGCCTTCTTTGCTGAGCCAGAAAAAAATAATTCCTGGATCTATTTCCTGTGTAGAAATTTCCTGACTTCTGGAGTGAAAACCTGTTTTTCCTGGCTCTGTTTCATAAGAAAAATTATTTTGCTGATTGGACATCGTGTCTTTCCAGACCTCTTCCTTGAGTAAAATTTATTCTCTCACTTCTTGCTTTGAAAGACATTCCTCCTGGCTCTCTTATCAAATGGAATTTATTCCCTGGCACCTGAGCTGTAAGTCACTTCTTATTAGCACTCTTTTCTGACTCTGGCTAGAAATCTCTTCTTTCTGGTCTCTTTGCTAATGGGTAAAATTTTCTGACTACCTGATTATCTCTCTCTGTCCTAAATGAGAACAATTTTCATGTGATTATGAGCTCAAAGTCACTTCTTCTTTGTTCCTTGTCCTAAATGGGTATTATTCTCTGACTCCTTAGATTGAACTTTATTTTTTATTTTGTTCTTTTATTTGAGATAAGAGCTCTGTGATGAAATACTTCTTTCATGATTGAAGATTATTTCCTGGCTCCCTGGGATAGAACTTTGTCATCCCTCACTCTTTTTCCTGATTGAAATTTTTCTCTGACATTTGGGCTCAAATTTCTTCTTTCTGACACTATTTCCTGATGGGGGTTATACCCTGACTTCCTTTAAAATCCTTACTTCTCTCTCTTTAAAAAATTAATAATGATTATTCTAACTTTTTTAGGTAGATGTTCCTTCTTATGGGCTCTCTCTTTTCTGAGTGACATTTATTCCTAATGTGCAAAAAGTATATTCCTCCTAGGGGATTACTGTCTGACTCCAGGAGATGGACATTTTTTTGTTTTGTTTTGTTTTTCTTAATATTTTTCCCCTTATTACAGATTATTCCAGTATTCTGAGGATTATTTCCTGATACGTTAGTTGGAAATCTCCTCGTTCTGGCCCTTTTACTTTATGGGATATTATTCCTTGTCTCCTAGGGTGACATTTTCTTTTCCCAGGTTATCGTTTTTCTTATGATTATTCCCTGACTCCCTGGGGTTGCAAGTCTCTCTTGCCTTGCTTTCTAATCTGACTGGAAATTGTTTCCTGATTTCCAAGTCTGGAACTCTTTTTTGTCAGTTTCACTTCATGTTTGGGATTATTCCTTTATGTTCTGTGTTGTGTATACTTCTTCTTCCCTTCTCTGACATTTTTGGCTTCAGTTATCCTCTTGGGTGTCTATTCTCAAGTAAGATTTTTTCCCTGATTCTCTTATGCTAAACATCTTTTTTCCTAGTTACTACCTGAGTGGAGTTTTCCCTGACTCCATTAGCTGGGTTCCCTTTTTTCTAGCCTCTTTCCTGAGTGGAGGTTATTTCTTGATTCCCTGTGTTGGAGACCTTTTCTTCCTTAACGTGAATTTCCTCATATTTCTGGCCGGTCTGGAAATTTATCTCTATCTTTACCTCTCTATCTCTATCTCTATCTCTATCTCTATCTCTATCTCTATCTCTATCTCTTTCTCTATCTATCTATCTCTATCTCTATCTCTCTATCTCTATATCTCTATCTCTATCTCTATCTCTATCTCTATCTCTATCTCTATCTCTATCTCTATCTCTATCTCTTTATCCATGTCTCTATCTCCCTTTCTGTCTCGCGATCTCTATTTCTAATCTCCATTGAAGCTCTTTGACACTTCTCTGTTCTTTATTTGGATCCTTGCCTCTCCCATGGAAGTCTCATAGCCAACTAAAACCCACCTTCTTGAACTCTTGAAGACTTTAGGCTTTGCTAACTCTATATCCTTGTTGTTGGCATGCCTTTTTCAAGGATAATTTGGAATTTCAATGATCTTTGAGAAACTTAACATCTCCCTACACGGGTGCTCTTTGATATCTTCCTTCTTATTACTCATGTTTATTGTTTCTCCTCTCACTACTTTCGATCTTCTCTTTACCTTCCTTGAATCCTTTGACATATCCTCCTCCAGATCTCTCATCATCCATTCTTCTATCTACCCCTAAATAAACCTGTCTCTTCCTATTTTAGCCTTCCAACTCTCAATAGTCAACAGAAATTTAGGCCCATTAACTCAGAGGCTCTTGAGGGACATGAGTATCTTCCCCACCCTCCAAAAAATTATTTGCCTGAAGTTGAAATAAAAAATGGATAATTAGAAGAGATTGAGTATTTTGTCTACCAAGCCTTTGGAGACATCCAGACTGCAACTAGATGTATTCTATGCCTAAAATGTATTCCTCTGGCTCCATAGATTAAATATTGGGGCAAAATAATACCCTAAAAGTCTTCTTCACCAATACAGACAAAAGTTTTAGACCTATTGAATAGGCAACCTTGTTGCATTTGCCAGAAAAACAATTTAGATACAATATAATATAGATATAAATCAGTTCATTTTGTATTACGCTATTGCCTCATTCTTGACTAAATTTTAGGAGAGCTATAAAGTATGTTTGTCTCTATCTATATTTTTATGCAAATATGCTGTGTGTGTGACATATTTCTACCTCTGGATATTATTACAAAGTTAATTTTTAATTACTTAAAAGGGTGCTATTCAAATTGGCTTAGAGATAAATAAGCATGATTGTGAATTACATACTCCTAATAATCCTAGAAATATGTATTCAATTTCACATGACTCATGCAAATATTTAGTATATAAGATTAGTTTAAATTGTTTAATACAAACAGCTACATATTACGAATTGTTGCTATTATTAAGTATAAAAAAAGATTTGTGAGCCAGGCATGGTGGCTTATGCTTTTAAACCCAGCATTTTGGGAGGCTGAGGCAGGTGGATCATCTGGAGTCAGGAGTTTGAAACCAGCCTGGCCAACATTATGAAACCCCACCTCTACTAGAAATACAAAAATTAGCCAGGAACGGTGGTAGACACCTGTAATCCCAGCTACTTGGGAGGCCCACGCAGGAGAATTGCTTGAACTCAGGAGGGAGACGTTGCAGTGAGCCAAAATCATGTCACTGCAGTCCAGCCTGGGCAAGAGGGCGAGATTTAGTCTAAAAAAAAAAAAAAAAGAGAGAGAGAGAGAGAGAATACTTTGTCATTTGTATCCTTCTTGGATTTACTAATTTACTAGTTAAGCTGTGTTATGTCCACTGGACATTTAAGATTTTATAAACATTTATATGGCAATAGAGTCATTTCTGAAGTTCAGTAACAATGTATTCTCCTTTCAACAGAACCTAACTAGAACCTGGTTTTATTACAAAGCATTGTCTGAAATATCAAATACAGTTAAGAATGATTTGCATAAAATCAGAGATAACCGGGCAGCTTTAAGAACTATAGTTGACTGTGGAGAAAATACTTACATGGCCCTCTTGGAAAAACCAGCCTTGTAATTGATTAGAGTTCCTGGCCTAAGATGTGAGAAAGACAGGTCACTTCTGGCAAGCTCTGGAGCTTCATGATATTTGGGGACTTTGAGAGGAAAGAATTTCAACCAAATGTATAGGTTCTGAAAGGGAAGCCTGGTGGCAAGTTCCTGGCTTAGTTCCTAGTCTCAAGGCTTTAAAAAGCATAATCTGAAACTAATTATATAAAGTTCTCAAAAAGTAAACTGGAAAGGCCTCTGTGGCCAGGCATGGTGGCTCACACCTATAATCCCAGCATATTCAGAGGCAGAGAATCACTTGAGCCCAGAAGTTCAAGACTAGCTTAGGCAACATGGTAAAACCCCATCCCCAAAATCAATCAGACAAACAAACAACATGCAAAATTAGCTAAGGATGATGGGAACGTGTATGAATTCTGCTTGCATAAGTTAAAGCAGGAAATTTTAAATTATCAACTTCTATTGATAAAACATAACTAACTTACAACTTAAATGCCACTTAACTATTTACCTTAAAATATATAAGTTTGTTATGTGAATTTCAACACCACAACAAAAGTCAACTGTTTTTCCATTTTTCCTTTACCTATCCTTAGTTGTATAACCATCATCTCTTGGTGACACATGGTCATTTCTCTGGGAACAGACTGGCTCTCTGCATAGAAGACCTCCATAATTCTCTCATCAACCTGATGTGGGAAATTTAACAATAAAATAATTAAACATTATGTAAAGAACACGAAATCTGAAACATGACTTTTTCTTCTCTAAAACAAATTTTTAAAATTATTTCTTGTATGACTCCATTCTTCCTTCCTTAAATTACTAGACATTCATGACAACTTAAATATTTCTTCTGACTTTGGATAATCCCATGGGTCCACAAGGCCACCTCTAATGAAGCTGAAGGCAGACATTAATTCTTAGGTAAAAGTTTATTTTTAATTGTTAATAACTATTTAGTTATTATTTTTCTTTTCATATGAATTACTGATGACTACTAATGAGGCAGGGAAAACATGTAAATCCATCAAACTTTTCACTGAATATAAAGTTTACATATGTTTATATTTTACATATTATTACATTTGTTTATATTTTATATTATATGTTACCTTTCTCAGCTGAAGAAGGTAAATTTTCCCATGTTATTCAATCCATCCCACACACACAAATATTGCTAACTTTTAACTGCTGAAGGCTAAAATTCTACATAAAAGTGCTGCTTTATCTCTAAGCAATTAGCTCTATCTTAAATACTGACAAATTTTAATGTACCAGTGCAGCTCTTCTAATGATGTCCAATATTTATTTTTACTGCAATTAGCAATACTCTTAAAGGGGTCATTACAATATTGTACCTCTTTCAAAAATAGAAAACTTCCTCCTTTAACATAGTCTTCACATGCTAATTTGTAGAGGTCAGTCTTTCAACTTTGATGTGTTCGCTGGCTAGTCTTCTAATGGAAATGTGCTGGCTTGTGTATTCTGACATCAATAAATACTTAAGTTCACTGATACTCTGAAGTGAAATGTAAAACTTAAAATGGCAGTTTTCAATTTCCTCCATATTATGATGGAGGGCTAGGTAAGAATTTTAATTTGTTCTGCTTAAATTTCTTTGCTAAGAACTGTTACTTTATTGTCTTGCTTTCTTCTGTTCAGTCTGAAATCTTAAACTTCTTCTTCTCAAAAATATTACTTCTATTCAATCCTACTATTCACCTCATGCTGCTTATAACTAAATTCTCTCTTCAAATCCTACACTAAGGATCCTGTGTTAAGGTTTCAACATCCCTATACAATCTTAATGATTGTACACACCCCATATATTTACACCACCCATATATTAATATACACCATATCTTAACTCACACCCCCCATACATTTAACTACTCTACACTTTTGTTTTATGCACTTAACTTAAAAATGCTGGACTCCTTCAATTCTACCTTGCAAGCCTTAATTTTATTAATAGATATTATTTAAGCCCAGTGATTACTTATCTGTAAAATGCTCTTTTAGTTTTTAGTGTCCTCACATAACCAGTAAGAATGCCTTTCACATAAATATTATTGAGGTCTCAGAACCTGGATGGCCAGGTGCAGTAGCTCACACTGTGAGCCAGTGTGGAAGGCTGAGGCAGCTGGACAGCTTGAGCCCAGGGCTTTAATGTCAGCTATGACAATGTAATGAGATCCTATCTCTACAAAAATATAGAAAAAAGAAAGCAAATTTAGCTATGTGTGGTGGAGCATGCCTGTAGCCACAGCAATGCAGGAGGCTGAAACAGGACAATTGCTTGAGCCCAGGAATTTGAGGCCATAGTGAGCTGTCATCTCACCAAAGTGCTTTGGCCTTGTGAGAGCAAGATTTCAATCCAACAAAAAAACTGAACAAACAATTATTAGGTTGGCACACTGCGGGATCACTACCAAGGGAACCAGAAAATGGAAGAATTCATTAGGTTAAGAATCCTACCATCAAAGAAGACTGCCAGGAACTTTAAGAAAAATTAAGAGGAATTATCTAACAAACACAGGATTAAAACTAATGTTTGCTCACAGTGTGAATCCCAGAATTTTGGGAGGCTGAGGTGGGTGGATCATGAGGTCAAGAGATCAAGGTCATCTTTGGCAACATGGTGAAACCCCATTTCTACTAAAAATACAAAAATTAACTGGGCCTTGTGTGCAACTGTAGTCTCAACTACATGGGAGGTTGAGGCAGGAGAATCACTTGAACCCAGGAGGTGGAGGTTGCGGTGAGCTGAGATCATGCCACTGCACTCCAGCCTAGAGACAGAAGAAAATCTAAAACATAACACAAGAATCATTTTATATTGGCATGGGAGAGTGATGTAGGATAAATGCAGAGTGAAGAGAGAGCAAAATTCTATCAGTTAAATATGTAAACACAATCTACATAAATAAAAAATATATTAGGAGAAAAATGATAAATTACTGTTCATGTAATTCTCGTATGAGGGAAGCTTTTTCAAAACATATCATAAGGGTACACCAAATGCCATTCAAAGAAACACAAATATTTACAAAATCAAAAAATGACACCTCAGAAAAATATAGTATCTGTAAAATTTGTATCATAAGATATAATTCTTACAAATCCATTATCAAATATTAATTTTTAGTGTAGGCTATGGTCAATTTTAATTGCAATTAAGAATTTAAATTGCAATTAAATTTAAATTGCAATTAAGAATTGCATATTAAATAATGGAAAACATTTTCATATATCTATAAAAAATGTAGATGTATTCTAATGCCCTAGTGGTGTCACAGGTAAGAAAATGCATATTCTAATACATGGCAGAATAGCATTAATCTTTGCCCTCAGGATCAATTGAGAAAAATAAAATACCGTAAAGCCATGTACCTTAAAATGGAGCAAACACTGCAATTTCAACCTTAGGAAACATATCAAATGAATTACACATCGGGTTATTAAAACTCAAATTAAACATTAGATTTTTGAAGGTTGGTTAATAGAAAATACAATTTAACCAATTTTTTAAATGCATGTTTTGTTTTGTTTTGTTTTTTTGAGACAGAGTCTCACTCTGTCCCCCAGGCTGGAGTGCAGTGGCGTAATCTCCCTTCACTGCAAGCTCCGCCTCCCAGATTCACGCCATTCTCCTGCCTCAGCCTCCCGAGTAGCTGGGACTACAGGCGCCCACCACCACGCCTGGCTAATTTTTTTTTTTTTGTACTTTTAGTAGAGACGGGGTTTCCGCATGTTAGCCACGATGGTCTCGATCTCCTGACCTCGAGATCCACCCGCCTCGGCCTCCCAAAGTGCTGGGATTACAGGCGTGAGCCACCGCGATTGGGCAATACATGGGTTTTTTTTTTCTTAAATAAAAATTGACCCCTCATTGCTATTGAGTAAATCATTCATAAATACCATTTTCAGTGATTTTCCTCCAGCAAACAAAGATACATATATATTTGTGAAGCAGTGGTTTTTAGAATTTTCCTGAGTCACAGACTGTTGAAAAACTGAAGTTATGGATTTCTTAAATGCAAAATGCTTTATGGCACGCCAGTGTGCAAATTATCCATATCAAAATGGCAAAGGAATACATTTGTATTGATATTTCCATGTGTATACACAAATAACAAATATTGCAAGATCAATCCTAAAATAATGACTTACTTATTTCCCATTGGAAGGTTTTCCAGATTCTATCATATTTTGGTAGTACATTTTATATGAAGTTCTGGGCCCCAGAGTAAGAAACTCTAAAGCATAATGAATATAAATGAGTCTGCAGAAAACCTGTTGAGTACAGGCAATCGACATTAATGAATTCAATTTAGTTTTAAATGTGACATTTCAATGCAAAGTAATTAAGATTTTAAAATGAAATTTTCACATTATTTCAATCATTCTTTTAATACATCTTTAGTACTTACAAAGAAATTTGCTCATTATCAGTAAATTAATGTTCTGTACATGAAATAAACAAAATTGAGAAGTTTTGATATCTTCAAACTGACTGTCTTTTAGTCCTATGGTTCCATCTTTATAATTTAAAACATTACCCAAATGTCCTTCATATGAGGGATGCAACCCTTTTGTTCCTCCACTACCTCCTTTTGCAGATCTCAGACTTCCTGAAGGCTCCTGCTTCTCCAAGAAGGTGGTGGTCTTCACCTAACATCACTTTGAAAAGACGGTTTGTTGACTTGTCCTACTTTTATTGCTTTTCCACAGAAAGACTAAAAGTATTAAGTATCCTATCAATAACATTGTCACATTTAACCTAAACACATTTTACAAACATTTTTGTATCCACTATATTTCAGTTCTAGATATTTTCTCCCAAAGCAAATATATTTTTTTTCCTGAAATGACCATGTCTTTCACAATGCAAAGTTTGAGATATTTACTGAGCACATGCCTTCCATTAAGGGATCAAATACAAATTCTATTATTGAAATTCCTTGAAAAGTTTTCCAGTATTAAAAATAACACCTCAAAAAAATTAACCTATCACATATTCTATGTGATAATGCAGCACATCTCTTTTTTACAATATGTAATCTATTTCATCTTTGTATTCACATCACTTATTTGTTTCAGTGTCCCAAGGATATATGAAAGACTGTCATCTAAAAATAGAGGATTTTTTATTCAAAGTCATTAGCCATATTATTTGTTCTGAATAGTTTCTTGTTTGTTCTGCTAACCACTTACATAAAATGTCCCAATATGATTTACAATTCAATATTTACTCTAGCTCTCTTTCTGTAAATGTGATCCTTGTTTGCCCTCATTCAGGTTTTTTGCCTTACTCACTTCTTATCTTGCCTTAGAAGTGTCCCTAATAAATGACTCTTAATATAGTACTTCATGTTATTTCTCAGAAATGCTTAAATGTGCTAATTAATTTCATAATAACTTTCTTCAGTTTAATCTTTTCTATAGGCAAAGGTGGGTTTTAGAAAAAATGTCAGCAAAAATTGTATTTAAAACTTACATTGCTTTGTTATTTGGGGGAAGATCTTAAATCCTTTCCAAGATCTCTTGCAGTCACATAGCCAGTCATTGAAACTTTGGGACTTCTTTTGTTATTTCTGGGCCCAAAATATGTTCCCCAGATTTGCACATGACTGCTTCCTTCCCACTATTTGGAAGTCAGTCAGACTTTCTTAAACTGTTCATTCCCCCTGAAACCTCTAAGTACTTCCTTTATTTCTCCTCTTAACTTCTGTGTGCATATTACATTTATATTTATTCTTACACAATAAGATATATTAGATGAAGTAATTTAGAAATAACATCTACAGTAATCACCTGTTCTTGTGCTTGAAAACTATGGGGAAAAAGAAATTATCATAGATTACTATACATAAGTCAAAATTGTTTCCATACCTACAAAACCATGAGCCAAAAGCAACTTTCAGTTTCTACTAAACTTAAAATATGATAGTATAACCTGAATAAAAATGTACTCCTGCTATGTACCAGGAAGTGTGCTAGATGTAACAGAAACAAAAGAAACTAGGAAAACTTAAAATATGCACTAAACACAATTTAACAATCAACAGATCAGTACTTGGTACAGTAAGACCAAAATACCCACAATATACAATGAAGAAGAAAATGTAAAATCTAAGCTGTTTTTGGAGCATAAATTACTATTTGCGAGATGTATGCCAGGAAGAAAAACTCTCAAGAAGTCCAAAAAACATATTAGTGATAGCATAAAGAGTAATGGGAACTAAAAACAGATTGGGACAATGTTATGAAACAAAAATCTCCAAAGTATCCAGAATGCAATGATTTTGACGGTAATATAAAGGAATTCAGTAGGTAATGGAATGACACACAAGTTTAAAGCTGTAATAAACACACAATCCCCAGAATTTAAGATTCAATAAGACAGAACCATGGGTTGGATCAAAATAAGTCCTCAAACACACTGGGAAAATGAATAATTTGGTATTCATGTTACATAAATCACTCTGGTGAGAGAAGAAAAATGTTTTTAGGAGAAAAAGAGCAAAGATGGAGCAAAAATACCAGTTAGTAGTTCTGTTACCCAACTTCAATGTTCTCATATTATTTTCTACTTTCAAGTACTTAACACTTTCTTAAATGTAAAGGTCTTGTTCAGATACACTTTCTCAAGAATGTATTTTCAGAAAATGTGAAAGAATCTTTCCTTCTTATGAGTCTGTCTAGATGTCTCTCTATGGAAGATTTCCATCTTGTAAGTCTGTCTAGCTGTCTATCTATAGTTTGTCTATGCAATAGAAATATTTCCATGAATTGGAAGTAATTCCATTAATAGTATTTAATAAATACTGACTTATTTGTCTCATTTTTGTGAGAGTTACTTCTAAGTTTTAAAGCTGCTTGAAAGCTTTGAAAATCTATTTACACTTGTATTGAAATACTAACATACAAATAGGGTTACCAAGTATTAATTTATGTAACATTTATTCCAATATCCTTCCAACTACACTTGCACTTATATGGCAAAAAGAAGAGGATGGCTAAAGCATTTCAGATCATATGACATTATGATATCTTCAAAAGTTTAGTAATACGAGAAAGACCTTGAAATGCTGTTAAGTGAAGAAGAGTTAATATATTATTAATAAGGGACTCATCTGCAGCATTCTCAGAATAAATGCAAAGCTTCTGAAACTGCTGGTTTCCCAATCATTTATGGTAAGAAGTAAAATATATGAAAACATTTTGCATTTATATAGTGGACTCATCATAGTACTAACAAATGAAAAACAAAATTGCATTTCACATCATTACTATGATTCTTAATACTAAGTCACCTCTATAGTCAGCCTGTCTTATTCCAGTTTGCTCCCTACCTCCACAACACATTTACTTTTGCTCATTTTCCTTTCTCACTAGTAGGTGACCTTTATGACAGACCCTTTACCTGCTGCCATGAGAATTTTCCCAACATCAAATAGAAACTTGAAAATAACAGTTTAAAAACAAACAAATATTTTAATTTATGTATTCAGTAAATATATTAAGTATATATTTACTTTGGAAAAAATATATAACCAACATATATATATATATATATCGCCAACATATCTGTGTATTTGTGTGTATATATATATCCAACATATATGTGTGTGTATATATATATATCCAACATATATATGTGTGTGTGTGTGTGTGTGTGTGTGTATGTATATATATATATGTGTGTGTGTGTTGTCTTCCAGTATGGGACCATATTTCCCAAATACTGCTTTAAGTGTCTTTTCATTACTTTCTAAACGGAGGACACCAATGAAAAGCTTTCCAGGCCCATCTGCTTCCACCATTTTGCTGTAAATGTTAAAAAAAAAAAGAAAAAGAAAAATCTATATTTAGATAACAATAAATAAGTCAAAAGTATAAAATTTTATTACATACTGTGTTGAAAACTCAAGTGAAATTCCCTTACAAAGGCTGACATCTTTTTAGTATTACTTGACTTTGAATATGTAAAATTTGTAACATGCAGAGCGAAAGGGGCACTGACTTCATAGACAAATGCTGCATTTTAATACGTACCTGGCAAAAACTTGTTTGTAAAAATGAGAGGAGAAAAGCTATTGTAATTTTCTTAAACTGCAATACGCAGGATACCCATTTAAATAATTTCATTTGAAAACTATATACTGTACAATGTGATGTTTTGTGTATTTTTTTCTTGAGTTGTAAATTTCCTGTTGGCAACTTGCACTGCTCACTGCAGCCTCCTCTGCAGAGCTTCAAGTGATCCTCCGACTTCTCAGCTACTTGAGTAGCTACAGGCTCTCGCTATCAGAGCTAGTAGGCAATTTTTTTGTGTGTTTCTTTAATGGACATGGGTTTCCCCATGGTACCCAAGCTGGTCTCAAACTTGGGTTAAGTTAAGTTAAGATCTACCTCTCCCTCCAAATCAGAGATAACCAGGCAACTTTAAGAACTAAAGTTGACTGTGGAGAAAATACTTAGACAGCCCTCTTGGAACATCAGCCTGGTAATTGGTTAGAGCTCCTAGCTTAAGAGGTGAGAAAGACAGGTCACTTCTGGGCAAGCTCTGGAACCTCACGATACTTGGGGACTTTGAGAGGAAAGGTATTCAACCAAGTGTATAGGTTCTGAAAGGGAAGCCTGGTGGCAAGTTCCTGGCTTAGTTCCTAGTCTCAAAGCTTTAAAAATTCTAATCTGAAACTAATTATATAAAGTTCTCACCTAGTAAACTGGAAAGGCCTCTGTGGCCAGACATGGTGGAAGACACCTGTAATCCCAGCACATTCAGAGGCAGAGGTGGGAGAATCACTTGAGCCCAGAAGTTCAAGGCTAGCCTAGGCACGTGGTAAAACCCCATCTCCAAAATCAAACAAGCAAACAAACAACATACAAAATTAGCCAAGCATGATGGTTTGCACCTGTGGTCTCAGCTACTCAGGAGGATGAGGTGGGAGGATCACTTGGGCCCATGAGTTTGAGACTACAGTGAGCTGGACATTGTCTCAAATTTAAAAAATAAATTATATATATAATAAATTTTATATTATATATAAAATAATAGATAACTTATTTATATTATAATTTATATCATTCATTTATATAAAGTTAAATATAAATATAAATTTATAAAATATAAATAAAATAAATATATTTATATAAATTTATTTATATGCATTTAATTTTTTACATATAATTTATAATTATACCTTTGTGGTCAATGACAGTTCTTAATGCACTTAGGTAAAAAATGAGGACAAATCTAGTCAGACCAGACTTATCTGGTGAACAAGAGTCAAGAGAAGTAACTTCAGAGAGAATTTTGTTTCAATGCAAAACTAAAACACACCCCCATGTGAGTTGTCTTACGTATTTTATTAGTCTACAACTTCAATTCTCATTTCATTCAATGTATAGCTACAAGTTTCTAAACTAAAATTTCAACACTGGGTCCCCCTTTCATGATTTAGCATCACTGAAAACCAAAACTGCCCAATTGTCCCCAAACCTTGTAAGCTGAAAGTGGATGACTACATATGAACAATCTGAAAAATCATTTTCATGCCTTTAATACCTGATGCCAACACTGGAGGCATTAAAAACTGCAAACCAAAGAATTAATTAAATCATCACTGCTATCCTCACTCCACCATCTAAAAAATACTTTAAGCTGAACATGTGGAAGTGTCAATTGGCTTCCCTCTGGAAGGGGAAAAGGGACTTTGATGGGAAGTAATCAGGTCAGGAAGGCAGCACCCTCATAAATGCCATTAGCAACCTCCTAAAAGGCTATAGAGTTCCCAACTCACTTCTATAATGTATAGACTCAGCAAGAGGGTTGTTTAAAATCCAGGAAGTGGCTGGGTGAGGTGACTCATGCCTGTAGTCCCGGCACTTTGGGAGGCAGAGACAGGCAAATCAGAAGGTCAGGAGATCGAGTCTATCCTGACTAAAATGGTGAAATCTTGTCTCTACTAAAATACAAAAAACTGTTGTGGGGTGGGGGGAGGGGGGAGGGATAGCATTAGGTGATATACCTAATGCTAAATATGAGTTAATGGGTGCAGCACACCAACATGGCACATGTATACATATGTAACAAACCTGCACATTGTGCACATGTACCCTAAAACTTAAAGTATAAAAAAAAAAGCCAGGCATGGTGGTGCACACCTGTCACCCCAGCTACTCATGAGGCTGATGCAGGAGAATCACTTGAACCCTGGAGGCAGAGGTTGCAGTGAGCCGAGATAGTGCCACCGCACTCCAGCCTGTTGACAGAGATTCCATCTCAAAAATAAATAAATAAAAATAAAACCCAGGAAGGGACCCCTTACCTGAACACTGTATTTGCTGATGCCTTGACCTTGGGCTTCTCAGCCTCTGGGATTACAAGAAAGGTTTGTTATAAACCACCAAGTCCAGGTATTTTCTCATAGTAATGCCTGTGGACAAAGATGGTAAAAAAAAATTAACCTATTATTCATTCAAAAGCATTATGTTCCTATGAAAAATGATGCAATAAGGCTTTCGCTCTTGTTACATAAAGGGTTTTCAGCATTTATTCTAACTTCTGAAACAGAATCCCTGTTCCAAGATTGATAAATTATATATTGCTGGTTACTCTTCTGTTTCCCATACCTTTTAATCATTATGACAGAATGTTTCATGCAGATAATTCGGGTTAAAAAAGCCTAGGGACAGAGTATCATAGACACCTTCTCCTTTTTTTATTTTTTTTATCAGTGTCTCGCTTTGTCACACAGGCTAAAATGCAGTGGTGTAAACAGACTCACTGCAGCCTGGAACTCATGGGCTCAAGCAATCCTCCCGCCTCAGCCCCCAAGGATCTGGGACTACACTGATGCACTACCACATCCAGCAATTTTTTGTCTATTTTATACAGACAAGATTTCTCCATGTTGCCCAGGCTGGCCTCAAACTCCTGAGTTGAAGCGATATGCCCACCTCAGCCACCCAAAATGCTGGGATTACAGACCTAAGCCATCACACCTGGATAGGCAGTATTTCTCCTGTTGCTGCTGTGAAGATACACAAGCCCAGGGAGTTGTATCTTTTCACTTAATCCTCACAATCCTATATTATAGGTGAATGTTAACACAATTTCATAACGTAAATAACTCACTTGAAAAATCAAAGTTAGTAACTTCTCACTTTAAAATTATTTGCCACCTTACCCTATAAAAATTATGATCTTGTCAAAATTTTCTCATAAAGATATGTCCTCTTTACAGATTAGTCTGTTAATTTTAAGAATTATGGACTGTAAAGTTCTGGATCTTCATATATTTCATTTATTTAGCTTGTATGTTCAGGAAAATTAATTGGTTTACTTATTTGGGTCCAAATCTTTCCAGTTTTATCATTAGATGATATATTAAACTGTTAAGCAATTGCCTATCTGAAACTTTATGATGTTGTTTCATGTTTTATATGCTTCACTTTCCAAAAAACCATGAGATTTAAAGCATTTCTATTCATATCTTCACTTAAATTTGATAGTAGGAGCCTGTTGGCTCATGCCTGTAATCCTAGCACTTTGGGAGGCCAAGGAGGGTGAATCAGGATTTTAAGACTTGTCTGGCCAGCTGTCTGTACTAAAAATGCAAAATTTAGCCAGCTTTGGTAGCACACAGCTGTAAACCCACTTACTCATGATGCTGAGGCAGGAGAATAGCTTGAACCCAGAAAGTTGTGGTCACAGTGAGCCAAGATCCAGGCACTGCACCCCAGCTTGGGAAACAAAAGCTAGACTCCATCCAAAACAAAAAACAAAAAACCTGATCAAATCCCAAGCCTTCTAGATAATTTCTATTTGCAAGAACTTATTGCTAAGCCATTACTTACAACAACCATTGTCAAATATTATAGGAAATAATTAACATGAGTACCTCCCACATAAAACACTTATTTTCCACTATTTAAAACTAGGAAGACTTAATTTCATTAAACTATATACTTAGGAAACGTAGCTGGTTCCGTTTTTATTTAGGTTGAAAAAAATGTTTCATCACCATTATCCCCCTTCAGTCACAGAATGCTTCAAGAAAAATGTTATGGATGTCTTAAACTTTAATATAAAACATATCTAATTATTTCTTTTGACCCACATGATTCCTCTGAATGATAAACAATTTATGGTGAGGCAGACAGTTTTTTAGTCTTTCTGAAGAGTTCTCAAACTTTTAAAGCTTGTAAGTTTTTAAAGAGAAACACAGCCAAATTAGAAAAGGTGTGCAGCTTGCAAGGGAGATGTAACCTATGCCTACTTTTGTATCTATTTATATGCAAAGCTACAAAGAAAATTTTTGACAAAAAACACAGTTTAATTTCCTATTTAATTTGCTTTTAAGCATGTGTAGCAATAAAATCAGGCATTAGGCATTACATGTATAATTTTAATCTGAAAATTTTAATACAGCCATATCATCTAAACAGATAGTTTTCAAATAACACTAACAATTATGAAATTACTTTGAAAAAAGTTCCTTTTCATCTTAATACCTCAAAAAATTCATGGAGGAAGTTAAGATCTACCTCTCCCTCCAAAATCAACATTTTGTTTTAGTGGTACTCATGTAATGATGTAGAAATGACATTTTAATTTTTGATTTGCAAGCAAGGATTGTATGCAATAACTACTATTTTTCTTTTCTTTATTTTTTTCTTTTTATTTTGTGAGACCATTTTGCTTTGTTGCCCAGGCTGGAGTGCAGTGCTGAAAAAGCACATGGAACAAATAATCATAATCAGTTATTCAGAAAATACATTTCAAACCAAAATGAAATACCATACTTCACACATACTGGAATGGAAATAAATTTTAAATAGCAGGAAATATCAAGTGTTTGAGAGCATGTAGATAATTTGGAACCCTGACACAATGCTAGCTGCAATGGACAATGATGCAGCTGCTATGGAGAAATGTGGTTGTTCCTCAAGAAAACAAAGTTATCATAGGACCAAGCAATTCCACTCATATATACCGAGAGTTGAATAAGTATACCCAAACACATATGTATATATGGAAATATGGTAGTGGAAACAACCCAAACAAAATAATGAGTTAGCAGCTTGTGTAAATGAACCTTCATGGCATCATGCAAACAAAAGGAGACAGTTATAAAATGTCCTGTGGTGTTTGGGCCCATTAACATGAAATGCCCAGAACAGCTAAGTTCAGAGGCAGAAAACAGATTGTTGTTTACTAGTGGCTGACAGAAGGGAGAAAGTGAAAGGAACTGCTTAACTGGTAGTGGAGTTGTAGTTTGGAGTGATGAAAATGTTTTGGAACTAGTTGGAGGTAGCTGTTGCACAACACAGAATATATTAAATGCCAATTAACTATTTACCTTTAAATGTTAAAGTTTGTTATGTGAATTTCATCACCACAACAGAAGTCAACTATTTTTCCATTTTTTCTTAACCTATCCTTAGTTGCATAACCCTCATCTCTTAATGACACATGGTCATTTCTCCAGGAAGAGACTGACTCTGCGTGGAGGACCTCCAGAATTCTCTCATCCACATGACATGGGACATTTAATGTTAAAATAATTAAATATTATATAAAGAACACAAAATCTGAAACACAATTTTTTCTTCTCTGAAACAACTTTTAAAAATTATTTCTTGAATCACTCCATTCTTCTTTCTCTAAATTACTAGACATTCATGACAACTTCAATATTTCTTATGGCTTTGGATAATCCCATGGCTCCACAAGGCCAGTTCTTCTAACAAAGCTGAAGGCAGACATTAATTCTTTGGTAAAAGTTCACTTTAATTGTTAATAACCAGTTAGTTACTATTTTTTCTTTTTATATGAATTACTGATGACTACTAATGATAACAGGCAAAACCTGTAAAACCATCAAACTCTCCACTGAATATAAAGTTTACATATATTGTCCTTTCTCAGCTGAAGAAGGTTATCCCGTGTTGTTCAATCCATCTCACAAGCACCAATATTGCTACCTTTGAACTACTGCATGCCAAAATTCTACATAAAAGTGCTCCTTTATCTCTAAGTGATTGGCTGTATC
Organism: Homo sapiens; assembly: GCF_000001405.40. Taxonomy (NCBI): domain Eukaryota; kingdom Metazoa; phylum Chordata; class Mammalia; order Primates; family Hominidae; genus Homo; species Homo sapiens. Next base: position 22,203,094 of record NC_000024.10, on the reverse strand, counting down.
TTAAATGTTGACAAATTAAAATGTACTAGTGCAGCTCTTCTAATGATGTCCAATATTTATTTTTACTGCAATTAGCAATAGTCTTAAAGGGATAATTACAATATTGTAACTCTTTCAAAAATAGAAAACTTCCTCCTTTGACATACTCTTCACATGCTAATTCATAGAAGTCAGTCTTTCACCTATGATGTGTTTGCTGGCTAGTCTTCTAATGGAAATGTGCTGGCTTGTGTATTCTGAAATCAATAAATACTTAACTTCACTGATACTCTACATGAGAAATGTAAAATTGAAAACGGCAGTTTTCAATTTCCTCCATATTATGATGGAGGGCTAGGTAAGGATTTTAACTTGTTCTGTTTAAATTTCTTTACTAAGATCTGTTACTTTATGGTCTTGTTTTCTTCTGTTCACTCTGAAATCTCACACTTCTCTTTCTCAAAAATATTACTTCTATTCAATCCTACTGTTCACCTAATGCTGCTTAGAACTAAATTCTCTCCTGAAATAACTGAAGTCCTACACTAAGTATCTTGTGTTAAGGTTTTAACATCCCTGTACCATCTTAACAATTGTACACCCCCTCCATATATTTACACTCTCCATACATTAATTTACACCATATCTTAATTTACATCCCCCATATATTTCACAACTCTGCACTTTTGTGGTATGCTCTTAACTTAAAAATGCTGGACTCCTTCAAGTTTACCTATCAAGCCTTAATTTTATTATTCATTATTATTTAAGCCCAGTGATTGCTTATCTGCAAAATGCTCCTTTTGTTCTTGTGTATCCTCACATAACCAGTAAGAATGCCTTGCACGTAAGTATTACTAAGGTCTCAGAACCTGGATGGCCAGGCGCAGTGGCTCACATTGTGAGCCAATGTGGAAGGCTGAGGCAGCTGGACTGCTTGAGCCCAGGGCTTTAATGTCCTCTATGACAATGCAATGAGATCGTGTCTCTACAAAAATATAGAAAAAAGGGAAACAGATTTAGCTATGTGTGGTGGTGTATGCCTGTAGTCACAGCAACGCAGGAGGCTAAAAGAGGACAATTACTTGAGCCCAGGAATTTGAGGCCGTAGTGAGCTGTCATCTCATCGATGCACTCTGGCCTGGTGAGAGCAAGACTTCAACCCAAAAAGAAACTGAACAAACAATTTTTAGATTGACCCACTGGAGGACCACTACCAAGTGACCTAGGTAATGGAAGAATTCATTAGATTACGAAGCCTACCATCAAAGAATACTGCCAGGAATTTTAAGAAAAATTAAATGGAATTCTCTAGAAAACACAGGATTAAAACTAATGTTTGTTCACAGTGTGAATCCCAGCACTTTGGGAGGCTGAGGTGGGCAGATGATGAGGTCAAGAGATCAAGACCATCCTGGGCAACATGGTGAAACCCCATCTCTACTAAAAATAAAAAAATTAACTGAGCCTCATGGCGTGCAACTGTAGTCCCAGATACATGGGAGGTTGAGGCAGGAGAATGGCTTGGACCCAGGAGGCGGAAGTTGCAGCGAGCTGAGATCACGTCGCTGCACTCCAGCCTGGTGACAGAAGAAAATCTAAAAAATAACAAAGAATCATTTTATATTGGTGTGACAGAGAGATTTGGGATAAATGCAGAGTGAAGAGAAAGCAAAAATCTATCAGTTAAATATATAAATACAATCTACATAAAGAAAAAATATATTTGGAGAAAAATGATAAATTACTGTTCATATAATTCTACTATAAAAAAAGTGTTTCAAAACATATCATAAGGGTACACCAAATTCCATTCAAAGAAACTCATTTATTTACAAAATCAAAAAATGACACCTCAGAAAAATACATTATCTGTAAAATTTGTATCATAATATACAATTCCTAAAAATCCATTATGAAGTATTAATTTTTAGCTTAGTCTATGCTCAATTTTAATAACCTTTAAGAATTGCATATTAAATAATAAAAAATATTTTCTTATATCTACAAAAAATGTAGATATATTCTAATGCCTTGGTGGTGTTACAGGTAAGAAAATGCATATTCTCATACATGGCAGAGTAGTATTAATCTTCACCCTCAAGATAATTTGAGAAAAAAATACTATGAAGCTATGTACCTTAAAATGGAGCAAACACTGCAATTTCGACTTGAGAAAGCATATCCAATGACTTGCACATCCGGTTATTAAACTGATCTCCTGACCTTGTGATCCACCTGCTTCAGCCTCCCAAAGTGCTGGGATTACAGGTGTGATTGCCTTACTCATTTCTTATCTTGCCTTAGAAGTGTCCCTAATAAATGACTCTTAATATAGTACTTCATGTTATTTCTCAGAAATGCTTAAATGTCCTAATTAATTTCATAATAACTTTCTTCACTTTAATCTTTTCTATAGGCAAAGGTGATTTTAGAAGAAATGTCAGCAAAAATTGTATTTAAAACTTACATTGCTTTGTTATTTGGGGGAAGAACTTAAATCCTTTCCAAGATCTCTTGCACTCACATTTCTGGGCCCAAAACATGTTTCCCAGGTTTGTGCATGACTGCTTCCTTCCTACTATTCAGAGGTCAGCCAAACTTTCTTAACCTGTTCATTGCCCCTGAAACCTCTAAGTACTTCCTTTATTTCCCTTCTTAACTTTTGTGTGCATATTACATTTATATTTATTCTTACACAGTAAGATATGTTGGATGAAGTAATTTAGAAGTAACATCCACAGAAATCACCTGTTCTTGTGCTTGAAAACTATGGGGGAAAAAGAAATTATCATAGATTATTATACATAAGTCAAAATTATTTCCACACCTACAAAACCATGAGCCAAACGCAACTTTCAGTTTCTCCAAAAACTTAAAATATGAAAGCATAACCTGAATAAAAAGGCACCTCTGCTATATACCAGGAAATGTGCTAGATGTAACAGAAACAAAAGCAACTAGGAAAACTTAAATATGCACTAAAGACAATTTAACAATCAACAGATTAATACATGGTACAGTGAGGCCAAAATACCCACAATATACAGTGAAGATGAAAATGTAAAATCTAAGCTGTTTTTGGAGCATGAATTGCTATTTGTGAGATGTACGCCGGGAAGAATAACTCTCGAGAAGTCCAAAAAAGCATATTGGTGATAGCATAAAGAGTATTGGGAACTAAAAAGAGATTTGGATAATGTTATATAAAAAAATTCCAAAGTATCCAGAATGCAATGATTTTGATGGTAATATGAAGGAATTAAGCAGGTAATAGAACGACACAAAAGTTTAAAGCTGTAATAAACACAGGATCCCTAGAATTTAAGATTCAGTAAGACAGAGATCATTAGTTGGATCAACACAAGTGCTCAAACACACTGGAAAAATGAATAATTAGGTACTCATGTTACATAAATCACTATGGTGACAGGATAAAAATGTTTTAAGGAGGAAAAGAGCAAGGATGGGGCAAAAATGCCAGTCATTCTGTTACTCAACTTCAATATTCTCATATTATTTTCTACTTTCAAGTACGTAACACTTCCTCAATGTAAAGATCTTGTTGAAATATACTTTCTCAAGAATGTGTTTTCAGAAAATGTGAAAAAATCTTTCCTTCTTGTGAGTCTGTCTAGATGTCTCTCTATAGAAGATTCCCATCTTGTAAGTCTATCTAGCTGTCTACCCATAGTTTGTCTATGCTATAGAAGTATTTCCATGAATTGGAAGTAATTCCATTAATAGCATTTGATAGATACTGACTTATTTCTCTCATTTTTGTGAGGGTTTCTCCTAAGTTTTAAAGCTGCTTGAAAGCTTTGAAAATCTATTTACACTTGTATTGAAATACTAACATACAAATATGATTACCATATATTAATTTATGTAAGGTTTATTCCAATATCCTTCCAACTACACTTGTACTTAATATGGCAAAAAGAAGAGGATAGCTAAAGCATTTCAGATCATATGACATTATGCTATCTTCAAAAGTTTAGTAATACTAAAAAGACCTTGAAATGCTGTTAAGTGAAGAACAGTTAGGATATTATTAATAAGGAACTGTTAACATTTCCATTCATATCTTTGACAACATTTTTAGCATCTGCAGCTTTCTCAAAATAAATGCAAAGCATCTGAACTTGCTGGTTTCCCAATCATTTATCAGAAGAACAAAAATATATGAAAATATTTTACATTTATCTAATGGACTCACTGTAGTACTAACAAACCCAAAAAATGCATTTCACATCATTACTATGATTCTTTTAATACTAAGTCACCTCTATAGTCAGCCTATTTTATTCCAATTTGTTCCATGCGTCCACAACACATTTACTTTTGCTCATTTTCATTTTTCAGTAGTAGGTGACATTTACCACAGACCCTTCACCTGCTGCTATGAGAATTTTCCCAATATCAAATAGAAATCCAAAAATAACAGTTTAAAAACAAATAAATATTTTATATATCCAGTAAATACATTAAGTATATATTTACTTTAAAAAATATATATAACCAACATGTATATGTAGATACATATATATACACACACACATATATATATAACAGTTGCCTTCCAATATGAGACCATAATTCCCAAATACTGCTTTAAGTGTCTTTAACTGGTGTCTAAACGGAGGCCACCAATGAAAGGCTTGCCAGGCCTATCTGCTTCTACCATTTTGCTGTAAATGGTAACAAAAAATCTATATTTAGATAATAAATAAGCCAAAAAGATAAAATTTTATTACATATTGTGTTGAAAACTCAAGTGAAATTTCCTTGCAGAGGCTGACATCTTTTTAGATTTTCTTACTTCAAATATGTAAAATTTGTAACATGCACAGTGAAAGGGGCACTGACTTCATGGACAAGTGCTGCATTTTAATATGTACCTGACAAAAACTTGTTTGTAAAAATGAGAGGAGAAAAGCTACTCTAATTTTCTTAAGCTGCAATACGCAGGATACTCCATTTAAATAGTTTTATTTGAAAACTATGTATATATACTGTACAGTGTGTTTTGTGGATTTTTTTCTTGATATGTAATTTTTCTGTTGCCAAAGTGCACCGCTCACTGCAGCCTCCTCTACCGAACCTCAAGTGATCCTCCCACGTCTCATCTAATGGGTAAGCTACAGGCACTCACTACCAGAGCTAGTAGGCACTTTTTTGTGTCTTTCTTTAATAGACATGGGTTTCCCCGTGGTACCCAACCTAGTCTCAAACTCCTGGGCTCAAGCTATCTTCTGGCCTGGTGCTACCAAGGTGATGAGATTTCAAGGGTGAACCACCACGCCCAGCTTGATATTTTAATAAATGATTAAATCAAGCTAACTAAAATACATGCTTCCTTGGGGGAGAACATTTCAAATGTTTTACATTTTAGTGATTTGAAATATACAATAGATCAGGGATCCCCAAACCCTGGTCTCCAACCGGTATCTGTCTGTGGCCTGTTAGGAACCTGGCTGCAGAACAGGTGGTGAACCTCTGGCACTGCCTGAGCCCCGCCTCCTGTCAGATCAGCGAAGACATTGGGTTCTCACAGGAGTAAGGGCCCTACTGTGAACTGCGCATACGAGGATCTAGGTGGCGCTCTCCCTAGAAGATTGTAATGCCTGAGTGTGACCTGAGGTGGAACAGTTTCATCCAGAATCCATCCTCCCTATTCCCCGCTGGCCTGCCCTGTCCCCCTCGCAGCCCCGCTGTCCCACCACTGCCCCCCGTCACACTGCTCTGGCCTGAAACCCCTTCCTACACTGTACTCCTCCTGGAACGGCCGCCCCCCACCTCCCCAAGGTGTCCACCTCACCACCTTCTCCCCCTACCCACCTCTTTTCTGTGAAAAAATAGCTTCCACTAAACCGGTCCCTGGCGCCAAAATGGCAATAGATTAAAGGGCTCATTATATTCGCAGACTGGTCTCCAACTCGTGACTTCAAGCCATCCTCACATCTCCTCTTCCCAATGGTAGGAATTACAAGAGTAAGTCAGTGTGGCAAGTTAATAGAATAACTTAAACGCATTTATTTTGTCTCCGTTTTAAGCTATCTATCACCATTTATCTGGATTACACCCACTTATTCGGTTTAAATTATTTACGGTGCCAGACATACATGAAACATGTTTCAAATACTGTCATACAAGGAAGGAGACAATTAAAGGTTTTACGGAAACAAATTTAAACTGAGATTATTTATGGCCCCAGACTTCCTCATACACTAAAGTAATGCAATTTAGGTCAAAATTTCATAATTCCTGTCAAGCAAATCATAAATTTGACATGTGATAAGTAAAACTACAAGGTGTTTTTTTGAGACGGAGTCTCGCTCGGTCGCCCAGGCTGGAGTGCAGTGGCACGATCTGGGCTCACTGCAAGCCCCGCCTCACGCCATTCTCCTGCCTCAGCCTCCCAAGTAGCTGGGACTACAGGCACCCACCACCACGCCCGGCTAATTTTTTGTATGTTTAGTAGAGACGGGGTTTCACTCTGATCTCGATCTCCTGACCTCAAGATCCGCCCACCTCGGCCTCCCAAGGTGCTGGGATTACAAGCATGAGCCACCGCGCCAGGCCAAAGTACAAGTTTTTAATCACAGTGGTTAAGTATATTGCCTATATATTTGAATTAGGACCACATTCACAGAGAAAAACCGCTTTAACAAAAAGTGCACATGAGAAAAATGGCGCCCTAGCTCCATCTCCCACAACTTGCCCACATGTCGGGCACGTCCGATAGTAAAGGGAAGAATACTCAAGAAAAAGCAGCGAGTTTAACGAAAGTAAGTTTCGTAGTAAGTAAAGCAGTAAAGAGTCCTCTCCCTACTGTTTCCTCCCATAATTCAACACCCACACATTGAAAACCCATCGCCTTTTATAGAAAAAATCCAAAAACTTCGTGGTCTTTGTACTCCTGCCAAGAAATCAGTTATACCCATAAACATAAATCCACACATAATAACAATTATAACCTTTCTTAACATTTGCCAAAAAAAGCCTGAGAAAAATGGTCTGAATTAACACATTTCCTCTATTCGCAGGAGATGATGTAGACATTAATTCTTTCACCTGAGATACAAACATGTCCTCTCTGCTTAAAATTAAGAATTTTTTGCCTAATTTTCCTGATTTTCTGAGAAACTGCCTGCGCGCCACCCTCTGTCACCACGAGCTGAAGGAACAGTTGAGGCTAGTGGCGTACCCAGCTATAAAACTTAGAAACACGGATATACCACCACTGTGAGAGCCGCAAAGGAAGTAGGCAAAGAGAAGCATAACATAAATAAAAGGAAGAGTGGCCCAAGAAATTTTGAATTAAAAAAAAAAAAGAAAAGGAAAATTTTTTATGTAATTCAATTATTTAAATGTAATATATAATTTAATTATACTTTTAGCTATTTTTAAATGAACAGTTAAATTATTTTTTAATATAGTCACCCTGTTGTGCTAGCAAAAACTACATCTTCTTTATTCTATTTTTTATACTGATTAACCATGTACCCTGCCCCTCCACCTTCCAACTCCTGATTATCCTTCCCCGCCTCTTGCAACCATCCATCTACATTCTATCACTATGAGTTCAATTGTTTTAAGTTTTAGCTCCCACAGGTAAGTGAGAACATGCAATGTTTGTCTTTCTGTGCATGGCTTATTTCACTTAACATAATGACCTCCAGTTCCATCCATATTGTTGCAAATGACAAGATCTCATTTTTCTATGGCTGAATAGTACCCTCTTGCATATATGTACCACATTTTCTTCATCCATTATTCTGTTGATAGACACTTAGTTTCCTTCCAAATCTTGGCTATTGTGAGTGGTGCTACAATAAACATGGGAGTGCAGATATCTCTTCAATATACCGATTTCCTTTCTTTTAGGTATGTATTTAGAAACGGGAGTGCTGGATCATATGGTAGCTCTATTTTTACTTTTTTGAGGGACTTCCAAACTGTTTTCCATAGTGATTGTACTAACTTCCATTCCCTCCAACAGTGTGTGAGGGTTCCATATTCGCCACACCCTCACCACCATTTGCTATTGCCTGTCTTTTGAATAAAAGCAATTTTAACTGTAGTGAGAGGATATCTCATTATAGTTTTGATTTGCATTTATCTGATGATCAATGATATTGAGCACCTTTTCAGATACCTGTTTGCCACTTGTATGTCTTCTTTCCAGAAATGTGTGTTCAGTTTTTTCATATATATATGTATATATACATATGAAAACATATATATATATATTTATTATATTTTAAGTTCTAGGGTACTTGTGCACAACCTGCAGGTTTGTTACATATGTATACATGTGCCATGTTGGTGTGCTGCACCCATTAACTCATCATTTACATTAGGTATATCTCCTAATGCTATCCCTCCCCCTTCCCCCCACCCCACAACAGGACCCTGTGTGTGATGTTCCCCTTCCTGTGTCCATGTGTTCTCATTGTTCAATTCCCACCTATGAGTGAGAATGTGCATTTTTTTTGTCCTTGAGATAGTTTGCTGAGAATGATGGTTTCCAGCTTCATCCATGTCCCTACAAAGGACATGAACTCATTTTTTATGGCTGCATAGTATTTCATGGTGTATATGTGACAGATTTTCTTAATCCAGTCTATCATTGTTGGACATTTGGCTTGGTTCCAAGTCTTTGCTATTGTGAGTGGTGCCGCAATAAACATATGTGTGCATGTGTCTTTATAGCAGCATGAATTATATTCCTTTGGGTATATACCGAGTACTGGGATGGCTGGGCCAAATGGTGTTTCTAGTTCTAGATCCCTGAGGAATCGCCACACTGACTTCCACAATGGTTGAACTAGTTTACAGTCCCACCAACAGTGTAAAAGTGTTCCTATTTCTCCACATCCTCTCCAGCAGCTGTTGTTTCCTGACTTTTTAATGATTGACATTCTGACTGGTGTGAGATGATATTTCGTTGTGGTTTTGATTTGCATTCCTCTGATGGCCAGTGATGATGAGCATTTTTTCATGTGTCTTTTGGCTGCATAAATGTCTTCTTATGAGAAGTGTCTGTACATATCATTCACCCACTTTTTGATGGAATTGTTTTTTTCTTGTAAATTTGTTTGAGTTCTTTGTACATTCTGCAGCCCAAAATCTCCTTAAGCTGATAAGCAACTTCAGCAAAGTCTCAGGATACAAAATCAATGTGCAAAAACCCCAAGCATTCTTATAAACCAATAAAAGACCAACAGAGAGCTAATTCATGAATGAACTCCCATTCACAATTGCTTCAAAGAGAATAAAATACCTAGGAATCCAACTTACAAGGGAAGTGAAGGACCTCTTCAAGGAGAACTACAAACCACTACTCAATGAAATAAAAGAGGACACAAACAAATGGAAGAACATTCCATGCTCAAGGATAGGAAGAATCAATATCATGAAATAGTGTCCAAGGTAATTTATAGATTCAATGCCATCCCCATCAAGCTACCAATGACTTTCTTCACAGAATTGGAAAAAAACACTTTAAAGTTCATATGGAACCAAAAAAGAGCCCGCATTGCCAAGACAATGCTAAATCAAAAGAGCAAAACTGGAGACATCACGCCACCTGACTTCAAACTATACTATACTACAAGGCTACAGTAACCAAAACAGCATGGTACTGCTACCAAAACAGAGATATAGACCAATGGAACAGAAAAGAGCCCTCAGAAATAATACCACTAATCTACAACCATCTGATCTTTGACCAACCTGACAAAAACAAGAAATGGGGAAAGGATTCCCTATTTAATAAATGGTGCTGGGAAAACTGGCTAGCCATATGTAGGAAGCTGAAACTGGATCCCTTCCTTACACCTTATACAAAAATTAATTCAAGATGGATTAAAGACTTAAATGTTAGACCTAAAACCATAAAAACCACAGAAGAAAACCTAGGCAATACCATTCAGGACATAGGCACGGGCAAGGACTTCATGTCTAAAACACCAAAAGCAATGGCAACAAAAGCCAAAATTGACAAATGGGATCTAATTAAACTAAAGGGCTTCTGCACAGCAAAAGAAACTACCATCAGAGTGAACAGGCAACCTACAGAATAGGAGAAAATTTTTGCAATCTACTCATCTGACAAAGGAAAAAAATTTAAAATGCCAAAATATGTTCTATATAATTTTCATTTTTTACTTTTTTGAGTTGTGGTAGTCTGATCAACCTTAAAAAAGTATTTTTATTATGAAATAGTCATCCATATTTCATCCCCCTCTCAAATATTAGCAATAAGCTCACTCTACATGGTGTCTGCTTATTTCATAAAATAATGCACAAAGGAGAAAAGCAATAACTGAATTTTAAAGAAATCTATAAGAAACAAGCAATAATAAGTAAAATAACATCAAAAGAAAGCAAGAAAAATAAGTCAATTAGGAATGTAAAGTTTTGTCATCTTAATCTTGTATCTTCCCTTTTTGGTTGTAATATAATATTTGAACAGCTTATTTTATTTGCTTATGAGATAAATGTAGTGATTTGACCCAAACTTCCAAAATTAACAGAAACAATATACACACATAGGCGGTTTCTCTGTCCTCAGTTTGTGTATAATAAATAACATCCTTAATTAACAGAGCTCTAGTAAAATAAATACCATTTATATTCCTGAAAAAAATATTTTATTAACTGACAGACTATAGTGTCCATTAAGTTATTCTCCCCCATCTATTACATTCTATGAATTTTGCGGCAAAATAAAAATGTAACATAAGAAAATAGGTTTAAATATCTACACAATGCAACCCAAACTTATTTTTCTGAGTTTGTCTATAAATTGTGCATATCAGAATTGTAAAGAACAGTTCTTAAAAAAATGCTTATTATAAGCCACTTTTTAAGTGCTTTATATTAATTTTAACAAATTAAAGTCTATACATTCTATACTCACACTTATGAACTGCTTAGTTCATAAACTATACCATACCAATATAGAGCTGTTTGTGTCTGCATAATATTTTAATTTATCTTTTCAATGTTTTCTTTTCTGATGAATATCCTAACAGTAAAAACATCATCTGAAGGTAAAGATATTTTATGTTATGTATATTTTAGAAAAAGTTTCTTAAATTATGGTTACCATCTCTTGGTATTATTAGTTTCTTTGTTACAAAACCCACAGTAGCATTCTATTCTAAATATGTGTACGTTTTTTATTATTCAAGAGAGGAAACTATTTTCTTTCCAAACATGCTTCTCTTTCATCCCAGTGTCTTCTTCATTACCCAACCTTCATAAGGAATCAATTAGGTAGCCAACAATCATATAGTTGTATAAATTTCTCCTGTTCCAGACTTTCCTCCGAGCATAGAGGAAAGACTAGGGGTCGAAAATGTAGTGGCTGCTTCAGGAAGATCAACCTAGGTCCTAGAGGTACCTTGGGAGCTAGGTAGGGTATGGCATGGTCAGTGCTGACAGTCTGAGCTTGGGCAGAATCCCGAAGATGACTAAGCCCCACTTGGACCATTCTATTCTAAAATACGTGTACATGAAGAAAATAGAACAATGATTAAAATACATAAACAAATGAGCCTGGGCATGGTGGCTCACACCTGGAAGCCCAGCATTTTGGGAGGCTGGTGCAGGCGGATCACAGGAGTACGAATCCAGCCTGGCAAATATGGTGAAACTAGTCTCGACTAAAAATACAAACATTAGCAGGACATAGTGGCATATGCCTGTAATCCCAGCTCCTCGGAAGGCTAAGGCAGGGGAATCGTGTGAAGCTGGAGGGAGAGGTTTCAGTGAGCCAAGATTTTGCCACTTCACTCCAGCCTGGATGACGGAGTGAGACTCCATCTGGAAACAAACAAACACACACATACGCCCCAAAAACTAATGAATAAAAAAAATCTGTATTAGAAAAAGTGCTCACAGGCTAACTCCCATATCTAACAGAAAAAAAAAATCCTTGAAAATGAAAGTTCTGGAAGGGGCAAATAAGAAAACAAATTTAACACCTCACATGTAAACATACTTTAAAGATACTAATTAGAAAATTAGTATCTGTTCTCAGATACTAATAAGTAAGATATTACTTATTATACTATATTACTTATATACTAGTAAGTAAGATATTACTACTAAGTAAGATATTAGCAAAACATACTTTAAAGATACTAATTAGAAAGCACTGGGCCGGGCGCGGTGGCTCACGCCTGTAATCCCAGCACTTTGGGAGGCCGAGGCGGGTGGATCATGAGGTCAGGAGATCGAGACCATCCTGGCTAACATGGTGAAACCCCGTCTCTACTAAAAATACAAAAAATTAGCCGGGCGCGGTGGCGGGCGCCTGTAGTCCCAGCTACTCGGGAGGCTGAGGCAGAAGAATGGCGTGAACCCGGGAAGCGGAGCTTGCAGTGAGCCGAGATTGCGCCACTGCAGTCCGCAGTCCAGCGAGACTCCGTCTCAAAAAAAAAAAAAAAAAAAAGCACTGAAGTGCTCAATTCTATCTTTTTAATAGAACTTGCATTTAAATAGTCATTTCAATAAAATCCTTTACTCTTACAGTAAGAACCAATTATTAAATGTTGATTACCTAGCTCCTGGATGGTTTTCTAAGTATTTCAGAACTGTTGTTTTAGTAATAACCACTTAGCATACTTGTGAGAATTACTGGTTCTACAGGTCTCATTTCAGATGATTGGACCGGGATTTTGAAGGAAAATAGCTAGAAGTATCTGGGTATATATTTTATGACCCACGTAATTATTTGAGGATGCTTGTGAAACTCTGGTCTGACAAATAAGATACAGTAAAACAACAACAACAAAAACAACAAAACCAAAAACAGAACCAAAAAAAAGACCCCAAAAATAAGCCACACGTGAAGAACATCAAGCCAGGAGTCAGGAACAAATACTTTATCTTTTCCTAACTTCAGGATTCTCAATTTGTATGCCCCTATCTTCTTTTTCATTCTTGGTAAATACTACTCCAACTATCCAACACTTCAGAGTACTAATTAACCTGTTAGTTTGAAATTCAGCAAAATATATGAAACCTATTTCTGAACATTTTCTTTAGGATCCTATTTCTAGCTATACACCTGTGTCAGTTATGCTATACATGACTATAAGATAGCAGTATTTAACAAAAATATTTGACCACTGAGGCAAAATTATCTTCTGTAAATGATCCACTGCTACTAAGATTACGTTGACAATTTGGATATTGTACTGACATTTTGAATTTCATATATTCGAGGAAGATTGGAAAGCATCTTCAGATGTCATTGTCTATAATGATAAGAGTTAATGCTCATATTAACTTCCAAATTTTTCTATGTTAAAGCAGGTGTGCAGGTATTGCATGAACAGGTAGGCCACTGAAGCATAACTGTGGTTAAAGCTGTAAAAGTTTTGGCGAAATTGCACATAACAAGATCTCCACAGAAAATTTAGATTTTGGCTCAGCTAGGAGATGTTGAAGAAAATTACATTTCTTATTCTTAATGATTCCCCAGCTGGATCTTAAAGGGAGATAGCATGATATTGTGGAAAGAGGTAGTTTTGTAATTTGAAATTAGACTTTAAGAAAAGATGATGATTTTGAGACTCAAATTTCAGATGTATGAAGTGGGGTCTAAAATATCTAGTACCTGTGTTTGTAGTTATAAAGATCATATAATAACAATTTATTTTATTTGGCTTGTACTTTTCCGTAAAACAAAGACATCATTTAACTGTGTTACTATAGGTTTGTGTGGGCATTTTAAAGGAACATTTCTCTTGTGATAAATAACATAGTAATACTGACAGAGAATGATTCTTACTCCAACATTGACATTGCAGAGCTCCAGCTGTTCTCTAGAGAAACTGGCGTGAATTGAAGAAAAAACAGTGGATGATTGAAGGTAACTTATGAGCCAGTCTTTATTTACTAAGACTATGTAATTCTCAGAGGGGACATACAACCTGTGAAGAGTTGGATATGAATGATGGAGACTCATTGAGAAGCGGCTGCCTCAAGGATCATCCTCTACATTTCTAGCTTGAAATACAGAGTATTTGGTGCTGTGAATTTCTGAAATAGTGGAATACTGTAGGAGGAAACATGTTTTGGGGATGAAATGAAGGTCTGGTTTGGTATGTGGAGATGTAAGGCATGCAGTTGGATATGCCAAGTGTGAAGGTAGAACAAAGATCTGGCCTGAAGTTGGGAATTTCTTAATGGTAAGCATAGAAAGGGTGTTTTAGCCTTGAGAAAACTCAAGAGGATCCATGACTAAAATCTGCACAACTTCAACACCTGTAGATTTAGTAAAGATGCCAACAAAATACACACCAAGTTCGTATTAAAATTAATGAGAAAAGACAAACGACTTAGTGAGAGGCATTCGGGCAACTAGCATTTAGCTAGATATTAGCTAGGAAATTTGGGAAAAAATGAAATGTCTAAAGAATCTTTGATCAGGTTTCCAAATATACAAAATAAAAACCACTTACATGTTAGAAGACAATATCAAAATGATATTATGTTAATGGTACTATTTAATGCTAATAGACAAAAGTGAAAATTATTGTGAATTAAATCAATAGACAATATATTTTCTATCACTGTCTTTTCTTCTCAATTTGTGTGTTGTTTTAATTCACTAAGCAATGACTCCTCTTAATTCCACTACTTTTTATTTAACACTGCATTTTTTTTCATATGTGCAATATTACACTGTCCAATAGAGAGGAAATGCAGAATTTGGGCTGTTATATCAGAAATACCTTAGTTTTTCAGCTTTGAGCTTCTGGAGTGTGGTTAATTTAAATATTCTCATCAGGCCTCGATTTTTCTAATTTCTGTAATCACTTCTCCAAAATAAACAATGTCTGAAACTGATGACTACAGTGAAATTAAAATTATGCTGGCTTTTAAGATAATTATGTTTATGTAAATTTGAGGCTTTCTTTGGGGGGTGTGGGGTGGTGGAGACAAATCTTTGCTCTTGTGACCCAGGCTGTAGTGCAGTGGCATGATCTTGGCTCACTGCAACCTCCGCCTCTCCGGTTCAACCGATTCTCCTGCCTCAGCCTCCCAAATAGCTAGGATTACAGGAACATGCCACCACACCCAGCTAATTTTTGAATATTTAGTAGAGATGGGGTTTCACCATGTTGACCAGGTTGGTCTTGAACTTCTGACATCTGGTAATCCACCAGGCTTGGCCTCCCAAAGTGTGGGGATTACAGGCGTGAGCCACCCCACCTGGCCTTCAAATTATATTTTCATACCCACTCACTTCCACAATTTTTTGGACCCATCTAGACATTTTTAGTGCATTGCTTTAAAGTGAATAAACTGCATAAACTGTGTGGGAGCATATCTTTGGGGTTATCTGCATGTGCTCTTCAGGGGGCGGGGGCCGGAAATGGTATTAGAGTTCTTGAAGAATTTATGAAAGAGAGAATGACAATACTATACAAGGTTTAACCTATTCACAATACTGTATTTACTGAATAAAAACATTACTTTTAAAATTCTACTATTGACTAAATAAATAAAATACATTCTTTCAATCACTCTAAAATATGTGTACATGAAGAGAATAGAACAAGGCTTCAAATACGTAAACAAATAAATGAGGCCGGGCATGGTGGCTCACGATGTAAACCCAGCAGTTTGGCAGGCAGAAGTGGGTGAATCACTTGAGGTCAGGAGTTGGAGACCAGCCTGGCAAATATGGTGAAACCCAGTCTTGATGAAAAATACAAAAATTAGCTGGGCATGGTGGCATGCACCGGTAATCCCAGCTCCTCAGAAGGCTGAGGCAGGGTAATGGCTTGAAGCCAGGAGGCAGAGGTTGAGGTTGAGCCAAGATCCTACCACTTCACTCCAGGCTGGGTGGCAGAGCAATGCTCCTCAAAACACACACAGACACCCCAAAAAAACTAAAAAATGAAAATAAAAATTTTGTACTCATAAACTCACATATCTAACAGAAAAAAAGTACTTTAAAACGAAGTTTCCACAAAAGGCAAATAACAAAACAAATTTATCACCTTACATATAAAATTAAAATAATAAACTGAAGAGAACTATAAGGGAAAAAATTCAAAATTTACAAGTAAGTACTGTAAAAGAAGCTGAAAGTCACTCAAAACTTTTCCGGATTCTATGTCTCTACATAGAATCTATGATCATACAAACATGATCATAAAATTTCCCAGGGGCAGAACAATCAAAATGTATCTTAAAACTCAATAAACACTTCAAGTCTCACATAAGAATTGTAATGGAAAATGGATGCGTCTGCAGTATTTCTATACAAATCTGAACAAACACTATTTCTTTGTCCTCATTGTTTCACTATTCCAAGAAAATAACTTCCACATTAATATTAGGGGATGTGACAAAGCAGATCTTCATCATGATAAGTAACACTCGGTGTCCACACCACTACTCAGGTGGGCCTTAATTCTCAGCCAGGTTTCCTCCCTGGACACACAATGAAGGGCTCATTCATTTTGCCATCTCTTCACATTTCCTCCTCTGTGAGCCCAGTGTGGTTTTCCAGATTCCCTGAGTAGTGGCCTCTCTTGTCTGGTGGGGCAGGGTGGGGCAGCGCAGTGTGAGTGATGATGGCGGAGGGCAGAAAGCATCTCAGGGAAGCCTGGGATCATTGTAACAAAAAATGATGGGCCTGGGACAGCCCATCAGGGAGGACGTAGAGAGGGGCCTTGGGAGGATATCTGCGTGGAGGGTGAGAGGGCCCTGGTTGAGCCCAAACTGAGCCCCAAGTGGTAGCCGGCCTCAGGCCTCAGCCGGTGAGGGATGATGAGACAGCTACCACTTGAGCCTTGCTTCTCACCCACTGACCTTAGACACTTATTCCTCTTAGGCGGCTGAAGGTGCCCCAATCCCAAAATGTGGGTGTTAAAGTTCTTTGATGGCCATTTCTCCGCCAGCCCATGGATGGCGTGGGATCGCTCACTGCAGTCACCTCCCTGAGGCTTGGATTCTCCATGTGGGGCACAACTCCAGGAATCAAAGGTCTCTCAGTCCCCAGCCCTAGACTGTTCACCTGGCCTCCTCTCTGTTCACTCTCTAATGGCCTCCCTCCCTGGAGAAGTACTGCAGGGGATTGAGCTACAGGTTCTGGCTGATGATCTGGGGGCCTGCAGAAGTGGGTACAGGTTAGTTCAGGTCATGGCTCAAAGCCAGTTCCCCAGAGGCCAAGGAATGACCAGCAAGATCCTTTCCCATGATGCCCTACCTGGCGCTCACCTCAGCAATCCTGCCAGAACCTGGGCAGTCATGGTCAGCCAACCAGCTGAAGAAGGTCAGGTAGGAGCTGTACGGCCTGCAGCTGGAGGCTTGACCTTCATGATCCCACAACCACTAGACTGCAGTGGAATGAGACATCCCGTATCCTGCAGAGAGAGGAGTCAGGAAGGTTCATGCCAGACCTACCCTCCCACACACCAGCTCCCCTACCATGCTGGGAGGCGCTCCTTACCGAGGATGCCAAGGCAGTACTCCTGAATGATCACTTCATTGTGGAAGTAGAGACTGTGATAAAAGGAAAACTTCATCCTGCTGCCGGTACCCGGAAGAGTTGCTTTCCTCCCCTTACCTGGCCAAGAAGGAGAAAGAGGACGTACTCAAAGGAGCATTTCATGTAGCTGGGGTGAGGTGACCTGTTAGCTGGGGTGAAGCATGTGTTTCTCCTTCCCAACTCTCTCATTGAGACACCCCCGGGTCCCAGGGGTACCTCAACCTGACCCAGACACCAGACCCCTCCCGAAGACTCAGGCTCCTTAGCCTGACCTGCAAATCCATCACGTACGTAGCTTAGCAGGACTTCATCATCATTTGTGATCCCGGCCAACATCTCGGTGTGCCGCACAATCTGCCTCTGGTCAAGGAGCCGCCAGATGATTGGGTGGGCGTGCAAGGAAACACCCTGCAACTTTGCAAGAGCACGGAGAGTGTGGGGCAGGGCACCTTCCCTTCCAGGTCCTCTGTCTCTGTCTGGCGTGGAGGGCACCATCAGAGCTGTGGTGGTCTTGGTGGTGGGTGGAGGCAGGCCCAGACAACCTGCTCTGACCAGGGACTGGCACTGAAGAAGTGGGCAGGGGGTTGGGGGCGGGGTGTTGTTGTGTGAGGCGACTACTTGCTCGGCGTTTCTGAGCTGCAGGAGGCCCTCCTGTGCTGGGTGCTGGACAGGCTCTGCTGCTGTCTGGGTGTGCGGTCTCTCCTTCTCCTGGTCTCCCTGAGGGGTGCACGTGTCCACCCCAGGCAACCGCTGTGGGTAGAAGTAGCTACGGGGCTGTGCCTGGCTCTCCCCGTGGAGCTCGAGTGGTTTCAAGGGAGCTTATATATACTCAGGGCCTAAACATCTTTGGGTGCAGCGCTGGCAGAGGGAAGAAATTGTGTCTGGGGAGATAGTGCCTGCCTTGCATAGGACAGCAGCCCCGTGCACAGTGACACCGAGTCTTGAGCACCTTGTGTTTCTGGGGTAAGCTTGCTGGACACAGGCAAGGGGAGCAGGGAAGTTCCGTGGCTGGCATGGGCATGCAGACTCCCCTTCCTCCAGGGACTTTCCCGGTGAATCGTATCCTTCAACTTTCTGCTGTTATGATGGGTCCTTGGCGCTGCTATTCTCCCTGGTGAGTGCTGTGCTTGGCTTCCTGTCCCTACCACATGCCCTCAGGGCACATGCAATTAAGCTGCCCTCCTATCTGCATGAGCCTGTTCTCAGTTCCCCTTGTTGTCCCCCATGCCCTGAATCCTGGCTGACCGCCAGTGCCTACCACCTTGTTTCCCCCCACCTCCGCTCCCGGGAGCTCCGCGCCCATCCCCTGCTGCCAACCATCCCGAATTGGCAGCTGCAAGGATATGGCTCTGGCCCAGAAGCCGGGGATGCCCTGTGGCCTGGGACATTCACGTAGCCGAGCTCCAAGTGAAGGACGTCCAGCGAGTCTGTTGCTGGCCGGGGCGTACTGGGGCCAGGGCCAGGCTGTGCCTGCAGGTCCTCCTGCTGTGGCTCCACATTGGCCTTCCTCCTTGGCCACCACCTCCATCTCTGCAATGATGTCATCCCCCACTAGCATGCCTCTCCCCGCAGGGTTGTCTTCCTGCTCTGTGCACAGACCATCCTCTCCTGCACAGCCTCCAGCCTTAACATGGTGCCCTCCTTGAGGCTCCAACAGAGCAAAGCCTGTGCCTCCCACCCCACCCCCCCGGCACCCGTCAACTCTGGGGGCAACTCCAGGAGAGGCCTGCGGGCCTTGCCCTGCTGAGAACCACATCCTACACCTATGTGGAACAGGGTTCCTGGGGGGCCCCACAGGGCCCTTAGCCTGTCACACTCACACTGGGGCTCAGCTACCCAGCAGGGTTAGCTGCGCACGGCAGCCCTGGAGTCGGATGCCAAGGCCCTGGCTTCCAGAGCCCCGCTAGCAGGCACACGGCCACCACTGCACTTGTGAGAGCCTCTGCACCAGCAAAGCAGTGCACACGGATCACTGCATTGGCGACCATGGCGGTAGGCCTCCCGTGTGCCCAGGGCACAGGATGAGAAGTCCTTTGGAATGCCCCTGTGAGTACAGCATCCTCAGGGAGGAACCATGGAACTCGGAGTATGTATTTGCCTAGACCTGACAGAATCCTTGCAGGGTTTCAGCTTCTGGTGCAGATGAATTCCACCTCAGCAACGTACCAGTCGACTTTAGTCCCACGCACCCGCCCTGCCCCAATCCCCCCAAGCCACCGCTGCTGCCCTCGCCCCTGCAGCAGCGCTGGTCCCTCTCTCTCCCCTCTGGATCTGCAATATTCGGTACCATCAGCCTAGCCTGCCTAATGAAGTGAGATGTTTCATGTGTTCCCTGTGGGTTAGTTAATGTCTTGCCACACTCAGGATGCCAGTTAGGGTGTAGGTCTTCCATGCCCACAATTGCAAAGGGCTCACAGTTCGCGTGTGCCTTAATCCACCGCGGCCCGCCACGCGGCACAAGCGTGGTCTCGGAAGAGTTACCGCGAGATGATGGAGCCGCAGGCCTGCTGGGGCGGAGCGGCCTCAGGACACGCCCACAGCCTTTGCAGTAACTGGCTGACGCCCACCGCCTTCGCAATGATTGGCCGCTGGAGGTAGGCGGGATTTCCGGGCACGGCTTCCGGCGTCCTTCCCTCTCAGGGTAGCTCCAGCTGTCCCTCCCGCAGTTGGCCCTGTGGTGTTCCGAAGCCGGTTACGTACGGCCTGAGGGCCAGGCGAACCTCAGGCTCTTTGTCCTACTAAAAAGCGCAGGTATTTTCTGTTTCTCTGGACAGCTGGGTCTCTCGGCAAGAATAGAAAGCGAAGGTTTGGGATTTTGTCTATAAAAGGGGATGGGTTTTCTATGTGTGGGTGTTGAATTACGGGAGGAGTCAGTGGGGAAAGAACTCCTCAGTGCTATTAAGAGACTCACTTTCGTTAAACTCATTGATTTTTCCTGAGGATTCTACCTTTAACTGCCTAATGTGTCCGACTAGTTGTGGGAGATGGTGCTAAGCCGCCATTGGTTTTCATGTGCACTTTTTATTAAAGCGGGTTTTCTCTGTGAATGTGGTGATAATTCAGAATACAGGCAATACACTTAAACACTGCGATTAAAAAGTCACACTTTTAGTTAGCACGTGTCGCGTGTCTGATTTGCTTGGAAGAATTATCAAATTTTGACATAAATTGTGTTACTTTAGTGTATGTAGAAATATGGGGCCACAAATAATCTGAGTTTCAGTTTGCCTCTGTAAAGCCTGTGATTGTCTCCTTCGTTGTATGACAGTATTTGAAACGTTTCATGTGTCTTTGGCACCGTAAATAGTTTAAACCGAATAAGTGGGTGTAATCGAGACAAATGGAGTTAGATAGCCGAAAACTGGAACAAAATAGATGCGCTTAAGTTATTCTGTTAACCTGGCACACTGCCTTACTCCTGTAGTCCTAGCATTTTGGGAAGTGGAGGTCGGAGGATGGCTTGAAGTCAGGAGTTTGAGACCAGCCTGGGTAACGTACTGGACTCTTTCATTGCTATTTTCGCATCAGGGACTGGTTTAGTGGAAGTCAGTTTTTCCTCAGACAAAGGTTGCGCAGGGGAAGAAGGCGGCGAGGTGGACAGGTTTGGGAGTGGGGGCTGGCGGCAGGCCTCCGAGGGGCACGTGGTGGGGCGGGTCTTCCGGTAGGAGCAATGTGACAGAGGCCAGGTGGGGCAGTGAGGCTGTCACGGGGACAGGGAGGGCCAGCGAGGGAGTAGGGAGGATGGTTTCCGGATAAAACTGTACCACCTCAGGTCATCCTCAGGCGTTACATTCTCCACAGACAGGTATTGCAGGTCATCCTCCGGCATCACATTCAGGCCACAGATAGGTACGGGTTGAAGGCTAGGGTTTGGGGATCTTTGACCTATTGTATATTTCAAATCACTAAAAGATGGTAAAATATTTAAAATATTCTCCTCCTAGAACATTTTAAGTAGCTTGATTTAATCTCTTATCCAAATATCATGCTGAGTGTGGTGAGTCACCCTTGAAATCCCATCACTTTGGTAGTCCCAAGCCGGCAGAACACTTGAGCCGAAGATTTGGAGACTAGCTTGGGCACTATGGGGAAACCCTTGTCTATTTTTAAAAATACAAAAAATTGCCCAGCTGTGGTAGAAAGCGCCTGTAGTACTAGCTACTTGGGAAGCTGAGATGTAGGAAGATCAGTTGAGGCTGGGTGGAAGAGCCTGCAGTGAGCAGTTCACTTTGGCGACAGGAGACAGACATCTCAAGAAAGAAAATATGCAAAACATCACACCGTACCTCATAAATAGATTCTTTTCAAATAAAATTATTTAAATGGGGACATTCTTCATATTGCAACTGAGGAAAATTACAATAGCTTTTCTTATCTAATTTTTAGAAATGAGATTTTTGTCAGGTACATACTAAAATGCAGCATTTGTCCATGAAGTTAGTGCCCCTTTGCTCTGAGTGTTACAAATTTTACATATATAAAGTAAGAAATACTAAAAAGATGTCAGCCTCAGGAAGGGAATTTTACTTGGGTTTTCAGCACAGTATGTAATAAAATTTTATCTTTTTAGCTTATTTATATCTAAATATAGATAATTTTTTACCATTTACAGCACAATGGTAGAAGCAGATCATCCTGGCAAGCTTTTCATTGGTGGCCTCAATAGAGAAACCAATGAGAAGATGCTTAAAGCAGTATTTGGGAAACATGGTCCCATATCAGAAGGTAACTCTTAAAACCGTGTGTGTGTGTGTGTGTGTGTGTGTGTGTGTGTGTGTATTTTCACATGTATATTTCAATAGGTATGTTTAAAATATGTATGTTATATATATATGTTTTGAAAAAATATATTTTTTCAAAGTTCATTGTATACCTACATTAAAATGCCTTATGCATTTTAAACTCTTATTTTGTAGTATCTGTTTGATATTTGGAAAATTCTCATAGTAGTAGGTTAAGGTTCTATGGAAAGGATAACCTACTACTTAGAAAGGAAAATGAGGGAAAGTAAATGTGCTGTGGAGTTCCGAAACAAACTGGAATAAACTAGACTGACTGTAGGGGTGATTGAGTATCGAGAACCATAATAGTGATGTGAAATGCAATTATTTTTTAGCTTGATGTAACCTTTAGATGGTGAGTACCTTGATGAGTCCATTATATGAATGTAAAATGTTTTCATATATTTTAGTTCTTTTGATAAAGGATCGAACCAGCAAATCCAGAGGCTTTGCATTTATTACTTTTGAGAACCCTGCAGATGCTAAGAATGCTGCGAAAGATATGAATGGAACGGTAAGAGTCCCTTATTACTAATATTCTAACTCTGTTCTTCAATTAACAATATTTCTAGGTCTTTTTAATATTGCTAAACTTTTGAAGATAGTAGAATGACATATGAAGCCATCCTCTTTTTTGTGCCATATACGTGCAAGTGTAGTTGGAAGGGTATTGGAATTAACATTATATAAATTAATATTTGGTAACCTTTTTCTATGTTTGTATTTCGATATGAGTGCACATAGATTTTAAAAGGTTTTGAAGAGCTTTAAAACTTATAAGGAACCCTCATGTAAATGAAAGTAATAAGTCAATATTTATTAAATGCTATTAATTGAAGTACATCCAATTCATGGAAATACTTTTAGAGCGTAGACAAACTGGATAGACATCTAGACAGATGCACAAGAAGGAAAGACTCTTTCCTTCTTGAAGAATATATTTTATGAAAATATATTCTTGCGAAAGTGTATTTAAATAAGACCTTTACATTTACGGAAAGGTTAAGTAGTTGAAAATAGAAAATAATATGAGAACATTGAAGTCAGATAACAGAAGAAGTAACTGGCATTCTTGGCTCCATGCTTGCTTTTTCTCCTAAGGACATTTCTTTCCTGTCACCAGAGTGATTTATGTAACATGAATAGCTAATTACTCATTTCCCCAGTGTGTTTGAGGACTTGTTTTGATTGAACCAATGGTCTCTTGTCCTGTTGAGTCTTAAATCTAGAGATTGTGTGTTTACTTAAGCTTTAAACTTCTGTGTAATGATATTAATTATTGAATTCCTTTACATTGTAGTCAAGAGCATTCCATTCTGTGCTCTTTAGTGTTTTTTGCTTTATAACATTATCCCAATCATGCCGGGCATGGTGGCTCATGCGTGTAATCCCAGCGCTTTGGGTGGCCAAGGCGGGCAGATCACAAGGTCAGGAGAAAGAAACCATAATGGCCAACATGGTGAAACCCTGTCGCTACTAAAATACAAAAAAAAAAATTAGCTGCATCTGGTTGTGTGTGCCTGTAGTTCCAGCTAGTCAGTAGGCTGAGGCAGGGGAATCGGTTAAACCCAAGGAGGCAGAGGTTGCAGTGAGCCGAGATCACGCCGATGCACTCCAGCCTGGCAACAGAGCAAGAATCCGTCTCAAAAAAACAAAAAATAAATAAAATAAATAAATAACGTTATCCCAATCTGTTTTTAGGTCCTGTTAGTCTTCACGCTATTCCCAAAGTGCTTTTTTAGACTTCTTGAGAATTATCCTTCCCTGTGTATGGCTCATAAATAAAATTTATGCTTCAAAAACCACTTAGATTTCATAATTTTCTTCCTCATTGCGTATTGTAGGTATTTTCTACTCGCTGTACTATGTATTAATCTATTGATCGTGAAATTGTATATAGTGCATATTTAAGTCTTGCTAGTTGCTTTTCTTTCTGTTACATCTAGCACACTTCCTGTCACATAGCAGAAAGTACATTTTTATTCACCCTTATAAATTAGTATTTCAAGCTGTGGTAGAAACCGAGAGTTGCTTTTGGTTCATGGCTTTGTGGTAGGTATGGAGATAATTTTGACTTCTGTATAGGAATCTATGATAATTTCTTTTTTCCCTCTAGTTTTCAAGCAAAAGGGCAGATAATTTGTGTAAAGTTTTTGTTCGTTTGTTTGTTTTTTAAGATGGAGACTCGCTGTGTGCCCTAGGCTGGATTGCAGTGGGGCCATCTTGGCTTACTGCAACCTCCGCCTCCCGGGTTCAAGCGATTCTCCTGCCTCAGCCTCCCAGTACCAGGGGCTACAGAGGCGCGCCACCACGCCCAGCTAATTTTGTACTTTGAGTAGGGATGGGGTTTCACCCTGTTAGCCAGGGTGAGCTCTATCTCTTCACCTCATGATCCACCCGCCTTGGCCTCCCAAAGTATTGGGATTACCGGTGTGAGCCACCGCGCCCAGCCAACGTTATTTCTAAATTACTTCATCTCACGTATTTTATTGTGTTAAAATAACTATGAATGTTGTATGCACATTAATGTTAAGATGGCCAATAAAGGAGGTTCTTTGAGTTTTCAGGGGGAATTAACAGTTAAGGAATTTTGGCTGACTTCAGAACACTGGGAAGGAAGCAGCCGTGGGCAAATCTGGGGAAAATATTTTGAGCCCAGAAATAACAAAAGAAGTTTCAAGGTAGGAACAACGGGCGATGTGGCTGCAAGCGGTCTTGTTCAGGGATTTAAGTCCTTCCTCCAAATAACAAAAGCCATGTAATTTTTAAATCGCGTTATTAGCTGAACTGTTTTCAAAAATTGCTGTGGCCTGTAGAAAAGATTACAGTGAAAAATGTTATTATGAAATTAATTAGGATAGTTAAGCATTTCTGAGAAATTACCTGAAGTACTATATTAAGATTCGTTTTTTAGGGGCACGTCTAAGGCAATGTAAGAAATGAGTAAGGCAAGAAAACTTAATGAGATCAAACAAGGATCACATTTACAGAAACATTTTTAGAGTCAATATAGAATTGTAAATCATATGGGGACATTTTATGGAAGTGTTAGCAAATCCAACAAGAAACAACTCATAATGAGTAATGTGCCTAATCACTCTGAAAAAGTAAGCTCATTTTTTTTTTAAATGACACGAGTTTCATTGGGACACTGCAACTTTCAAATCAGTGATGTGACTACAAAGATGAAGTGGATTATATATTGTAAAAAACAGATGTGCCACATTCTTCCACAGAATGTGTGATGGGTCAAACTTTTTTTTTATGTTTGAGTTTTTTTTTTTTTTAATGATGGAGAAGTTTTCAAGGAATTTGAATAATAGAATTTGTGTTTGATCCCTTAATGGAAGGCATGTGCTCAGTAACTATCTCAAATTTGGCATTGCGAAAGATGTGTTCATTTTAGAAGAAAAAAAAAGTTTCCTTTTGGGAGAAAATACCTCAAATTGAACTACAGTTGATGTAAAAATGTTTGTAAAATGTGCTTACGTTAAATGTGCCAGTGTTATTGATAGTACCCTTAATACTTCTAGTCTTTGCATGGAAAAGCAATAAAAGTAGAACAAGCCAAGAAACCATCTTTTCAAAGTGGTGGTAGGCGGAGACCACCAGCTTCTTCGAGAAACAGAAGCCCTTCAGGAAGTCTGAGATCTGCAAGAGGAAGCAGTGGAGGAACAAGAGGGTGGCTTCCCTCACATGAAGGGCACCTGGGTAATGTTTTAAAATATAAAGATGGAACCATAGGACTGAAAGAAAATAAGTTTGACGATATTGAAATTTCTTAATTTTTTTCTTTCCTGTATGAAGAGAAAATTAGCTTATTGATAATAAGCAAACTTATTTCTAAGTACTATAAAGGTGTATTATAAGAATGATTGAACTAATATCTAAAATTTGTTTAACAATTATAATAAGTTTGCACTGAAGTAACACACATTTGAAACTGAGTTGTGTTTGTGAATGCTGATTGCCTGTACTCAACCGGTTTTCTGCAGAACTCATTTATATTCATTATACTTTAGAGTTTTCTACTTTAGGGCCCAGAACTTCGTGTCAGTTGTATTATCAAAGTACGATGTAATATTTAAAATTTTCCAACAGGAAGAAGTAACTGAATACTGAAGATTGATTTTGCAGTATTTGTTTTCTTGTGTCTACATGTGGAAACATCTATGCAAATGTATTGCTTTGTAATTTTGATACAGAGAGTTTGTACATTGGCCTGCCGTAAAGCATTTTCAATTTAAGAAATGTAGAACTTTAATTTCTGAAAAGAGTCTGTGACTCTGGAAAGATCTAAAAACCACTGCTTCACAGATATGTATGAATCTTTCTTTGCTGGAGGCTGAGTCACTGAAAATGATATTTATGAGTGATTTACTTAATAGAAATGAGGGGTCCATCTTTACATATAAAAGAAAAACAAACCATATATTTAAAAAAAAGGAAAAAGAAAAAACTATTGGATGGGCTGTGCGAGGTGGCTCACGCCTGTCACCTCAGC
This sequence comes from Homo sapiens, assembly GCF_000001405.40. Classification (NCBI taxonomy): domain Eukaryota; kingdom Metazoa; phylum Chordata; class Mammalia; order Primates; family Hominidae; genus Homo; species Homo sapiens. Next base: position 22,176,300 of record NC_000024.10, on the reverse strand, counting down.
ACCTGGGGAGTACAGGGGAGGTGGACCACGAGGTCAGGAGTTCCAGACCAGCCTGGCCAACATGGTGAAACCCTGTCTCTCCTAAAGATACAAAAAAATTTGCCTGGGCCTGGTGGCGTGCACCTGTAATCCCAGCTACTCAGGAGGCTGAGGCAGGAGAATCACAGGAACCTGGGAGGCAAAAGCTGCAGTGAGCCAAGGTTATGCCATGGCACTCCAGCCTGCGTGATAGGGCAAGAGTGCATCTGAATAAATAAATAAATAAACCTGTTGGTTAACTTGTATTATCTATTAACCAACCTTCAAAACTCTAACAATTAGCTTGGAGTTTTAATAACCAGACATGTAATTAATTGGAGATTGTTTTCAAGTTGAAATTGCAGTGTTTGCTCCATTTTAAGATGCGTAGCTTCACGGCTGTTTTGCCTCCACTGATCTTGAGGGTGAGCTTCAATTATACTCTGCCACGGACGAGAATGTATACATAAATTCTAACCTGTAACACCACCTGGCAATTGGCATATATCTACGTTTTTGTAGATGTATAAAAATATGTTTATATTACCGAATATGCAATTCTTAAAGACTGTTAAAATTCAGCATAGTCTCATCTGAAAATTAGTGTCTCATAAGGGAATTTTAAGAATTCTATATTGTGTTAACAAATTTTAGAGACAATGTATTTTCCTGATATGTGATTTCTTGGTATTGGAAATATTTGAGTTTCTTTGAATGGAAATTAGTTTATCTTTATGATGTGCTTTGAAAATTTTTCCTCATTACAGAATGATATAAACAGTCATTTATCATTTTTCTTTTAATATTTTTATGTATATTATATTTGGATATTTTAGTGATAGATTTCTGCCCCCGTTCACTCCCCATTTTCCCACATCTCTCCTTCATACCGATATATTATGATACTTGAGTTTCTTTCTAGATTTTCTAAATGAACTTTTAATGCTTGAAGTGTACTAATACCTTGTAGGAATGCTAATTTTATTAGTTTAGACAAAATGTGAATTTGTTATAAAATGTAGAAAATATTTGTAAACAACTAAAACTTAGCCATTTAAGAAACAGTGACGTCAGTTAACTAAAAAGATTTTGTTTGAAATACAGATGATGGTGGATACACTCCTGATCTCAAGATGAGTTATTCTAGGGGACTCATTCCAGTTAAAAGAGGTCCATCTTCAAGAAGTGGAGGTCCTCCTCCGAAAAAATCTGCTCCTTCTGCTGTGGCAAGAAGCAATAGTTGGATGGGAAGCCAAGGTAAATGCTGCCTGACAGAAAGACCGTAGTTTTTGTATGACTAAAAATGAGCCGTTTTACCTGAATGCTTAGCTTTAAGTTCATTGAACAAAAGAGAAGTGACACATACGTGAGCATAATTACTGATTGATAGCTTTTATTATAGTTTCTATCTCACTAGGTACATTTCAGATTTATGTTGAAGAAATACTTGAGCTTCTCATTGCAGATCAAAGAAGTGATTAGAGTGAGGCCAACGTTCCTTTTAATCCTGTGTTGGCTAGAAAATTCCCCTTAATTTTTCTAAAAGTTCCTAGCAGTATTCTTTGATGGTAGGCTTCTTGATCTAATTAATTCTTCCATTTCCTAAGTCCCCTGGTGTCCCATTCTAAAAATTGCTTGTTCGGTGACTTTGCTGGGTTGGAGTCTTGCTCTTACTAGGTGAGAGTGCACTATGTGAGATGACGGCTTACTGTAGCCTCAAATTTGTGAGATGACGGCTTACTATAGCCTCAAATTCCTGGGCTCAAGCAATTCTGCTGTTTCAGCCTCCCGAGTTTGTGCAACTACAGGCATGCAGCAGCACACCTAGCTACATTTTTTTCCCTATGTTTTTGTAGAGAGAGGATCTGACTACATTGTCAAAACTGATGTTAAAGCCCGGGGCTCAAGCGGTCCAGCTGCCTCAGCCTTCCACACTCACTCACAGTGTGAGCCGCTAAGCCTGGCCATCCAGCTTCTGAGACCTCAGTAATGCGTATGTGCAAGGCATACTCACTGCGTGCATGAAGATTCAAAAGAACTACAAGAGCATTTAGCAGACAAGGAGTCATTGGGCTTAAATATGATTTAAAAATAAATTTAAGGCTCGAGAGGTAGACACGTAGGAGTCCAAAATTCTTAAATTAAGTGGATATCACAGAAATGCAGAGTTGTGAAATATAGGTGTATGTAAATCAGTAATTGAGATTGTACCGGGATGTTTAAACATTAACACAAGATCCTTAGTGTAAGATTTGAAATTATTTGAGGAGAGAATTTAGAACTAAGCAACATGAGGTGAGCGGTAGGGTTGAATGCAAGTAATACTTTTGAGAAGAATTGTAAGACTGCAGACTGAACAGAAGAAAATAAGACAATAAATAAAAGTTCTTAGCAAGGAAGTTTAAGCAGAGCAAATTAAAATTCTTTCTTAGTCCTCCATCCGCATATGGAGGAAGTTAAAAACTGCCATTTTCAATTTTACATTTCATACGTAGAGTATCGGTGAAGGGAGGTATTTATTGGCTTCAGGATACCCAAGCCAACACATTTCCATTGGAAAATTAGCCAGTGAAGGTATCATATGTGAAACACTGACCTCTAAGGAATAGCAAGTGAAGAATATATTAGAGGAGAAACTTTCTATTTTGAAACAGCAACAATGTTGTAATGACCCCTTGCATAGCATTGCTTTCTTTGCAGTAAAAGCAAATCTTGACCATCATTAGAAAATCTTCACTAATACATTTTAATTTGTCAACATTTAAGATAGAGCCAACCAGCTAAAGAACTTTTATGTAAACATTTAGCATATAGTCATTTAAAGGTAGCTGTATTTATGTGTGTGTGAGATGGACTGAATGATATTGGAAAATCTACCTTCTTTGGCTGAGAAAGGACAATGTATGTAAACTTTAAAATCAGTGAAGAGTTTGATGGTTTTACGTGTTTTCCCTGTGTCACTCACAGTCATCAGTAATTTATATGGAAAGGAAAATAATAACTAAGTAGTTATTAACCATTACAAATGAACTTTTACCTAAGCATTAATGTTTGCCTTCAGCTTCATTAGAAGAACTGGCCTTGTGGGAGCCATGGGATTATCCAAAGCCATGAGAAATATTCACAGTGTCATGTCTGTCTAGTAATTTAGGAAACAAAGAATGGAGTCATAGAAGAAATAATTTTAAAAAGTTGTTTGAGAGAAGAGAAAATAGCGTTTCAGATTTGGTGTTCTTTACATAATGTTCCATCATTTGAATGTTAAAGGTCCCATGTCACAAAGAAGAGAGAATTATGGAGTTCCTCCACGCAGAGCGACAATATCTTCCTGGAGAAATGATCGCATGTCAACAAGACATGATGGTTATGCAACTAACGATGGGTAAAGGAAAAATTAAAAAGCACAGTTGATTTTTTTTTCCTGTGGTGATGAAATTCACATAACAAAATTAAATATTATAAGGTGAACAGTTAAGTGGTGTTTGATACATTCTGTGCCATGCAACAACTACCTCCATCGAGTTCCAGAACATTTTCATCACTCCAAATTAAAACTCCTACTACCAGTTAAGCAGTCCCTCCCGTTTTCTCCTTTTCCTCAGCTGCTAGATAACACCAGTCAGTGTTCTGCCTCTGAACTTACCTGTTGTGGGTATTTAACGTTAATGTGCTCAAACACTACATGACTTTTTGTATTTGTCTCCTCTCCTTTTGCATGATGTCCTGAAGGTTCATTTACATCATAGCACTTCACTCCTTCCACAAGCTATTAACCCATTATTTTATCTGCATTGTTTCCACCCGAGTATTTCTACGCACCAATATTCGTTTGAGTATGCTTATTCGGTTCTGGGTGTATATGAGTGGAATTGCATGGTCCTATGATAATGATGTTTGTTTTCTTGAGGAACCACCACATTTCTCCATAGTAGCTGCATCATTTCCCGTTCCAACCTAGCATTGTATCAGCATTCCAATTTATCTACATCCTCTCAAACACTTGTTATTTCCTGCTGTTTGAAATTTATTGCCATTCAAATGTGTGTTTGAAATATGATATCCCATTTTGGACTTGAAATGCATTTTCTGCACCCATTAACTCATCATGCACATGTATCCTAGAACTTAAAGTATAATGAAACAAAAAGAAATGCATTTTCTGAATCGCTGAATATGAGTATCAGTCCCGTGTGCTTTTTGGGCATTTGCCGATTTTATTTGGAGAAATATCTGTTTAGATGTTTGGCCTTTTAATTTTGTTTAAGTTGTAAGTTAGTCATGTATTGGATACTAGAAGTTGAAAATTTAAAATTTGTTGCTTAAACTTATGCACACAGAAATCATCCAAGTTGCCAAGAAACGAGGGATTATGCTCCACCATCTAGAGGCTATGCATACCGTGATAATGGTCATTCTAATCGGGATGAACATTCCTCTAGAGGATATAGGTACTGTAACTTTTTCTGGATTTGTGAAATAGATTTCTTAAATTGCTCATTCCAACTAACGTTCTGTCAGGGCTCCAATTTATCTACATCCTCTCAAACACTTGTTATTTCCTGCTTTTGAAAATTTATTGCCCTTCCAGTGTGTGCGTATGAAATATGATATCTCATTTTGGATTTGAAATGCATTTTCTGCACCCATTAACTCATCATGCACATGGACCCTAGAACTTAAAGTATAATAAAAAAAAAAGAAATGCGTCTTCTGAATCACTGAATATGAGTATCTGTCCCATGTGCATCTTGGGCATTTGCCCATTTTATTTGGAGAAATATCCATTGAGATGTTTGGCCTTTTAATTTTGTTTAAGTTGTAAGTTAGTCATATATCGGATACTAGAAGTTGAAAATTTAAAATTTGTTGCTTAAACTTATGCATACAGAAATCATCGAAGTTCCCGAGAAACTAGGGATTATGCTCCACCATCTAGAGGCCATGCATACCGTGATTATGGTCATTCTCGTCGGGATGAAAGTTATTCTAGAGGATACAGGTACTGTAACTTTTTGTGGATTTGTCAAATAGATTTCTTAAATTGTTCATTCCAACTAACATTGTATCAGGGCTCCAATTTATCTACATCCTCTCCAACACTTGTTATTTCCTGCTTTTGAAAATTTATTGCCATTCATCTGTGTGTGAAATATGATATCCCATTTTGGATTTGAAATGCATTTTCTGCACCCATTAACTCATCATGCACATGGACCCTAGAACTTAAAGTATAATAAAAAAAAGAAATGCATTTTCTGAATCACTGAATATGAGTATCTGTCCCATGTGCTTTTTGGGCGTTTGCCCATTTTATTTGGAGAAATATCTATTTAGATGTTTGGCCTTTTAATTTTGTTTAAGTTGTAAGTTAGTCATATATCGGATACTACAAGTTGAAAATTTAAAATTTGTTGCTTAAACTTATGCATACAGAAATCATCGAAGTTCCCGAGAAACTAGGGAGTATGCTCCACCATCTAGAGGCCATGGATACCGTGATTATGGTCATTCTCGTCGACATGAAAGTTATTCTAGAGGATATAGGTACTGTAATTTTTCTGGATTTGTCAAATAGATTTCTTAAATTGTTCATTCCAACTAACATTGTATCAGGGCTCCAATTTATCTACATCCTCTCAAACACTTGTTATTTCCTGCTTTTGAAAATCTATTGCCATTCATCTGTGTGTGTGAAATATGATATCTCATTTTGGATTTGAAATGCATTTTCTGCACCCATTAACTCATCATGCACATGTATGCTAGAACTTAAAGTATAATAAAACAAAAAGAAATGCATTTTCTGAATCACTGAATATGAGTATCTGTCACTTGTCCTTTTTGGGCATTTGCCTATTTTATTTGGAGAAATACCTATTTAGATGTTTGGCCTTTTAATTTAAAGTTGTAAGTTAGTCATGTATTCGATACTAGAAGATGAAAATTTAAAATTTGTTGCTTAAACTTATGCACACACAAATCATCCAAGTTCCCGAGAAACTAGGGATTATGCTCCACCATCTAGAGGCTAGGCATACTGAGACTATGGTCATTCTAGGCAGGATGAACATTCCTCTAGAGGATATAGATACTGTAACTTTTTCTGGATTTATCAAATAGATTTCTTAAATTGTTCATTCCAACTAACATTGTATCAGGGCTGCAATTTATCTACATCCTCTCAAACACTTGTTATTTCCTGCTTTTGTAAGTTTTTTGCCCTTCCAGTGTGTGTGTGTGTGAAGTGTGGAAGCTCCTTTTTTATTTGAAATGCATTTCCTGAATCACTGATTATGAGTATCTGTTTCATGTGCTTTTTGGGCATTTGGGCATTTTGGGCATTTGGGCTCTGTGGGCATTTTATTTAGATGTTTGGCAATTTAATTGTGTTTAAGTTGTAATGTAGTTATGTTTTGGATACTAGAAGGTGACAATTTAAAATTCCTTGCTTCAACTCGTGCACGCAGAAATCATCCAAGTTCCCGAGAAACCAGGGATTATGCTCCACCACATAGAGACTATGCATACCGTGATTATGGTCATTCTAGTTGGGATGAACATTCCTCTAGAGGATATAGGTACTAACATGTTATCTGGATTTATCAAATGGATTTCTTAAATTGTTCATTCTGAAATTGAAAAGACTTTTTTTTTTTCAATTTAGTTATCATGATGGCTACGGTGAGGCCCTTGGTAGAGATCATTCTGAACATCTAAGTGGAAGTTCTTATAGAGATGCACTTCAGAGGTACGGTAAGGGTCCAGGATGGATTTGTAAATTACAGAATTTTATTTAATAGACCAGATTGTTATTTTAATGAAATTCTAAGGAAAATTGTAAAGGGCATATGCAACATGTTTAAATATTGAGTATTCTTAACAGTATAAAGCCTAGGGAATGATATGAAGGTGAGAACTTCAGTTAACGTTAAGAAAATGTGACTGAGCATTTACTTTAGAATTAAGTTTGTTAAGCTGCAAAATACTACTCTTACACTTCTCTTAAATAAAACCTTCTGACTATTAAAGACTTGATTAATATCCTGTCAACAAAGGCGGAGGAAAGCAGATATTTCCAAATAGTACTTTAACTAATTCATGCTTTAATGATAGCAGTAAAAATGTTTAAATGTAGTCCCACATATTATTTTACCAACCCTGCAGGGACCTCTCATGGTGCACCACCTGCAAGAGGGCCTCGGATGTCTTATGGTGGAAGCACCTGCCACGCATATAGTAATACACGAGATAGATATGGCAGAAGTTGGGAGAGTTACTCGAGCTGTGGTGATTTTCATTATTGTGATCGTGAGCATGTTTGCAGAAAAGACCAAAGGAATCCGCCTTCTCTGGGTAGGGTGCTCCCTGATCCTCGTGAAGCATATGGTAGCTCAAGTTATGTGGCATCTATAGTAGATGGTGGGGAGAGTCGATCTGAAAAAGGAGACTCGAGCAGATATTAAAGCAAGCATTGAAAATAATAGTTATTGCATACCAATCCTTGTTTGCAAATCAAAAATTGAAATGTTATTTCTGCATTGTTACCTGCATATTACTGAAAGAAACATGTTGGTTTTGTGGAGAGAGGTAGATACTAACTTCCTCCATGAATTTTTTGAGGTATTCAAAGGAAAAGGAATTGTTTTCAAAGTAATTTCATACTTGTTGATGCTATTTGAAAAGTGTTTAGATGTAATATCTACCTTAAAATTTTCACAATAAAATTTTACATGTACTGCAAGATGCCTGGTGTTATTGTTAGCCGCGCATGCTTAAAGCAAATTCAATAGGAGAGTAAATTGTGTAGTCTGTTGTACATTTTCCTTTGTTTGTTTGAACATAGGTACAAAATTAGGGATGTGTTATGTCGCCCTTGCAAGCTGCTCAAGTTTTCTAATTAGGCTGTTTCTCTTTAAAAACTAACAAGGTTAAAATGTTGGAGAAGTCTTCAGAAAGACTACAAAACCGTCTGCCTCACCATAAAACGTTTATTTTTTAGAGGAATAGTACAGGTCAAAGGAAATCATTAGATGTATTGATACTAAAGTTTAAGACATCCGGAACATTCTATGTGAAGCATTCTGTGACTGAAGAGGATAACGGTAATGAAAACTTTTTTTTTTCACCTAAATCAGAAGTGAACCAGCTAAGTTTCTCAGGCGCGTAGCATAATGAATTTAAATGTTCGTAGTTTAAATAGTGGAAAGTAAGTGTTTTGTCTTGTGAGGTTCCCACGTTAATTTTTTCTTGAATATTTTGACAGTGGATGTTGTAAGTAATGGTTTAGTAATATGTTCTTACAGATAGGAATAATCTAGAGTGGTTGGGATAGTATCAGTTTTTTTTGAGATGAAGTGTACAGCTTTGTCGCCGAGGCTGGGGTGCAGTGGCTCTGTCTTGGCTTATGGCAACCGCTGCCTTCTGGATCCAAGCTATTCTCCTGCCTCAGCATCCTGAGTAACTGGTATTAGATATGTGTGCCGCACAGCGGGGCCAATTTTTGTATTTTTAGTGCAGACAGCGTTTCACCTTGTTTGCCAGGCTGTTCTTAAAATCCTGATCCACCCTCCTCAGACTCCCGAAGTGCTAAGATTATAGGCATGTGCCACCACTGTCAGCCTATCGTATTTAATTGATAATATGAATGGAAACGCTTTAAACCTCATACTTAGGGGAAAGTGAAGTGTATAAAACATAAACAACAGCATAAAGTTTCCGACGGGATTGCTTAAAGTTTTAAGACATCACTGAATGATACAAATATTTAGACCGAAATAACTAAATGAATTAATTTTCCTGATTATACAAACTAAAGAAATGAAATACATCAAGTTCCAGAAGTTTTGCAGTCCATAATTCTTACAATTGACAGACTAATCTGCAAGGAGGAAGTATTTTCTTGAAAAATTTTGACACAATCATCAATTTTTACAGGGTAAGGGTACAAATAATTTTAAAGGGAGAAGTTACCAACTTTGATTTTCAAGTGAGTTATTCATGTTATGGAGTGTTTTCATTCACCTGTAGCATTGTGAGGATGAAGTGAAAAGATAAATCTCCCGAGTCTTGTGTATCTTACTGTCCATGTGTGACGGCTCAGGTCTCTAATTCTAACACTTGGGGAGGCCGAGGCTTGCAGAGCACTTTAGGACAGGAGTTGAAGACCAGGCTGGCCAACACCATGAAACCCCATCTCTACCAAAAATACAAAAATTAGCCGGGCATGGTGGTGCCTGCCTGTAGTACGTTGCAGTTAATTGGGAGGCTCAGGCAGGACAGTGGTTTGAACCTGGGAGCCTGATGCTGCGGTGAGCCGATATTGCACCATGCACTCTAGCCTGGGTGACAGAGTGCGACTCCAACACAAAAATAATTATATCAATGAACAAATATATACATAATAAATAGGGTATCCTTCAGTTCAAGCACTTACCGATTCTTTTTTCTTTTTTAGAGACAAGGTCTCACACTGTTGTCCAGCCTAGACTGCAGTGGCACCATCATAGCTCACTGCAGCTTTGAACACGGGCTTGAAATGTGCAAGCCTTCCATTTCAGCCTCCCAAGTAGCTGGAATTACAGACACACACCAACCACCGTGCCCAGCTTTTGTGTTTGTGTGTGTGTGGTAGGGACAATGCTTTGGATATATTGTTCAGGCTGGTCTCAAACTCCCAGACCGAAATAATCCTCCTTCCCTGGCTTCCCAAAGTGTTGTGATTATAGCCGTGAGCCACTGAGTCTGGCATATCTTTTCTCATTATGAGCGACATTCCACCTCACTGAGTCTGGCGTATCTTTTCTTGGTATCAGCGACATTCCACCTTCGCTCTATTAATTATTTTGAGATGTACAATAAATCATTATTAAGTGTAGTCATCCTGTGCCACTGAACACTAGATATTATTCCTTCTAAGCAAGTATAATTTAACCCACCCCCATCCCCTCTTTGATCCCTCGCTTACCAGTTCACATTACTTGTATCAAAATATCACATGTATGCCAAAAGTATCTACAACTGTTAGGTACAAATTTTCATTCCCTTCCTCCTTCCCTCCCTTCCTTTCTTCCTTCCTGTCTTTCTTTCTTTTTGTCTCTGTATCTTTTTCTCTCACTGATTTTTTTTTTTTTTAAGAAAGAATCCTGCCCTGTCACCTAGGCTGGAGTGCAGTGGCGTGATCTCAGCTCACTGCTCCCTCCTTATCACGGGTTCAAGCAATTGTCCAGTCACACCCTCCTAAGCAGCTGCGACTGCAATCATGTGACACCAATCCTGGCAAATATTTTGTATTTTCAGTAGAGACCAGGTTTCACAATATTTGCTCAGGCTGGTCTTGAATTCCTTTCCTTTAGTGATCCACCCACATCAGCCTCTCAAAATGCTGGGATCCAGGCATGAGCCACAGTGCCCACCCAGTGGTATGCATTTCTCTCTCCCGTGATCTCTCCTATTTTATTATTTTATTCTCTTTTTATTTCTGAGACAGCGTCTCGCTCTGGTGCCCAGGCTGGAGCACAGTGGTGTGATCTCACTTTACTGCAAACTCCATCACCAGGGTTCAATGGATTCTCCTGCATCAGCCTTCCAAGTAGCTGGGATAACATCCACGGGCCACCAAGCTTGGCTAGCTTTGGTATGATACTAGACGTGGCATCTTGTCATGTCTAATTTCGTATCTGTTTTAAAGCTCGATTGATAAGCAATATTGACTTCCTGGAATGTTTTATGTTTACAAAACAATTATAGTACTACTATTTAGCCTCCTCAGATAAAATATGGTAACACACAAAACATACACACACAGACAAAGACACAGTCAGTGATCAAAAAAAATCAGTGTAGGCCACGACCTAAATGAAAGGTGAGCTGCTGCAGTTGCCTAGAATTAAAGCAGACCAGAGTTGACCCATACCAGGCTGAGAGATGTGAACAGAGGCTTTCCAACAACTCTATCAGATACATGTTAGATTATTCTCCAGCCATAGCGAAGGGACATTAAAGATCTGTTGTGCTTAGAAGAGTCTCGATGATTTGACTTTTCCAGGGTATTAGCATTCATGATGTTGGCCTTTACAGCTCTCTGCAATGAAGTCAGTAGACAACACAGTTTTTCTAGGAGTCTAAAGTGCTTTTCAGAATTATCTAAAACTTAGTGGCTTAAAACCATAATTATAATTTACTAACTGTCAGTCTCTGCAATCGCCCTCAGTCTCTCAGCCAAATGAATGTGGTTCAGGGGCACTCAGGAGTTTACAATCTAGTGACGGCTCAGGATGGGGACATTGTCAGGTGTCTTCTCATCTCCCTGGTGCCATAGCTAGCATAACTCAAATTGTGGGGCTGGACTGCTGAGATTCTTGGGCATCTCCTTCTATTTCTATGCATCTCTCCATGGGATGTCCCTACTGCATAGTGTTATCAGGGTGTTAGACTTCATAATGTCCTGGTCCATGGCTTCCAAGGGGTTTGTCCCCATGAGAGCAGGAGACTTAGGCAGAGCTGTATCACCTTGTCTAACCTAGGCCAGAGGTGGCCCAGTATCCAGAAAATGCTTTCACTGTTTTCTATTAATTAGAAGCAAGTACTGTGTTCAGTTACATCAGGAATAATTTCAAATTGGTTTGTGAAGAATTTCAAAGTGTATTTTAGACCACTACTGTGGCCATGCCTAATAATTACTTATTTTTTTAAGTGCTGGATGGGTTTTACCCAACGTAATAGCTGATACAGACTTTTAACCTTGAAACCTTTATGTAATAGCTCCAAACATTTGGTTATATGTTGAAATAACTCTCAAGCAAAAATTGATTTTGAAATTAGAGCTACAAATCTATAAAACAAATGAGATAATGTCATAAATATCTGCATGAAATGCTTATAAAGAGATCAGCCTTAAAAATATTATGAAGTCTAATATGCCACTCTTTTACTATTTCTATGGCTATTACTTGGACAGGAGGACAAGGACTCAGGGGTCTGCTGGTCAGTCTCTGGACCTTGAAACAGTGGCTGGGGCCCCAGGAGTAACACTTCGGGCCATACCATGTAGTGAGGATGAGGAGTCCACCTGGGTTAAGGGGAGTGTCACTATATATATCGCTATATGAATATATATATATATATGTACACACACATATATAAAACACTATATCAGAAACTCAGTAGTCATAGTAAAATCAAAAAATAATCATAGTCAATTTGATCTCATACCTAGACTGAAATATGAAACTTCAAAAGAAAAGAAAGTTAAGAACTTTGGGCTTGTCAAAATTTTCCTACATAGATACAATTATTGGTGACTTTCTTTCACTAGAAAACATAAACAAACATCCATGTTTTGTATATGTGTAAATGAAAATATTTTTATTTCTATCAGTTGTGACATGCAAGCAAGTAATAAAGTGAAAGTACAATAATAAATCATAAAATTATATAAGGACATTTCTGTGTCAAAAAATTCCATTGAGACTATTAATTTTATAAAACCATAGAGAATGCTTCATGAAACTACATTAAATAGTACTTTTTAGTATTTCACTTAATTTTAAAAGTCAACAAATTAAAGGAAATTCTGAATCATTATTTCTTACCAATATCATTATTCTACTCAACAAATTCTTTTGAGATTAAATATTTTAAATAAAACATTAAAAACAAATTGTATTCACTGATACCAGCTTTTGATGAAATAATACTTCTGTATTTGTAATCATGTGAAATATATCTTTCTCCTCACAATGGATCTTTTATAACACCAGTGTTATTATTTTCTCTGATAAAAACCCTGTGATACCTCAGGGCTTTACTGTGTCCATACATTACATGCCTCCAGAGAGTAGGCTTCAAACAGATGGAAAAATTATATTTGTGACAAAATTCTAGGAAAGGGAATGATAAAATGGGAGAATAATTTCTAAATTTCTAACTGTTCATCAATGGATTTGGATATATTTAGATATAGACAAATATATGCACACTGCAAGTTTGCACATGTGTATATAAATTTATATGAGATACCCATAACGTGTGGGTTGTATAATCTTTTAATTAATTCTCAATTTTACATGTGGAAAACTTGATTAAGTGTTTACCCTCATCAAATACTCAGTTTGAAGTACTATACTCAATTTGATGTAAAGCCAGCAAAATCTCTGCCAACATTCATTTCAATTAATCCAATAATGTTAACTGTTGATAACTTCATTCTCCTTGTCCCCTGTTAACAGCTGAAAGTTGATTCTCACCCTAATTCAGCAATCAGGGTGTCATCCTCAAGAGACTATCACCTTGCTTTGGATTGTGACCTCTGACTCCACCACTTTCATCCTATAGCAGTCCTACCTTTGTGTATTTAATCAACTTTGTACATGGTTAAAAAAATAAAAGTGCAGTGAAATGTCAGGCCATGCTGTGAAATGTTCCAGTGTTTCTATATCTCAAATTGACCTTTCATGTTATAGAAGATAAGAAAAACAATTCATTTCTTAGTATTCAGTCCAATGCACCCTTTCTTATTAATATGCCAAACCTGTCCCTTCAAGGCACTGACATCCAAGCACAGCTAGACGTATCAAAATTTATTCTCAACAATAACCATTATGTTAATAACTGTTGCCCAGATCTGGACCCTGCCTGTGAAATCTTTGGTTAGAAGTTGCTATAATGGCTCAAGCTAGGGGAATGACTATTTTTTTTGGCATAATTACTGCTGTCATCTTACTGAAAAAATATCACATTAGATGACAGCTTTTAGTTAGATCAATTCTGTTGATTCATTTTTAATGTCTATCATTTATGATATTGCACAAGTAAAGATCTTTGATAACTTAAATGGTTAACTGAGAAATGACTAAAATAACTCACAGCAATTCAAACATTCATTTACTTACTAGAAGTGCCATACATCATTAACTTCAGATGAAAACAAAGTTGGGAAATTGTGAGTGCTAAATTGCTTACTAAAGTATGTATTTCAGGGTATTTTATAAAACTATCCATGCCACGTATGATGCTTCACCAGCAAGGATAAAGCTTTAGCCTATATAAAAAATAGTCTTTGGTTCTTAATACATCTGTACATTTGTCTCCATAGCCTCAAAACAAGTCACCCATGTACTTGACTTTCAGCTGAGTTGACTACCAGTTATTAGGATTTAAGCAAACAGAATAAAGATTTCAAAATCTGGTGACCAAATATGAGAAATCACACTCTCACCATAAGTAATAATTATTCTCAAGTGCCACTGCAAATGCAAAACTGAAAGAAGAAATTAAGTCTAATATATTGCAATATTCTAAAATCTAAAATTTCCTCTTTGAGGTCTGGTTGTTCATGCCTGGAATTGCAGCTCTCTGGGAGGCTTAGAAGGGAGGACTGCTTCAAACCCAGAGTTTGACAGCAGCATAGGCAACACAGCAAGAACCATTTTTAAAATGTAACTAAATATTTAATTAGTTAAATTGGGCATGATGGCACACATCTGTTGTTCCACTTAGGAGTTCACAGTTGTAGTTTGCTGTTATCACACACTGCATTTCAGCCTGGGCCATGAGGCAAGACTTTGTCTCTACAAAATAATTCAATATAAAAAACAAAATAAATTAAAATAAAAACACTTTCAGGTGTTTTTTGGAAGTTTGTATAATTGCTCTAAAAGTAGAGACATTGTTTAAAGTTGAGCAGTCAATGGGGGAGTGGAGAGTGATTGTTTATATTGTTTTCCAGAAATTAGGATGAATGTATTATAATGTTATATATAAATATCTAATAACCTTTTGTGCAATAAATGTTGACAAATGTCAAGCCATTGTGTTTATAGACTTTTCCTTCAAAATATTCATAGTTTAATTGGAGAATGAAGAAAACAGCCATAATTGGAATGTACTCTGGCAAGTGTTACAATATATACAATTTAGTAACTTAGTTGCAGAGGAAGGAAGTTCTTAACTGCGTTAACAGGGGTGTGGAGAACCTTAGGGAAGGAACAATTGATCGCATCTGTAAGGATACAAATTTTCGAGAAGAATGTTTGCGAGAAAACGTTGTAGAGAAAAAAGAAACATTCTTTCTATCAATGATAGAAGTACCAACAGTGCATATGATGCCATCTGCCGAATGCTTAGAGCATTCTAGCTCAATAAATATTTCTTGAATGAATCCATGAATGGAAGATATTGGGAAAAGGCTTCTGGAAGGGATCATTAAAATCCTATAAAGGGAAGGTAAATACCCTGGACTTTACAATTTTGCCTGCTTTTGTTTATGATCTTTTTATGTTTACTACCTCACAAGCTGTTTTACTTTTTGGTCTTTTCACGAATATCATGAATGAATCATTCCTGAGAGTAATTCTCTCTTTATCTCCTGACACTGTATTTGTCTCTAATACTCCTTTGTGGGAGGCCCTGGGTTTGCATGCCCACAGCTATATCACTCCCTTCTCCCTGGCACTGTTCTGTAATAGAGAGAGGCCTGGCCCCAGGAAGGCATGGTTCCTAGGCTCCTATAAAAATTACTTCTTGTTTCAGTTCAGTCAAGGGGTGACACTGCAGAGATTAGAGAACAAGAAGATATGAGAAGTCAGTTTGTTTCCTTCTCTTTCTCAATAAGGGATATGTTTCTGCAGTGATTCCATGCCTACAGGACATGCTCTCTCTGTTTTCATTTTCCATATAGTGACCCTAATCCCAGACTGGCTCTTCAAATGCCATTTTCTCCAGTTGTCATCTGTAAAGGATTTGGGTACTATTTTGGAGTTTTAAATTTAAAAAATATTGATATGGAAGAGGGGCAGAGAAGTGCCTGGTAGAGAAGGCTGTGGTTCTTGGCTAGGGCTCCACCATCAGGCCTGTGCTCACTGACTTAGTTGAAGACACGCACCTCTGTTTTCTTGCCTAAATTGGTGAGGACATGTGTTTCTGGGTTTTTTTGCACAAGTGTTGCATTTTCCAAGACCACCCTCGCCTGCCATACTCCCATCCTGTTCTATAAGAAATCCTGAGACGCTAGCAGGGAGATACACAGCAGCTGGACTTTTAGAGGAATGATCACCAGAAGAAGACACAACATCTGGACCTGGAGAGGACACCAGAGAAAGGAGAGCACAAGGACTGAGGCTGCAGGCCATCCACTGCAGAAGAACACGAAGTTTCATGGGGCTGTGGGAGGAGAGCACTGAGCTGCCCCATTCCGAGAGAAAACCACCTTCCCATTCCATCTCCATTCTGGCTCCCCATCGATTTTCTGAACACTTCCAATCAATGAAAACTTGCACTTATTCTCCAAACCCACATGGGAGCCAATTCTTCAGGTACACCAAGGCAGGTAATCCCAGGATCCAGAAAGCCCTCTGTCTTTGCAGTAAGGCTGGATGTCTAATTGAACTAACACTAGTAGTCTACAGATGGATGAACTAAATTAACACCGTGCAACACATGCCCGCTAGGGATTCAGGAGCTGTATGCATTCACCCCTAGATGCTGCCTAGGGTCAGAGCCCCGCAACCTGTCCTCACTGATCGCCCAGCTGCAGGTAATAAGAGAGGTTTTCCCATTTTAATGAGTCTGCTTCCAATGCAGTGTGCTTTCTACAATACTGCAGTGTTACCTTATTGCATATATTTGACAAAGTAAGTTACAAACTATAACTAATCTGAGAAGAAAATAAATGGTGAAGAATAAGGAAGAAAAATGAAGCATTGTGTCTCACAATGAATACAAACAACTATAAGAATAATTAATCAATACATGAGTCTAGCCAAGCAGGTGATTAATGTCATGGGGAGGCACTCTCCATCATCTTGGGATTTCATTCTGGGACAGAGAGTGTGAACAGCTATAAGGTCAGATAGAAAAGAGGATAGAACCTGGTGAGGTGTGGATTGTATCCCGCATGTTCACCTGCAAAAAAGATGAAGACAGATGACACAGAAGTTGCTTCCAACTGAATCCCCACATCCCCTTAATTGCACAAGCAGTGCACACCGAGGTCCAGTGTTCAAGTGTGAATTCTCCAACGTGCCGTGAACCTGTGGAGTGCAAACCTAGGGGTTTGCACTTTGAGGGCTTTCATACACTGGGCCAAATGGGAGTAGGATGGATTGATGCTGTGTGGGATGTGGCCTCCACAGTTGCCTCTTTTTTTTTTTTTTTTTTTTTGGCTTCCATCTTCCTCATCAAATTAGGGTTTGCTTGGTCTTACTCACCGTCTTGCCCTTCAGCAGCACTACTGGACATACTTTTCAGGATTGCCATCGCCAAGCCTTTTGGTGGTGTGTCTGTGTGGCTCTGCTTGGGATGTGGGGATCTGTGTTCTTTATTTTTCTGTGGATCATGAAGTCACAGTGAATTGGGAGGCATGTGTACAAATCACCTCCCCCTGCAAAAAAATTCAGTCTTTTAGAAAGAAGAGGAGCACACCACACCAAAAAACTGGCATCTTCTAGTGTTTCATTGTCCTGCAGCCAAACCAGGGAGAGCCCCTGCAGTCCTATCCCATGGGCCCCATGAATTTACCTTGAATTCAGTTCCCAGCTGAATAGGTGATTCATGTCTTAAAGGAAAACTCCTCCAGCGTCTTGGGATTTCATCCTGGGACATAGAGTATGAGCAGAAATGAGGTTAGAAAGGGGTAATGATACAATGTGGTGAGGGCTGGATGGGGTCCCCCAATTTCACCTGCAAAAAATGAAGACATTACACAGAAGTGTTTCCAATTCCATTTTCACATTCCACTAATTGCACAAGTAGTCCACATCATGGCACGGTGTTCAGGTCAGAGTACTCCAATGTGCAAGGAATATTTGGAGTGCAAATAGGGGCCATGCTGGCAAACTCCCGATTTGAGGACCTTCACGCCTGGAGCTAAATGGAAGATGAATGTATTGATGCTGGGTGGGATGTGGCCTCCATGCATGCCTCTTCTTTTCCTGAGTTCCATGTTACTCATCAGTTTAGGGTTTCCTGGGTCTGGCTTGGCCTCTTCCACACTAAACATTTCCCAGTTCACAGAGAATGACCCTCATGGGAATCCATTGCATGAGAATTTCCTTCTAAACACTGTCATGTTTTAATGACAGGGCAGCTTTGATACTTCTCCTACTTCTATTGGAGGGATGCATGATTCCTGTAGAGTGAGAAGCAGGCAGCCGTGTCTGGCTTTTGCCTGATAATATAGCCTCTGTTTCATTTTGTCTGCCTGGCCTTCTTATAGTGGAGGGGTTCTTTCATTGGGCTGTTGTTGGATGGAAGAGCCTCTTGCCACAGATTATGTAGCTATTGGGAATTTCAGAGAGCAAAAGGGACATCGGCTAGTCTGGCTGCTCTGCAGGTTGTGGGTCATTGTCTCATTGTGGGGACTGTGATTGTTTGCACTTTACAGGGGGCTTTTGGTTCCTCTGACAAGGATCATTGAACCTTGCTTCAACTCCAGCACAATGCAGTTGTTTCTTTCAGGAGAGCCTTGATTTTTGTTTGCTTTCATGGGGAATCCACAGTGCCCCTTCACAGCATTACTGGACACTATTTTCAGGCTGCCATCAGCACAGATGGCCTCTGAGACACTCTCTCAACCTCACCTGCAACCATGTGAGGCCAGTCTGAGGTGTGAGGACATGCACCACCTTGGATTTGCCTTTGTAGTTTCTACCTTTCCCTGAGAGCCTCTGCAAGGCCCAGGATGAAGGGAGAGGGTGAGGTCAAGAGCCCAGCCATCTTTCACTGACACGAACCTCTGGGGTCCCAGGTATGATTCTATCACTCAATGAACCCTCAACAACACACCAGACAATATCCCAAACCCATGGGACCCAATTCTTGCACACAGCCCCTTTCTGAAACGGAGCCAGAAGATCAGTTTCCAGCGACCACCTCACAGTCTTGAAACACCTCATCCTCCAGTGGGATCCTACCATGGAGATGACCCGAAGGGGCCTTGAGGTCAAGACTTTTATGGTCCCAAAGTGGGTTTTCACAGGCAGTGTTTTTACTGATACCAGGCTGGCTCTGCCTGTACCATTTTCCTCTGCTTAAGGCAATTGACAGCTCTTACAGCCTGGCACCTGAGCCTGCCTCACAATGCGCATGCCCTAGTCTAAAAGCCTCTGGCTAGCCTCACCATGAAAGTCACCATTGCCTAGTGACAAGTCCCTGTGCCTTGGCAGAGAAAGAGACTTCCGTGGAGATGTGTCTTTGGTGGACTGTGTCCTGTCTTCTCTGTGGAATCGACCAGATAGTCCCATGTTCCAAGGAGAGGGCAGATGTGAGCCAACCTGAAGAAATGTCAAGCAGAGCCTCAGGAATAAACTGTGAATCCCTGAGGATACAAAATAATCTGCAAGATTCCTCAGGCCTGCCTAGATGTTGTAGGGGTGAGTCTTTTTGAAACTGGCCCCACTGTGATTTCTAGGTATAGCCTGCCTTTTTTCCTTGGGGTTGCTCTCTCCCAGTTGGGGCTTCCCGCAAAACTGCACAACTTTGGGAGTTGCCGGGCTGTGTGTTTCTGAGGGAGTATTGTGAGGGTTGGATTTCTGTGTGTGTGCCTATAAGTGGAGTCTACTTCAAGGAATGTGGCTACCACACTTCAGCAATTCTTTTTTTTTTTTTTTTTTTTTTTTGTCTCCCCACTTTGGTGGATTGTCTTGGTGGCTCTTCTTGGGCTGTGGGGCTCTATGTTCCTTATTATTCTGTAGATCATGAATCCTCAGTGAATAGGGAGGCGGGTTGAGATGTGCAGGCATCTGAGTCATACCCACCCCTGCAAAATAAGCCACTCTTCTTGAGAGAAGAGGGTCACATGACACCAAAAAAACAGGCATTTCCTAGAGTTTCACTGTACTGTGGCCAAACTGGGGAGAGGCAATAGCAGTCTTGTCCAAAGGGCCCCTTGAATTTACCTCGAATTTGTCCTCTGCTGAGCACATGCTTCACATCATGAGAGGGCAGTTCTCCATCATCTTGTGATTTCATCCTGGGACTTACAGTGTGAGTAGAAATCGGGTCAGATGGGGAAAGGATACAATCTGCTGAGGAATGGATGGTGTCCTGTAACTTCACCTGCAAAAACCAAAACCTAAACAAAACAAAACAACAAAAAAAAACGAAGACAGATGACACAGAAGGTGCTTCCAAATACATCCCCGCATTCCCTTATTTGCAAAAGCAGTCCACACCATTGCCGGGTGCTGAGGTAAGAGTACTCGAATGGCAAAAGCAGTCCACACCATTGCCAGGTGCTGAGGTAAGAGTACTCGAATGCAAGAAATATTTGGAGTGCCAGTTGGGGGCATCCTGGAAAACTCCTGATTTGAGGGCTTTCGTACCCAACGCTAAATGGGGAGTGGAAATGATTGATACTGGGTAAGGTGTGGCCTCAACATTTGCCTCTTCTTTTTGAATTTTATGTTCCTCACTGACCTAGGGGTTCCTGGGTATGGCTCAACAACTTCCACACTAAATATTTCTCTGTTCATGGAAAATGATCCTCATGGGAATCCATTGCATGAGTATTTCCCTCTAAACACTTTCAGGTTTGAATAACTGTGCAGCTTTAATACTTTTAAAACCATAAATTTCCATTACAGCCACCAAGAAGGAAAGTCTTATTGTCACACTTCTATTGAATGCCACATGATTTCTGTAGGATGAGAAGTGGGCAACCGTGTCTGGATTTGCCTGGTAGTATAACCTCAGTTTCATTTCATCTGCATGGCATTCTCATTGTGGAGGGACTCTTCATTGGGATGATGCTGGATGGGACTGCCTTATGCCACAGATTATTTAGCTGCCAAGGATTTCACAAAGCAAAAAGGACTTTAGGAAAAATGGCTGTGCTACTTGTTGTGGGTAATTTTCTCTTCATGGGGGCTGAGGTTGTTTGCCCTTTGCAGGAGAGTTTTGGGTCCTCTGACAGGAATTATTGAACATTGCTTAAATTTCAGCCTGAGGAGCTCATTCTCTCATGCGAGCCATGATTTTTTTTGTTATTTTGTTTTCATGGTGGAATCCACAATGCCCCTCAAAAGTGCTACTTGACATGATTTTCAAGCTTGTCGTCACCACAGATGGTCTCTGAGATAGTGACTCAACCTCATCTGCACCCGTGACAGGAAGGTCCAAAGTGCAAGAACACTCCTCCATCACATGCTTGCCTTTGTCTTGGTTCCAGCCTGTTCCAGCGAGCCCCTACAAGACCCAGGATGAGGTAGTGAGATCTAGAGTCCAGACATTTTCCACTGAAACCAGTCTCTGGGGTTTCAGGTATAATTCTATCAGCCAAAGAACACTCAACAACAAGCTAGACTATATACCAATACCCATGAAATCAGATTCTTTCACCAAAAAACAGACATCTCCCAGTGTTTCATTTCCGTGTGGCCAACACAGGGAGACACACTAGCAGTCTTGTCCTCAGGTCCTCATGAATTTACTTCAAATTCAATTCACAGCTGAGCAGATGCTTCACATCATGAGGGGTTACTCCTCTATTTTCTTGGGATTTCATCCTGAGACATAGAGTGTGAGCAGCAATGAGGTCAGATAAGGGTGAGGATACAATCTGGTAAGCAGTGGATAGTGTCCCACACTTTCACATGCAAAAAAAAAAAAAAAAAAAAAAAAAGAAGACAAATGAAACAGAAGGTGTTTCAAACTCCATTGCCATATGTTCAGATGGGAGTACATCAACGTGGAAGGAACACTTGGAGTGCAAATTGGGGCAACCTTGGCAAACTCCTGATTTAAAGCTTTCATACCCAGAGTCAAATAGAAGTCGAATGGATTGATGCTGGATGTGATATTGCCTCCAGATATCCCTCTTCCTTTCCTGAATTTCATGTTCCTCATCAGCCTAGGGTTTCCTGGGTCTCGCTCAATGACTTCCACACGAAAGGTTACCCGGTTCATAGAGAATGGCCATCATGGGAATCCACTGGGTGATTGTTCCCTTCTAAACACTGTAACATTTTAATGACTGGTCACCTTTAATACTTTTAAAACCATAAATTCCCATTAAACCCGCCAACAAGAAAACTCTTGTTCTCCCACTTCGATTAGAGGGCTGCATGACTACTGTAGGATGAGAAGCAGGCAACCATGTGTGGGTTTTTACCTGGTAATCTAGCCTCTGTTTCATTTCATCTGCATGGCCTTCTCATTGTGGAGGGGGGTTCTTGAACTGTTGCTGGATGGGACTGCCTCTTGCCGCAGATTATTTAGCTAGCAGGGATTTCAGAGAGCAAAAGGGACTTTGTGGAGGCTGGTTGTGCTCAAGTTTGTGGTTTATGGTCTTGTTTGGGGGACTGAGGTTGCTTGCAGTTTGCAGGAGCATTTTGGGTCCTCTGACAGGAATCATTGAACATTGCTTGGACTCCAGCACAAGACAACTCATTCTCTCAGGTGAGCTTTAATGTTTGTTTGCTTTCTTGGGGAATCCACAGTGCCCCTTATCAGCACTACTGGACACCCTTTTTAGGCTTGCCATCACCACAGACGGCCCCTGAGACACTGATCTCAACCTCATCTTCACCTGTGAGAGGTCAGTCCAAGTTGTGAGAATTGTGCTCCACCTTGGACTTCCCTTTGCTGTGGCTCCTGCCTTTCCCACAGAGCCCCTCAGAGGCTCAGGATGAAGGGAGGCAGTGACGTCAAGGGCCCGGCCATCTTTCACTGACACCAGCCCATGGGGCTTCAGGTATGATTCTATCATCGAAAGAACCGTCAACAACACATCAGACTTTATTCCAATCTCCACCTGACCCGATTCTTGCACACACCCTCTGTCAAAAAGGGAGACAGAAGAGTAGTTTCCACAGACCACCTCACAGTATTGATATGCTTCCTCCTTTGGCGGGACCTGACCACAGAGATGGCCTGAATGGGATGTGAGGTCAAGACTTTTACTGTCCCCCAGTGGTTTTGCGGGCATCCCTTTTCTGATACCAGGCTAGGTCTGCTTGTAGCATTTTCCTCGGCTAAGGAAGGCTGACAGCTCTGAGAGCCAGGTGCCAAGGCCGCCTCATGAATGCGCATGAGCTAGTCTCAGGGCATCATTCCTGATTGTGAGCTCTGGCTATCATCACAATTAATGTCACCGTTGCCTAGCAACAAGTTCCTGCGACTTGTCAATGAAGGAGACCTCTGTGGAGGTGTGTCCATGGTGGACTCTCGCCTGTCTTTTCTGTGGATCCACGGGAGAGTTCCATAATCCTAGGAGAGGGCAGATGTGAACCAGCCTGAGGAAACATCAAGCACAGCCACAGGAATAAACCACAAAGTCCCTAAGGATCCAAAAGTATCCACACGATTATTCAGGCCTACCTACACATTGCAGGGGTCAGTGTTTTTGAAACGTTCCCCTCTGTGATTTCTAGGCACAGCACACCTCTGTTCCTAGGGTTGCTCTCTCCTAGGTGGAGCTTCCTGCAGAATGATGCAGCCTCTGGAGCTGCATCACTGTGTGTTTCTGTGGGAGTGTTGCGAGTGTTGGATGTCTGCATGTGTGTGTGTGGCACTGTGTGTTTGTGTTGTGTGTGTGTGTGTTTGTGCCTGTAAGTAGAGTCTGCTTAAAGAAATGTGGATAACCCAATTCAGTGCTACTTTATTTGAGTCTCAACACCTTTTGGTGGCCTGTTTGTGTGGGTCTGCTTGGGCTGTGTGTTCTTTATTTTTCTGTGGATCATGAATCCACAGTTGGGAGCTTGCCAAGTCCCGCTGGCATCCAAATAAACTCCCACTGTAAAAACAAAGCCACTCTTCTGGAAAGAAGAGGAGCACACCACACCGAAAAACAGGCATCTTCCAGTGTTTCATTGTCCTGCAGCCAACCCAGGTAGAGACACTAGCAGTCCTGTCTGCAGAGCTGATTGTATTTACCTTGAATTCAGTTGACAGCTGAGGAGGTGCTTCACATCGTTGTGGGGAACTCCTTCATAGTTTTGTGATTTCATCCTGGAACACAGAGTGTGGGCAGCAGTAAGGTCAGACAGGGTGGAGGATCCAATCTGGTAAGGAGTAGATGGGTCCTGCAACTTCACTTGCAATAAAAATGAAGACAGATGACACAGATTGCTTCCAACACAATCCCCTCATTCCCTTAATTGCACAAGCAGTCCACACCATGGCCTATTGTTCAAGTGGGAGTACTCCAACGTGCAAGGAACACCTGGAGTGCAAATTGGGGATATCCTGGCAAACTCCTGATTTGAGGGCTTTCATAATTGGAGCCAAATGTAAGTGGAATGGATTGACATTGCGTGGGATGTGGACCTTCACACTTGCCTCTTCTTTTTTTGACATTCATGTACCTCATCGGCCTAGAGTTTGCTGTGTCTGGGTCAAGGACTTCCACACTAAATGTTTCCCAGTTCATGAAGAGAGACCCTTATGGAATCCACTGCATGAGGGTTTCCTTCTAAACACTCACATTTTAATGACTTGGCAGTTTTGACATTTAAAACCATGAATTCCTGTTACAGCCACCAACAAGGAAACCCTTGTTCTCCCACTTCTATCAGAGGGCTGCTTGATTCCTGTGGGATAAGAAGCAGGCAGTCATGTCTAGCTTTTGCCTGGCAGTCAAGCCTCTGTTTTATTTTATCTGCTTGGCCTCCTCATTGTGGATGGTCTCTTTCATTGGGCTTTTGTCGGATGTGACTTCCTCCTGCCACAGATTATTTAGCTGCCAGCTATTTAAGAGAGAAAGAGGGACTTCGTGTAGGCTGGCTGTGCTTTAGGTTGTGGGTTGTTTTCTGGTTGTGTGGGATGAGGTGGTTTTCACTTTGCTGGAGGGTGTTGGGTCCTCTGACAGGAAGCATTGAACATTGCTTGGACTCCAGCACAAGGCAGCTCGTTCTCTCAGGCGAGCATTGATTTTTTTGTTTGTTTCATTTCATGGGGAATCCACAGTGCCCCTCAACAGCACTACCGTCCAGGCTTGTTCAGGCTTGCCATCACCACAGACTGCCACTGAGACACTGTCTCAACCTCATCTGCACCCGTGAGCCTCCTGTCTGAGGTGTGAGAACACTGCTTTACCTTGGACTTGCCTCTCTTCTGGTTCCTGCCTTTCTCAAAGAGCCTTTGTAAGGCATAGAATAAAGGGAGGAAGGAAGGTCAAAATCCCAGACATCTTTTGCAGACATCCAACTCTGGGGTATCAGATGTGATTCTGTCATCTGAGGAACCCTCAAAAACAAACCAGACAGTATTCCAATCCCAATGGGACCTGATTCCTGCAAACAGCCCTTTCAGAAATAGAGTCAGAAAAGCAGTTTCCATCGACTATCTCACAGTCTCAAAACGCCTTCTTCTCCAGTGGAACTTGACAATGGAGATCCACCAAAAGCGCCCTGAGGTTGAGCATTTTGAGATCCCACAGTGGGTTTTCACAGGCAGCCTTTTTCCCGATACCAGGCCAGCTCTGGCTGTACCATTTTCCTCTGCTTAGGCAGGCTGACAGCTCTGACACACAGGTTCCCAAGCCTGCCTCACAAATGCACATGTGCTAGTCTCAGGGCACCAGGCCTAACTGTGAGCTATGGCTAGTGTCTCAATGAACTTTGCCATTGCCTACTCTCAAGTCCCTGCAGCTTGGCGGAGAAGGAGACCTCCACGGAGGAGCATTGGGGGTGGACTCTCCCCTATCTTCTCCGTAGGATCCCCTGGATATTCCTCTGATCCTAGGAGACTGTAGACATGAGCCAGCCTGAAGAAATGTCAAGCACAGCCCTAGGAATAAACTGTGAAATCCATAACGATCCAAAGTGATCTGCAGGTTTCCTCAGGCCTGCCTAGATGTAGGAATGACTCTTGTTGAAATTTGGCCCTTTCTGATTTCTTGGTACATCCCACCTGTGTTCCCCAGGGTTGTTCTCTCCCAGGTGGGGCTTTCTGCAGAACCAAGCAGCCTCAGGAGCTGCTGAGCTGTGTGTTTCTGTGATAAAGTTGTGAGTGATAGATGTTTGCGTGTGTGTGTGTGTTATTTTGGGTTTGTGTGTCTATGTGTATGTCTGTGTGTGCCTGTAAGTAGAGTGTGCTTAAAGGAATGTGGCTAAAGAACTTCAGTCCTTCTTTTTTTTTTTTTTTTTGAGTCTCCCAACCTTTTGTTGACATGTCTGTGTGGCTCTGCTTGGGCTGCAGGGCTCAGTGTTCTTTATTTTTCTGTGGATCACTAATTCAAAAAGAACTGGGAGTTGGGCCAAGGCATGCCAACATCCAAATCACCTCCCCATGCAAAAAAAAAAAAAAAAAAAAAAAAAAAAAAAGGCACCCTTTTAGAAAGAAGATGAGCACACCACACCCAAAAAACAGATGTCTCCCAGAGATTCATTGTCCTGTGGGAAACCCAGGGAGCACACTAGCAGTCTCATCTGCAGGCCTTTTGAATTTACCTCAAATTTGGTTCCCAGCCTAGCAGGTGCTTCATGTCATGAGGGGGCACTGCTCCATCATCTTGGGATTTCATTGTAGGACATATAGTGTGAGAATCAATAAGGTCAGATGGAGTGAGGATACAATCTGGAGAGGGGCGGATGGGGTCCTGCAACTTCACTTGCAAAAAAAAAAAAAAAAAGAAGAAGAGGACGGATGACACAGAAGATGCTTCCAACTCCATCCCCACATTCCTTAATTGCACACGCAGTCCACACCAAGGCCCGCTGTTCAAGTGGGAGTCCTCCAACATGCAAGGAAGATTGGGAGTGCAAATTGGGGCCATCCTGGCAAACTCCTGATTTGAGGGCTTTCATTGCTGTAGCCAAATGAAAGTGGAATCGATTGATGCTGGGTGCAAGCCAGCCTAAAGAAACATCAAGCAGAGCCCCAGGAATAAACTGTGAAATCCCTAAGGATCCAAAAGGATCTGAAAAAGGCCTCAGGCCTTCCTAGACATTGTAGCAGTTAGTCTTTTTGAAACTTGCCACACTGTGATTTCTAGTTTCAGCCAGCCTGTGTTCCTTAGGCATTGTCTCTTCCAGGTGGGGCTTCCTGCAGAACCATGCAGCCTCAGAAGCTGCTGGGCTGTGTGTTTCTGTGGGAGTGTTGTGAGTGTTGGGGTGTGTGTGTGTGTGTGTATCTGTGTGCCTGTAAGTGGAATCTCTTAAAGGAATGTGGCTATTGCCCTAAAGCACTTCTTATTTTTGAGACTCCTAACTTTTGGTGGCCTGTCTGTGTGGCCTTGCTTGGTCTATGGGATTACAACTTCTTCATTTTTTTGTGTGGATCATGAATCCACAGTGAACTGGGAGATTGGCTGAGACATGCCAAAGTTAAATTATGTCCCACTGCAAAAAACAAAACAAAACAAAACCCTCTTCTAGGAAGAAGAATAGCAAACCACACCCAAGAGCAGACATCTCCCAGTGTTTCATGTTCTGCAGCAAACCCAGGGAGAGACACTGGCAGTCCTGTTCTCAGGGCCCCTTGAATCTACCGCAAATTTGATTCCCAGCTGAACACGTGCTTTTCATCACAATGGGACAATCCTCCATTGTCTTGGGATTTTATTCTTGGACACAGAGTACGAGCAGTAATAAGGTCACATAGGTTTGAAGATACAGTCTGGTAAGGGGTGGTTGGAGTCATGCATATTCGCCTGCAAAAATGGTGAAGACAGATTACACTGTCACAATTTAATGACTGGGCATCTGTAATACATTTAAAACCATAAATTCCTGTTACTGACACCAACAGGGAAACTCTTGTTCTCCCTCTTCTGTCGGATGGGTGCATGATTCCCATAGGATGAGAAGCATGCAGTCATGTCTGGCTTTTGCCTGGTAATCTGTGGTCTGTTTCATTTCCACTGTAGGTCCTTTCTCATTGTGGAGAGGGTCATTCAGCCATTGCTGGATGCGACTGCCACTCACCACAGATCTTTTGGCTGCCAGCGATTTTAGGGAGCAAAATGGCCTTCAGGTAGGCTGGCTGCACTTCAGGTTGTGGGTCGTTGTCTCATTGTGGAGGCTGAGGTTGTTTGCACTTCTGAGGAAGCTTTTAGGTACTCTGACAGGAGTATCTGAATGTTGCTTGGACTCCAGCAAAAGTCAGCTCATTCTCTCGGGTGAGCCTTGAGTTTTTTGTGCTTTCATGGGGTGTCGCCATTGCCCCACAACGGCACTATTGGACGCAGTTTTCAGGCTTGCAATAGCCACAGACAGCCTCTAAGACAATGTGTCAACCTCATCTGCATCCCTGAGAGGGAAGTTCAAGGTGTGAGAACTCTGATCCATCTTAGACTTGCATTTGTTGTGGTTTATGCCTTTCCCAGAGAGCCCCTGGGGGACCCAGAATGAAGAGAGGCAGTGAGGACAGGGGTTTGGCCATATTTCACTGACAACCACCTCTGGGGTCTCACTTATGATTCCATGACACAAAGACCCCTCAACAACTCACCAGACTCTATTCCAATCCCTATGGGACCTGATTCTTACAAATAGCCTCTTTCAAGAATGAAGTCAAAAGAGCAGTTTTGCATGACAGCCTAACAGTCTCAAAACACCTCTTCCTCCAGTGGGACCCGACCAAGGAGATGGATGGAAGGGGTCCTAAGGTTGACTTATTTAGGGTCCCCCAGTTGGTTATCACAGGCAGCCTTTCTCCTGATATGAGGCCGGCTCTGCCTATACCATTTTCCTTTGCTTAGGCAGAATGGCTGCTCTGACAGCTGAGCCCCTGGGCCTGCCTTGCGAATGTGCATCTGCTAGCCTCAGGGCACCACCCCTGAGCTGTGATCTTTGGCTTGCATCACAATCAATAACTCTTTGCCTAGTGAAAAGTCCCTGAGGCTTGGCAGAGAAGGAGACCTCCGTGAAGATGCATCATGGTGGACTGTGGTCTCTTCTCTGTGGAATCCTCGGGAGAGTCCCATGATCCTAGGAGAGGGTGAGAGGGCAGATGTAAGCCAGCATTAAGAAGCCTCAAGCAGAGCCGCAGGAATAATCCGTGAATTCCCTAACAATCCTAAAGGATCTGCAGGATGCTTCAGGCCTGCCTAGATGTTGTAGGGGTGAGTATTTTGAAATTGGTCCCACTGTGATTTCTACATACAGCATGCCTGTGTTCCCCGGGATTGCTCTCTCCCACATGGGGCTTCCTGCAGAACCACACAGCTTCAGAAGCTGCCAGGAGTGTGTTTCTGTGGGAGTGTTGTGAGTGTTGGATGTCTGCATTTGTGTGTGTGTTTCCCTGTTTGTGTGCATGCCTGTAAGTGGAATCTGCTTAAAAAAATGTGGCTAACACACTGCAGCGCTTTCTTGTTTTTGAGTCTCCCAGCCTTTTGGTGGTCTGTCTTTGTGGCTTTTCTTGGGCTGCTGGGTTCCATGTTCTTTATTTTTCTGCAGATCATGAATCCGCTGTAAATTGAGAGGCTGGCTGAGACCTGCCAGGTCCAAATAACCTCCCCCTGAGGAAAAAAAAAAGCCACTCTTCTAGAAAGAAGAGGAGCACATCAAACCCAGGAACAGAAATATTTCACTGCTTTATTCTCCAGTGTACATCCCATGGAGAAACACTAGCAGTCCAGTCCTCAGGGCCCCTTGAATTTACTTCATATTCAGTTCCTAGCTGAGCAGGACCTTCACGTCACTCCTTCATTGTCTTGGAATTTCATTTTGGGACAGATACTTTGAGCAGCCATAACATCAGATAAAGGTGAGGATACAAGCTGGTGAGGGGTGGATGCGGTCCCACACATTCACCTGCAAAAAATGTGAAGATAGATGTCACAGAATGTGCTTCCAACTGTATCCCCACATTTCCTTAATTACACAAGCAAGTCCATACCATGGCCTGGTGTACAGTTGAGAGCACCACAATGTGCAGGGAATGTTTGGAGTGCAAACTGGAGCCATCCTGGCAAACTCCCTATTTGAGGACTATCATACCAGGAGCTAAATGGAAGTGAGATCATTTCACGTGAGGTTTGATGTGGCCACCACACTTGTCTCTTTTTTCCTGACTTCCATGTACCTCATCGGCCTAAGTTCTCCTGGGCCTGGCTCCACATCTTCCACGTTAACCATTTACCACTTCACGGAAGATGACCCTCAAAGTAATCCATTTCATGAGTGTTTTCTTTTAAACACTGTCAGATTTTAATGACTAGGCAGTTTCGATAGTTTTAAAACTAAATTTCTGTAACAGTAGCCAACAAAGAAACTCTTGTTATCCAGCTTTTATCAGAGGGCTGCTTGATACCTGTAGGAGAAGCAGGCAGCTGTACCTGGCTTTTGCCTGGGAATTTAGGCTCTGTTTCATTTCATCTGCTTGTCTTGTTTCATTGTGGAGGGCTCTTTCATCGGGCTGTTGTTGGATGAGGCTACCTCTCACCACAGAATTATTGGCTTCCAGGGATTTCAGAGAGCAAAAGGGACTTTGGGTAGGCTGACTGCACTTTAGGTTTGGGGTCATGGTTTACTTGTGGGGGCTGAGATTGTTTGCACTTTTCAAGAGGCTTTTGGGTCCTGTGACAGAAATCTCTAAACGTGGCTTGGACTACAGCACATGGCAGCTCATTCTCTCATGTGAGCCTTGATTTTCCTTTGCTTTCATGGGGGGTCCACAGTGCCCTTCAATAGCACTACCTGACAAACATTTCAGGATTGCAATTGTCACAGATGTCCTCTGAGACACTGTCTCATCCTCACCTGCACCTGTGGGAGTCCACTTAGAGCTGTGAGAATACTGCTCCACCTTGGACTTGCCTTTGTCATGGTTCCTCCATTTCACCAAGAGCCCCTGCAAGACTCAGGATGAATGGAGGCAGTGAGGTTAAGAACCTGGCCATATTTCACTGTCACCCACCTCTGGAGTCACAGGTATGATTCTATCACCCAAAGAACCCTCCACAACTCACCAGACAACATTCCAGTCCCCCTGGGACTCAATTCTTGCACACAGCCTCTTTCAGGAATAAAGTCAGAAGAGCAGTTCTCAGAGACCCCATCACAGTCTAGACATCTCCTCCTCCAGTGGGAACAGATCACGGGTACAGCTGAAAGGGGCCCCAAGTATGAGACTTTTAGGGTTCCACAGTGGGTTATTGCATACAGCATTTTTTTTTCCCAGTACCAGGCCCACTCTTGCCTGTACCATTTTCCTCGGCTTAGGCTGGCTGACAGCTCTGACTGCCGAGTGCCAAGCCCACTGGTGAATGCACATGTGCTAGTCTCAGGGCACCAGGCCTGAGCTGTGAGCTCTGGCTAGCCTCACCATGAATGCCACAATTCCCTGAGGCTTGGCTGAGAAGGAGACCTCTGTGGAGGTGCATCAGCCAAGGAATCTTGCCTGTCTTCTTTGTGGGATACACAGGATAGTCTCATGATCCTAGGAGAGAACAGACGTGAGCTAGCCAGAAGATATGTCAAGCCAAGCCCCAGGAATAAACCGCAAAATCTGTAAGGTTCCAAAAGGATCTGCAGGATGCCTCAGGCCTGCCTACACATGTAGAGGTGAATCTTTATGAAACTGACACTGCTATGATTTCTAGGTGCACCCCGCTTGTGTTCCCCAGAGTTGCTGTCTCCCACGTAAGTCTTCCTGCAGAACCATACAGCCTCAGAAACTGCTGGGTGGTGTGTTTCTGTAAAATTATTGTGAGTCTTTGATGTCTGTGTATGGGTGTGGCTTTTTTTAGCACTGTGTGTTTATGTGTGTGTGTGTGTGTGTGTGTGTGTGTGTGTGTGTGTGCGCACCTGTAAGTGAAGTCTGCTTAAAGGAATGTGGCTAATGCGCTGCAGCACTATTTTTTTTTTTAAGTCTCCCAACCTTTGGGTCACATGCCTGTGTGGCTCTGCTTAAGCTGCAGGGCTCTGTGTTTTTTAATTTTCTCTGGATCATGAATCCAAAGTGTACTGGGAGGCTGGCTGTGAGACACCAAGGTCCACATCACCTCTGCCTGCCAAAAAAAGCTGCTCTTCTAGAAAGAAAAGGAGCACAACACACGCAATAACAGACATCCTTCAGTATTCCATTGTCCAGTGGTCATCCCAGGAAGAAACACTAGCATTCATGTCCTCAGGGCCCTTGAATTTACCTTGAATTCAGTTCATAACTGAGCAGTTTCTTCAGATCCTGAGAAGGCACTCCTAGATCATCTTGGGATTTCATTTAGGGAAAGAGAACATGAACAGCAATAAGGTCAGAAGGGGTAAGGATGCAATCTGGTGAGAAGTGGGTGGGGTCCCACACTTCCAATTGCAAAAAATGTGAAGACAGATGACAGAGAAAGTGATTCCAACTGCATTCTCAAATTTCCTTAATTACGCAAGTAGTCCACACTATGGCCTGATGTTCAGGTGGGAGTACTCCAATGTGCAGAGAACATTTGAAATGCAAACCGGGCCATCCTGGCAAACTCCCAATTTGAGGGCTTTCATACTCTGCTCCAAATGAAAGTGAGACCTATAGATACAACGTGGGATGTGACCTCCACACTTGCCTCTTCTTTTCATGTCTTCCATATTCCTTGTCAGCCTGGGGTTTCCTGGATCTGGCTCAACATCTTCCCAGATGGCTCAACGGTAAAGGTTTTCCAGTGTTTCCTTCTAAACACTGTCACGTTTTAATGACTGGGCAGCTGTGATAATTTTAAAACCATAAACTCCTTTTACAGCTGCCAACAAGGAAACTCTTGCTCTCCAAATTTTATTGGAGTGCTGCATGATTCCTGTAGGAAGAGAAGCAGGCAGCGATGTTTGGCTTTTTTCTGGTAATCTACACTGTGTTTCATTGCATCTGCACATCCTTTCTCATTGTGGAGGTGGTCTTTCATTGGGCTGTTGCTGGATGGGGCTGCCTCTTACAACAGATCTATGGGCTGCCAGGGATTTCAGTGAGCAAAATGGACTCTGGGTAGGTTTAGTGCCTCTCCAGGTTGTGGGTCGCTGTCTCGTTATGGGTTGTTTGCACTTTGAAGGAGGCTTTTGAGTTCTCTGACAGGAATTTTTGAATATTGCTTAGATTCCAGCACAAGCCATCTTTTTCTCACACACACACCTTGATTTTTCTTTGCTTTCCTGGGAAGTCCACAGTGCCCCTCAACAGCACTACTGGACACCCTTTTCTGGCTTGCCATGGCCACAGATGGCCTCTGAGATACTGTCTCAACCTTATCTGTACCCATGAGAGGCCAGTTTGAGGTTTGAGAACACTGCTCCATTTTGGACTTGCCTTTGTCTTGGTTCCTGTGCTTCACAGAGAGACCCTGCGAGGTCCAGAATGATGGGAGACAGTGAGGTTAAGGGCCCAACCATCATTCATAGACACCCAATTCTAGGGTCTCAGGTATAATTCCATCACCCAAACACCCCTCCTCAACTCACCAGACTACATTCCAATCCCCATAAGACCTGATTCTTGCACACAGCCTCTTTCGGAAAGGGAGTCAGAAGAGCAGTTTTTAGCGACCACCTCACAGTCTCTAAATGCCTCCTACTCCTGTGGGAACTGAACACAGAGACAGCCCGAAGTGACCCTAATTTCGAGCCTTGTAGGGTCCCGCAGTGTGTTATCACAGGCAGCCTATTTCCCATTACCAGCTGGCTCTACCTGTACCATTTTCTTCTGCTTCCACAGGCTGACAGCTGTGAAAGCCAGGCCACTGAGCATGCCCTCAAATGCGCATGAGCTAGTCTCCAGGCACCAGGCCTGATTGTGAGCTCTAGCTAGCATCACAATGAATGTCACCCTTACACAGCTACAAGTCCCAGCTGCTTGGCCAAGAAGGAGACCTCCATAGAGGTGCCTTGTGGTGGACTCTTGCTTGTCTTCTCTGGGGGATCCACAGGATAGATCCATGTTCCTAGGAGAGGGCAGACGTGAGCCAGCGTGAAGAAACTTCAAGCAGAGCCCAAGGAATAAACTGCAAAGTCCCTAAGGTTACAAAAGCATCTGCAGGATTTCTCAGGCCTGCCTAGATGTAGGGTTGAGTCTTTTTGAAACTCACCCAACTGTGATTTCTAGGTAGATCCCACTGTGTTTGCCGGGGTTTCTCTCTCCCAGGTGGGGATTTCTGCAGAAACACACAGCCTCAGAAGCTGCCAGGCTCTGTTTCTGAGGGAGTGTTAAAAGGGTTGGATGTCTGGGTGTGGTGTGGCTTTTTGGCTTTGTGTGTTTTTGTGTGTGTGTGCGTGCGTGCACACACGCATGCACCTGTTAGTGGAATCTGCTTAAAGGGATGTGGATAACACACTGCAGAGCTTCTTTTATTTGAGACTTCCAACATTTTGTTTGCCCATCTGTGTGGCTCTGCTTGGTCTGGAGGCCTCCCTGTTCTTTATTTTTCTGTGAATTATGAACCTGCGGTGAATTGCAAGGCTGGCTGTGACACGCGGGGTC
Source organism: Homo sapiens (assembly GCF_000001405.40). Lineage (NCBI taxonomy): Eukaryota > Metazoa > Chordata > Mammalia > Primates > Hominidae > Homo > Homo sapiens. The sequence continues at coordinate 22,141,953 of NC_000024.10, read as the reverse complement.
CTCATAACCAACCGCTGGAAAAAAACAAAGCCACCCTCTAGAAAGATGAGCAGCACACCACAGCCAAGAACAGAAATCCTTCAGTGTGTCATTTTTCTGTGGCCATCCCAGGGAGAAACACTAGCAGTCCTGCCCACAGGGCCCCACGAATTTACCTCAATTTTGGTTCATAGCCGAGCAGATACTTCCCATCATCAGGATTCACTCCTCCATCACCTTGAGATTTCATCCTGGGACATACAGTGTGAGTAGCAATAAGGTCAGATAGCGTGAGGATACAATCTGATGAGGGGTGGATGGGGTCCCACACCTTCACCTGCAAAAGTATAAAGACAGATGACACAAAACGTGCTTCAAACAGCATTCCCACATTTCCTTAATTGCACAAGCAGTCCACAACTTGGCCCAGTGTTTAGTTGGGAGTACTCCAATGTGCAGGGAATATTTGGAGTACAAACTGCGGCCACCCTGGCCAACTATCGATTTGAGGGCTTTCATAGGCAGAACAAAATGGCAGTGAGATTGATTGATACAAGGTGGGATGTGGCCTCCACACTTGCCTTTTCATATCCTGACATACGTGTGCCTCATCATCCTATGGATTCTTGGGTATGGCTCAATGTCTTCCATGCTAAACATTTCCCAGTTCATGGAAGTTGACCCTCAGGGGAATACATTGAGTGAGTGTTTCCTTCTAAACACTGTCACATTTCAATGACTGGGCAGCTGTGATAATTTTAAAATAGTAACTTCCTGTTACTGCTGCCAACAAGGAAACTCTTGTTCTCTAGGTTTTATCGAAAGGTTAAGCAGGCAGCCGTGTCTGTATTTCACCTGGTAATACCGGCTCTGTTTCATTTTATCTGCACATCCTTTCTCATTGTGTAGGGGGTCTTTTATAGGGCTGTTGGTGGATGGGGCTACTTCTCACCACAAATTTATTGGCTGACAGGGATATCAAGGAGCACAAGGGACTTCAGGCAGGCTGGCCGCATCCCAGGTTCTGTGTCTTGGTCTCATTTTGTGGGATGAGGTTGTTTGCACTTTGCAGGAGGTTTCAGGGCCCTCTGACAGGAATCTTTGAACATTGCTTGGACTCCAGCCCAAGGCAGCTCTTTCTCTCATACGAGCTTTGATTTTTTTGCTTTCATGCCAGTCACTAGCACTACTGGACACCCTTTTCAGGGTTACAATCACCAAAGACAGCCTCTGAGACACTGTCTCAACCTCATCTGCCCCTGTAAGAGGCCAGTTTGAGGTGTGGTTCCCGCTTACCCGAGAGAGATCCTATGAGGCCAAGAATGAAGGGAGGCACTGAGGTTAAGGCCCTGGTCATTTTTAATTGACACCCATCTCTGGGGTATCAGGTAGGATTCTATCACCCAAAGACCCCTAAACAATGCACCAGACTACATTCCAATCCCCATGGTACCCAATTCTTGCACACAGCCTCTTTCGGGAATGGAGTCACAAGAGCAGTTTTTCACGACAAACTCACAGTCTAAAAATAGAAATGCATTCTCATCCTGCGGGACCCAGCATCAAAGATGGCCAAAGGGGCACTAAGGATGAGACTTTTAGGGTCCCAGAGTGGGTTATCACAGGTGGCATTTTCCTGGATAACTTTCTGGCTCTGCATGTATCATTTTCCTCTGCTTAGGCAGGCTGACAGCTCTAACAGCAGGGCCTGAAAATGCGCATGCTGTAGTCTTGAGGCACCAGGCCTGACTGTGAGCTCTAACTAGTGCCACAATGAATTTCACCATTGCCTAGTGACAATTTCTGCATCTTGGCAAAGAAGGAGATGTCCGTGGAGGTGTATCAGTCATGAATTCTCACCTGCCTTCTATGTGTGATCCACAGGATTGTCCCATGAGCCTAGGAGAGGGCAGATGTAAGCCAGCCTGTAGTAGCATCAAGAAGAGGCCCAGGAATAAACCACAATATTTCTCAGGATCCAGAAACATCTGCAACATTTTTCAGATGTGTCTAGACATTGTAGAGGTGAGTCTTTTTGAAACTTGCCCTATTGTGATTTCTAGGTACAGCCTGCCTGTGTTCCCCCAGGGTTGCTCTCTCCCAGGTGGGGTTACCTTCAGAACCAAGCAGCCTCAGGAGCTGCTGGGCTGTGTGTTTTTGTGACAGTGTTGTGAGTGTTGGATGTCTCTGTGTGTGTGTAGCATTGTGTGTTTCTCTGTGTGTGTTTGTGTGTGTATGTGTGCCTGTAAAGGGAGTCTTCTTAAAGCAATGTGGCTAACATACTTCAGTGTTATTATTATTATTGTTATTTTGAGTCTTCCAACCTTTTGGTGGCCTGTCTGTGTGGCTCTTCCTGGGCTGCAAAGCTTCATGTTCTTTATTTTTCTGTGAATTATGAATCCGACATGAATTGGGAGGTGGGCTGAGTCCCACTGGTGTCCAAATCACCTCCCCCTGCAGAAAAACCCACACTTCTAGAAAGAAGATGAGCACACCACATCAAAAAAACAAACAAACAAAAAACTCCCCCACAAACAGACATTTTTTGGTGTTTCATTGTCCTGCAGCTAAACAGGGGGAGACACTAGCAGTCCTGTGCAGAGGGCCACTTGAACTCACCTTGAATTCAGTTCCAAGCCTAGCAGGTGCTTCACATCATGAGGGGACACTCCTCCACCATGCTAGGATTTTATCCTGGGACATAGAGTGTGAGCAGCAGTAAGGTCAGATACAGGTGAAGATACAATCTAGTGAAAGGTGGTTGGGGCCCTGTAACTTCACCTGCAATAAAAATAAAGTCAGATGACACAGAAAGTGTTTCCAACTCCATCCACACATTCCCTTAATTGCAGAAGCAGTCCACACAATGGCATGGTGTTAAGGTGGGAATACTGCAACATACAATGGACATTTGGAGGGCAAATTGGGGCCATCCTGGCAAACTGCCGATTTGTGGGCTTTCATATTCAGAGATCAATAAGAGTGGAATGGATTGATGCTGGGTGGGATGTGGCCTCCACATTTTCCTCTTCTTCTTCTGACTTCTATATTCCTCACCTGCCTAGAGTTTCCTGTGTCTGGCTCAACCACTTCCACACTAAAGCTTTCCCAGTTCACAGAGTGTTTCCTTCTAAACACTGTCACCTTTTAATGACTGGGTAGCTTTGATATTTTAAAACTGAAAATTCCCATTACTGCTGCCAAAATAAACTCTTTTTCTCCCACTTCTTTCAAATGGCTGCATAATACCTGTAGGATGAACAGCCTTGTCTGGCCTTTGCCTGGTAATCTAGCCTCTGTTTCATTTCATCTGGATGGCCTTTTCATTGTGGAGGGGCACTTTCACTGGGCTGTTGCTGGATGTGACTGCCTTTTGCCACAGATTATTTAGCTGCCAGAGATTTTAGAGGGCAAAAGGGACTTCGGGCAGGCTCCTGCCATCCAGGTTATGGGTCGTTGCCTTATTGGGGGGCTAAGGTTGTTTGCACTTTGCAGGGGGCTTTTAGGTCCTCTGATAAGAATCACTGAACATTGCTTGGACTCCAGCACAAAGCATCGCATTCTGTCAGACATGTCTTGATTTTTCTTTGCTTTCATGGGTAATTCACAGTGAATCTCAACGGCACTAATATTCACCTTTTTTAGGTTTGCCATCACCACAGATGGCCTCAGAGACACTGTCTCAACCTCGTCTGTGCCCGTTGGAGGCCAGTCTGAGGTGTGAGAACACTGCTTCACCTTGTAGTTGCCTTTGTCATTGTAACTGCCTTTCCCAGAGAGCCCCTGTTAGGCCCAAGATGAAGGGAGGCAGTGAGATCAAGATCTCAGCCATCTTTTGCTGACACAAGCCTCTGGGGTTGTGTCAGCAAAATAATCCTTGACAACACACCAGACTATACTGCAATCCCCATGTGACCTGATTCTTGCACACACACATTCTTATTTGGGAATGCAGTCAGAGAAGCAGTTTGCAGCGACTATCTCCCAGTCTCAAAATGCCTCCTCCTCCGATGAAAAACTGACCACAGAGACAGCCTGAAGGGGCTCTGATGTAGAGACTTTTAGGGTCCCGCAGTGGGTTTTTGCAGTCATATTTTTTCCGATACCAGGCTGGCTCTGCCTGTATTATTTTTCTCTCCTTAAGCAGACTGACTGCTGTGACAAATAGGCACCTGAGCCTGCTTCACGAATGCACATACACTAGTCTCAGGGCACCAGGACTGATTGTGAGACCTTGCTAGCATCACAATGACTGTGGCTGCTGCATAGTGAGAAGTCCCTGTGGCTTGGCAGAGAAAGAGACCTTTGTGGAGGTGCATCAGTGTTGAACTCTCACCTCTCTTCTCTGTGAGATACATGGCATAGTCCCATGATCCTAGGAGAGGGCAGACTTCAGCCAGCCTGAAGAAATGTCAAGCTCAGCCCCAGGAATAAACCACAAAATCCCTAAGATCCAAAAGGATCTGCAGAATTCCTCAGGCCTGCTAGACATTGTAGGGGTGAATCTTCTTGAAACTTGCCCCACTATGATATCTAGGTACATCCCGCCTGTGTTCACTGGGGTTGCTCTCTCCCAGGTGGGACATCCTGCAGAATCACACAGCTTCAGGTGCTGCCAGGATATTTCTTTCTGTGGGATTGTTGTGACTGTTGGATGTCTGTGTTCGTGTGTGGCACTGTGTGTGTTTTGTATTTGTGTGTGCCCGTTAGTGGAGTCTGCTTAAATGCTTAAAAGAATGTGGCTAACACACGTCAGTGCTTCTTTTTTTTTTTTTTTTTTTTTTTTTTTAGACTGTAACCCTTTTGTGGGCACCCTATATGGCTTTGCTTGGGCTGCGGGACCTCATGTTCTTGATTTTTCTGTGGATCATGAATCCACTGTGAATTGGGAGGCATGCCAAGACCTGCCGGCATCCAAATCAACTCCCCCTGCAAAAGAAAAGCCACTCTTCTAGAAAGAAGAGGAACACACCCCACCAAAAAACAGACATCTTCCTGTATTTTATTGTCCTGCAGCCATCTCAGAGAGAGACACTAGCAATCCTGTCCACTGGACCCCTGGAATTTACCTCAAATTAGATTCCTATCTGAGCAGGTACTTTACATCATGAGGGGACCCTCCTCCATCATCTTAGGATTTCATCCTGGGACATACAGTGTAAGAAGCAATACAGTCAGATGGGGTGAGGATACAATCTGGTGAGAGATGGATTGGGTCCTACAACTTCACCTGCAACACTGAGAAAGACAGATGACACAGAAGGTGCTTCCAACACCATTCGCACATTCCTTTAATTGCACAAGCAGTCCATACAATGGCCCGATGTTGAGGTGGGAGTACTCCAACACGCCAAAAACATTTGGTGTGCAAATTGGGTCCATCCTGGCTAACTCCTGATTTGATGGCTTTCATACCCAGAGTCAAACGGGAGTGCAACGGAATGACGCTGTGTGGGATGTGGCCTCCACACTTTCCTCTTTGTTTCTGACTTCCATTTTTCTCATCGGTCTAGGGTTTCCTGAGTTTGGCTCAATGAATTCCACACTAAACATTTCCCAGTTCATGAAAATCTGCCCTCATGGGAATCCATTGTGTGAGTGTTTCCTTCTAAACTCTGTCACATTTTAATGAATGGATCTCATTGATACTGTTAAAAGCATAAATTCCTGTTACAGCCTCCAAAAAGAAATTTTAGTTCTCTCACTTCCATTGCACAGCTGCATGATTCCTGTAGGATGAGAAGCTGGAAGCCATGCCTGGCTTTTGCCTATTAATCTAGCCTCTTATTTCTTTCATCTTCATGGCCTTCTCATTCTGGAAGGGCTCTATCATTGGGCTGCTGCTGGATGGGACTGACTCTCACCACAGGTTATTTAGATGCTAGGGATTTCAGAGGGCCAAATGGACTTTGGGTAGGCTGGCTGCATTATAGATACTTGGTCATTGTCTCTTTGTGGGGGTTAAGGATGTTTGCACTTTGCAGGAGGCCTGTGGATCCTCTGACAGGATTCAGTGAACATTGCTTGGGTTCCAGCATAAAGCAGCTCATTCTCTCAAGTGAGCCTTGATTTTTCAAGGCTTTCATGGGGCATCCACTCTTCCTTGTCAACAGCACTGAAACACCCATTTCACACTTGCGTCTCCACAGAGGGTCTCTGAGACACAGTCTCAACCTCATCTGCACCAAGAGAGGACAGTATGAGGTGTGAGAACACTGCTTCACCTTGGAATTGCCTTTTTATTGGTTCCTGCCTTTCCTAGAGAGGTCCTTCAAAACCCAGGATGAGGGAGGCAGTGAGATCAAGAGCCCAGCCATCTTTCACTGACACTTACCTCTAGGGTCTCAGGTATGATTCTATCATCTAAAGTACCCTCAAAAACACTCCAGACTATATTACAATCCCTATGGGACCTGATTCTTGCACACACCGTCTTTCAGAAATTGAGTCAGAAGACCAGTTTCCAGAGCCACCTCACAGTCTTGAATGGCCTCTTCCTCCAGCAAGAGGAGAGTGCCTGGATAGGCACTGAGTTTGAGACTTTTAGGGTCCCACTGTGGGTTTTCTCAGGCAGCATTTTTTGAGATACCGGGCCAGTTCTTTTTGTACCATTACCCTGAGCCTAGGCAGGGTAACAGCTCTAACAGCTGCACACTCGAACCTGCCCAGTGAATGCACATTGGCTAGTCTCAAGGCACCAGTCCTGACTGTGAGTTCTGGCTAGCTTCACAATGAACATCACCATTGCAAAGCGACATGACCCTGTATCTTGGCAGAAAAGGAGACCTCCATGGACGTGCATCGGTGGTGGACTCTTGCCTTTCTTCTCTGTGGGATCAATGCAATAGTCCCATGATCTTAGGATAGGGCAGACATAAGGCATTTTGAAGATACATCAAGTACAGTTCTGGGAATAAACCGCAAAATTTCTAATGATCCAAAAAGATCTGCAGGACTCCTCAGCCCTGCCTAGACGTTGTAGGGGTGAGTCATTTTGAAACTTGCTGCACTGTGATTTCTAGGTAAAATCTGCCTGTTTTCGCCAGGGTTGCTGTGTCTCAGGTGAAGCTTCCTGCAGAATCATGCAGCCTCAGGAGCTGCCAAACTGTGCATTTCTTGGAAATGTTGTGAGTGTTGGATGTCTGCATGTGAGTGTGACATTGTCTGTGTGTGCCTGTAAGTGGAGTCTGCTTAAAGGAATGTGCTAATGCACTTCAGCCTTTTTTTTTTTTTTTTTTTTTTGAGTCTCATGACCTATTTTTGGTCTGTGTGGTTTACATGGGCTGCAGAGCTCCATGTTGTTTATTTTCATGTGGATCATGACCCATCAGTGAACTGGGAGGCACGCCAAAATGCACCAACCTCCAAGTCACCACCCCCTGCAAAAAAGCCACTCTTCTAGACAGAAGAGGAGCACACCATACACACACAAAAAAACAGACATATCCCAGTATTTTATAGTCCTGCAACCACCTCAGGGAGAGACACTAGCAGTCCTGTAAACAAGGCCCCTTAAATTTACCTTGAATTCAGTTCCCAGCTGAGCAGATGCTTCCTGTCATGAGGGGCACTCTTACATTGACTTGGGATTTCATCCTGTGAAATAGAGTGTGAGGAGCAGTATGGTCAGATAGGGGTGAGGATACAATCTGGTGAGGGATGGGTGGGGTCCCACAACTTCACCTGAAAAAAAAATGAAGACAGATGACACAGAAGGTGCTTCCAACTCCATCCCTGCATTCCTTTAATTACAAAAGCAGTCCACACCATGACCCGGTGTTCAGGTGGGAGTACTCCAACATGCAAGGAACATTTGGAGTAGAAATTGGAGCAATCCAAGCAAACTCACGATTTGAGAGTTTTCATATTCAGAGACAAATGGGAGTGGAATGGATTGATGCTGGCTGTGATGTGGCCTTTACACTTGCCTCTTCCTATATTGACATCCGTGTTCTTCATTGGATTAGGGTTTTCTGGGTCTGGCTCAGTGACTTCTACAACAAATGTTTTCCATTTCACGGAGAAAGATCCTCATGAGAATCCATTGCATGGGTGTTTTCTTCTAACCACTGTCAGGTTTTAATGACTGGGAAGCTTTGACATTGTTAAAACTGTAAATTCCCATTACTGCCACCAACAAGAAAACTTTTGTTCTCCCATATCTACCAGGGGGCTGCATGATTCTTGCAGGATGAAAAGCACACAGATGTGTCAATTTTTCCTGGTAATCTAGCCTCTATTTCATTTCATCTGCATGGCATTCTCACTGTGAAGGGTCTTTTTCATTGGGCTGTTGCTGGATGGGACTGCCTCTAGCTACAGATTATTTAGCTGCCAGGGATTTCAGAGAGCAAAAGGGTCATCAAGTAGTCTGGCTGCATTCCATGTCATTGGTTGTGGGGGCTCAGAATGTTTGCACTATGCAGGATGCTTTTGGGTTCTTTGACAGGACTCACTGAACATTGCATAGACTCCAGCACAAGGTAGCTCATTCTCTCAGGCAAGCCTTGGGTTTTCTTCGTTTTCATGGGGAATCCACATTGCCCCTTAACAGCACTACTGGACACCATTTTCAGGCTGGCCATCCCAACAAACGGCCTCTGAGACACTGTTTCAACCTCATCTGCACCCAAGAGAGGGCAGTACAAGGTGGGAGAACAGTGATCCAACTCTGACTTGCCTTTGTTGTAGTTTCTGCCTTTCCTAGAGAGCCCCTGTGAGGTCAAAGTTGAAGGAAGGCAGTGAGGTCAAGAGTCTGGCCATCTTTTCATGATATCCACTTCTGGGGTCTCAGGTATGATTCTATCACACAAAGAACCCTCAACAACACACCAGTCTATATTTTAATCCCCATGGTACTCAATTCTTGCACACAGCCTTTTTCCAGAATGAAATCTGAAGAGCAGTTTCTAGAAACTATCTCACAGTCACAAAATGCCTCCTCCTCCAGTGGAAGTCGACCACCACGATGGCCTGGAGGGTCCCTGAGGTTGGGAGTTTTAGGACCTTGCAGTCTTTTTCACAGGCAGCCTTTTTCACAGGCAGCCTTTTTCCTGATACCAGGCCAACTCTGCCTGTAGCATTATTGTCTACTTAGGCAGGCTGATAGCTCTGACAGCCATGCTCCCCAGCTTGCCTCATGAATGTGCATGCACTAGCCTCAGGGCACTAGGCCTCATTGTGAACTCTGGCTTGCCTCAGTATAAATGTCACCATTATCTAGCAATAAGTCCCTTTGTCTCGGCAAAGGAGAATTCTGTGGAGGTGTCTCAGTGGTGAACTCTCAACTGTCTTCTCTGTGGGATCCATAGATAGTCCCATGATCTTAGGAGAGGGCATATGTGAGCCAGCCTGAAGAAACATCAAATACAGCTCCAGGAATAAACCACAAAATCCCTAAGGATCCAAAAGGATCTACAGGATTCCTCCAGCCTGCCTAGACATTGTAGGGGTGAGTCCTCTTGAAACTTGCCCCACTGTGATTTTTAAGTACAGGCCCCCTGTGTTCACCAGGGTGGCTCTCTCCAGGTGGGGCTTCTTGTAGAACCACACAGCCTCAGGAGCTCCTGGACTGTGTGTTTCTGTGGGAGTGTTGTGAGTGTTGAATATCTGTGTGTTTGATGTCTGTGTGTCTGTGTGGCATTGGGTGTGTGTGTGTGTTTCTGTGTGTGTGACTGTAAGTGCAGTCTGCTTATAACAATGTGGCTAACACACTACAGCATCTCTCTCTCTCCCTTACTTCTTTCCTTCCTTCTTTCCTTCCTTCCTTCCTTCCTTCCTTCCTTCCTTCCCTCCCTCCCTCCCTCCCTCCCTCCCTCCCTCTCTCTCTCTCTCTGTCTCTCTTTCTTTCTCTTTCTTTCTTTCTTTCTTTCTTTCTTTCTTTCTTTCTTTCTTTCTTTCTTTCTTTCTTTCTTTCTTTCTTTCTTTCTTTCTTTCTTGTCTCCCAACCCGTTGATGGCCTGTCTATGTGGCTTACCTTGGGCTGCATCGCTCTGTGTTCTTTATTTTTCTGTGAATCATGAGCCTGCAGTGGACTGGGAGGCATGCCAACATGTGCTGGCATCCAAATAACATCCGCCTGCAAAAAAAAAAAAAAAATGCCACTCTTCTAGACAGAAAAGGAGCACAAATACTAAAGGTTTCCCAGTTTGTGGAGAATGATCATCATGGGAATCCATTGTTTAGTGTTTTCTTCTAAACACTGTCACAATTTAATGAGTGGGACATTTTGATAGGTTTAAAACCATAAATTCCTGTCACAGACACCAACAAGAAAACTCTTGTCCTCTCACTTCTATCAGAGGCCTGCATGATTCCTGCAGGATGAGATACAGGCAACAGTGTCTTGCTTTTCCTGGTAATCTAGCCTCTGTTTAATGTCATCTGCATGGCCTTCTCATTGTGGAGGGGCTCTTTCATTGGGATGTTGCTGGATTGGACTGCCTTTCACCACAGATTATTTAGTGGCCAGGGATTTCAGAGATCATAAAAAATGACAGGTATTCTGGCTGCTCTCCAGGTTTTGGGCTGTTGCCTCTTTGCGGGGGCTGAGGATGTATGCACTTTGCAGGATGGTTTTGCGCCCTGTGACAGGAATCATTGAACATTGCTTGGGCTCCAGCACAAGACAGTTTGTTCTGTAGTGAGCCTTGATTTTTGTTTGCTTTCATGGGGAATCCACAGTGCCCATCAACAGCAATACTGGACACCCTTTCAAGGCTTGCCATCACCACAGCTGGACTCTGAGACACTGTCTCAACTCATTTGCACTTGTGAGAGGCCAGGCCATAGTGTGAGAACATTACTCCAACTTTGATTTGCCTTTGTCTTGGTTCTGGCTTTTCCCAGAGAGCCCTGCGAGGCTCAGGATGAAGGGAGGAATTGAGATCAAGAGCCTGGCCATCTTTCACTGACACCCACCTCTGGGGTCTCAGGTATTATTCTATCACTGAAAGAGCTGTCAACAACACAGCAGACTATATTCCAATCCCTGCTGGAACGGATTCTTGCATATAGATCTTTCTTGAATGGAGTCAGAAGAGCAGTTTCCTGTGACCACCTCACAGTAACAAAATGCTTCTGCCTCCAGCAGGACCCGACCACCGAGACAGCCTGGAGTGTTCACCAGTTTGACAGTTTTAGGGTCCTGAAGTGAGTGTTTGCAGGCAGCGTTTTTTTTTTTACACCAGCACGGCTCTGCCTTTACCATTTTCCTCTGCTTAGGTAGGGTGACAGCTCTGACAGCACTGCACCCGAGCCTCCCTCACGAATGTGCATGTGCTAGTCTTAGGGCACCAGGCCTGATTTTTGAGTTCTGGCTAGCATCACAGTGCATGCCACCGTTGCCTAGCAACAAGTCCCTGCTACTTGGTGGAGAAGATTTCCATGAAAGTGTGTTGGTTTTGATCTCTCACCTGTCTTCTCTGTGGAATCCATGACATAACCCACATTCCTAGGAGGGGGCAGACGTGAGCCAGCTTGAAGAGACATCAAGCACAGCCCCAGGAATAAACCATAATATCCCTAAGGATGCAAAAGATCTTCAGGATTCCTCAGGACAGCCTAGATGTTGTAGGGGTGAGTCTTTTTGAAACTTGCCTCATAGTGATTTCTAGGTACAGCCCAAATGTTTTTTTGGGTTGCTGTCTCCAAGATGGGGATTCCCACAGAACCATGCAGCCTCAGGAGCTGCCAGTGTGTGTTTATCTGTGGGAGTGTTGTGAGTGTTGTTTGTGTGTGTGTGTGGCATTGTGTGTGTGTGTATGTGCCTGTAAGTGGAGTATGCTTAAAATAATGTGGCTAATGCACTTCAGCGCTTCTTTTTTTGAGTATCCCAACATTCTGTTGGGTGGTCAGTGTGGCTCTGCTTGGGCTGTGGGGCTCCATGTTCTTTATTTTTCTGTGGATCATGAATCTGCAGTGAATTGGGAAGCAAGTTGAAACACATGGGCATTCAAGTTACCTCCCCCTGCAAAAAAATGCCACTCTTCTAGAAAGAAGAGGAACACACCACAGCAAAAATAAGACATCTTCCAGTGTTTTGTTGTCCTGTGGTGAACCCAGGGAGAAAATATAGCAGTACTGTCTGCAAAGCCGCTTGACTTTACCTCGTATATGGGTCACAGCTGAGCACGTGTTTCATGTCGTGAGTGGGCACTCCAACATCGCCTTGAGATTTCATCCTGGAACATAGAGGGTGAGCAGCAATAAGTTCAGGTAGGGTTGAGGATACAATCTGGTGAGTGGTTCATGGGGTCCCACAATATCTCTGCAAAAAAATAAATAGATAAGTAAATGAAGACAGATGACCCAGAAGGTGCTTCCAACTCCATAGCTAGTTGTTCAGTTGGCAGTACTCCAACGAGCAGGGAACATTTCAAGAGCAAACTGGGGCCATCCTTGTAAACTCCCACTATGTGGGCTTTTATATCCGGAGCCAAAGGAGAGTGTATTGGATTGATGCTGGATAGGATGTGGCCTATATACTTACCTCTTCTTTTTCTGCCTTTCATGTTGCTCTTCAGCCTAGGGTTTTCTGGGTCTGAATCCACGTCTTCCAAACTAAAACTTTCTGAGTTCACAGAGGAAGACCCTCATGGAAATCCACTGCGTGAGTGTTTCTTTCTAAACTGTCAAGTTTTAATGACTGGGCAGCTGTGATACTTGTAAAAACTTAAATTCCTCTTACAGCCACCAACATGGAAATTCTTGTTCTCCCACTTTTATCAGAGGGCTGCATGATTCCTGTAGGAGGATATGCAGGCAGTCGTTCTGCATTTGCCTGGTAATCTTGGCTTTGTTTCACTTCATCTGCACGTCCTTCTTCGCTGTGGAGTGGATCTTTCATTGGATCTTGCCGGATTGGACTGCCTCTCACTACAGATCTTTTGGCTACCAGGAATTTCAGGAAGCATAAAGAACTTTGTGTAGACTGGCTATGCCCCAGGTTTTGTGTCATCAGTCTCCTTGTGGAGGCTGATGTTGTTCACACTTTTCAGGAGGCTTTTGGGTCCTCTGACAAAAATCTTTGAACATTGCTTGAACTCCCACACAAGTCAGCTTGTTCTCCCAGATGAACCTAGATTCTTCTTTGCTTTTATGGGGGGTCCACTTTGCACCTCATCAGCACTACTGGATAGCCTTTTCTGGCTTGCTATCACCACAGATGCCTCTGATACACTGTCACAACCTCATCTGCACCCATGAGAGGCCAGTTTGAGGTGTGGGAACAATACTTTATCTTGGACTTGCTTTTGTCGTGGTTTCTGCCTCTCCCGGAGAGTCCCTGATAGGTCCAGGATGATGGGAGACAGTGAGGTCAAGGGGCCAGCCATCTTTTGCTCACACCTGCCTCTTGGGTCTCAGCAATGATTCCATCACCAAAGGACCCATCAAAAACTCACCAAAGGGCATTCCAATCCCCATGGGAATGGAATCTTGCACACAGCCTCTCTGGGGAATGAAGGCAGAGATGCAGATTACAAAGGCCAGTTCAGTCTCAAAGCGACTCCTCCTTCAGTGGAACCTGACCTCAGAGACTGCCAAAATGGCCCTATGGTCTAGACTTTTTCGATCTGGCAGTGGGTTATCACAGGTAGTATTTTTGGCCATGCCAGGCCAGCTCTGCCTGTACCAATTTCCTCTGCTTAAGCAGGCTGACAGCTCTGAGAGCCAGGTGCCTGATCCTTCCTCAAGAATGCACAGTCACCTGTCTCTGTGGTATCCACGGGATTGTCCCATGATCCTAGCCTGGAGAAACATCAACCACAGCTCCAGGAATACACTGCAAAATCCCTAAGGATGCAAAAGGATATGCTGGAATCCTCAGGCCTGCCGAGGCATTGTAGGAGTGAGTCTTTTTGAAACTTGCCCCACTGAAATTTCTAGGTACAGTTCTCCTGTGTTTCTTGGTGTTGCTCTCTCCCAAGTTGGGATTCCTGCAGAATCACGCAGCCACAGGAGCTATCCAACTTTTTTTTGTGTGTGGGAGTGTTGTGAATCTTGGATGTCTGCCTGTGTGTGTGGCATTGTGTATTTGTTTGTGTGTGTTTGTGTGCCTGTAAGTGGAGACTGCTTAAAATAATGTGGCTAATGCACTTCAGTGCTTCATTTTTTTTTTTGTCTCCAAACCTTTCTGGTGGAGTGTTGCAAGTGTTGGATGTCTGAATGCGTGTGTGGCATTGAGTGTTTGTGTATATGCGTGTGTGTGATTGTATGTGCAGTCTGCTTAAAGGAATGTTGCTAACGCACTTCAGTGCTTCCTTTTTTTGTGTCTACCCAACTTCTGTTGGCTTGTCTGTGTGGCTCTGCTTGGGCTGTGGGGCTCTTTCCCAGGTGGTGTTTCCTGCACAACAATGCATCCTGAGTAGTTTCTGGGTTGGGTATTTCTGTAGGAGTGTCGCAAATGTTGGATGTCTGTGTGTGTGTGGCATTGTGTGTGCCATAAAAACCACCATTCTAGAAAGAAGAGGAGCACACAACACCAAAAAATAGATATCTTTCAGTGTTTTATTGTCCTTTGGCAAACCCAGGAGAGACATTAGCAGTCCTGTCCACAGGGTCTCTTGAATTAACCTCGAATTCCCTTCCCAGCTGAACAGGTGATTCACATCTTGCTGGGGTGGGGGGCACATTTTAAAAATCATTTTGGGATTTCACCCTAGGACATAGAGTGTGGATAGCATTAAGTTCAGACAGAGGTAAAGATACAATCTTGTGAGGGGTGCATGGGGTGACAAAACTTTACCTGCAAGAAAAATGAAGACAGATGACACAGAAGGTGCTTTCAGCCTCATCGCGTAGTGTTCAGTTGGAAGTACTCCAACGGGCAGGGAACATTTGAATTGCAAACTGGGGATATCCTGGCAAACTCCGGATTTGAGGGCTTTCATACCCGCAGCCAAATGGGAGTGAGATGGATTGATGATGGGTAGGATGTGGCCTTCACACTTGCCTATTCTTTTTCTGACTTCCTTATTTCTTGTGGGCCTAGGGTTTCCTGGGTCTGGCTCTAAGTCTTTCACACTAAATGTTTCCCATTTTGCGGAGGACGACCCTCATGGGAATCCATTGCTTGAGTGTTTCCTTCTAAACACTGTGACATTTTAATGAGTGGGCAGCTGTGATACCTTTAACATGATAAATTCCCATTACAGCCACTGACAAGGAAACTGTTTTTCTCCCACTTATATCAGAGGGCTGCATGATTCCTGTAGGATGAGAAGCAGGCCATCGTGCCTGGCTTTTAACTGGTAAACTAGACTCTGTTTCATTTCAGTTGCACGTCCTTTCTCATCATGGAGGGTGTTGCTGGACAGGACTGCCTCTTGCCACAGATCTTTTGGCTGCCAGGGATTTCAGGGACCAAAAGAGACTTTGAATAGGATTGCTGTGCTCCAGGTGGTGGGTCATGGTCTCCATCTGGGGGCTGAGGTTGTTTGAATTTTGCAGGAGGATTTTGGGTCCTCTGATGGAAATCTTGGAACGTTGCTAGGCCTCCAGCACAAATCAGCTCATTCTCTCAGGAGAGCCTTCATTTTTCACTCCTTTCATGTGTGGTCCACTGTGTCCCTCAAAAGCACTACTGGATACTTTTTCCAGGCTGGCAATCACCACAGAGGGCATGTGAGACATTGTCTCAACATCATCTGCATGCATGATAGGCCTTTTGGAGGTGTGAGAATGGAGCTCCACTTTGGACTTTCCTTTGTTGGTGTTCCTGGCTTTCCCAGAGAGTGGCAGTGAGGCCCAGTGTGGAGGGAGACAGTGAGGTTAAGGACCCAGTCATCTTTCACTGACAACCACCTCTGGTGTCTCAGCTATGATTCCATTAACTAAAGATCCCTCAACAACACACTAGCCTATATTCCAATCCCCAGGGGACTTGATTCTTGCACACAACCTCTTTCATAAATGGAGTCAGAAGAGAATTTTTCAGTAACCACCTCAGCATCTCGAAACACCTCACCTTACTGTGTGACCCAGCCACAGAGGTGTCCTGAAGATGTTCTCAGGTGGAGACTTTTAGGGTCCCGCCTTAGCTTATTGCAGGCTGCCTTTTTCCTGCTCCCAAACATTCTCTGCCTGTACCATTTTCCTCTGCTTAGGCAGTCTGACAGCTCTGACATCCAGATGCCAGAGTTGGCTTCATGAATATCCATGTGCTTGTCTCAGGGCACAAGGCCTGAGCTGTGGTCTCTGGCTAGAGTCACAATGAATGCCACCTTTGCCTAGTGACAACTCCTGCAGCTTCACAGAAAAGGAGACCTCCATGGAGGTGCTTTGGTGTTGGACTTTCCCTTGTTTTCTTTGTGGGATCCAAGGAACAGTCCCATGATCCTAAGAGATGGTACAGTGAGCCAGCCTGAAGAAATGTCAAGGAGAGTCCTAGAAATAGACTGAGAAATCCCTACACATACAAAAAGATCTGCACAATGCCGCAGGCTTGCCTAGAGGTTGTAGGATGAATCTTTTTGAAACTTACCCCACTGTGATTTCTAGGTACAGCCGAGCTGTTTTCCCTAGGTTTATTCCTCCAGGTGGAGCTTCCTGCAGAACCAGGCAGCCTCAGAAGCAGCCAGGCTGTGTTTCTGTGGAAGTGTTTTGCAAGTGTTGGATGTCTTCACGTGTTTGTGGCTTAGAGTGTGTGTGTGTGTGTGTGTGCACGCGCGTTTTTATGTGTGTGCCTGTAAGTGGAATCTCCTTAAAGGAATGTGGCTAACGAATTTCAGCACTTTTTTTTTTTTGAGTCTCAGAAACTTTTGGTGGCCTCTCTGTGTGGGTCTGCTTGGGCTCCAGAGGTCCATGTTCTTTATATTTCTGTGGACTATTAATCCGCAGTGAATTTGAAGGTGAGCTGATACATGTGGGCATCCAAGTCACCTCACCCTGCAAGAAAATTGACTCCTTTAGAAAGAAAAGGGGCACACCACACCAAAAAAGAGGCATCTCTCAGTGTTTTATTTTCCTGTGGCCAACCCACAGAGAGACAATAGCAGTCCTGTCTGCAGGTCCCCTTGAATGTACCTTGAATTCGGTTCCCAGCCCAGCAGGTGCTTCACGTCATGAGGAAACACTCCTCCATCATTTTGGGATTTCCTTCTGTGAAATAGATTGTGAACAAGTCAGATAGGAGTGAAGATACAATTTGGTGAAGAGTAAATGGTGTCCTGCAACTTCACCTGCCAAAAAAAAAAAAAAAAAAATGAAGGCAGATGACACAGAAGTGGTTTCCCACTCCATCCCCACATTCTTTTAATTGCACAAGCAGTCCACGCAATGGCCTGGTGTTCAAGTGGAGTCCTGCAACGTGCCAGGAAAAGTTGGAGTGCAAATTGGGGCCATTCTGACAAACTCCAGATTTGGGGTTTTTCATACCTGGAGCCAAATGGGACTGGAAAGGACTGATGCTGAATGGGGATGTGGCCTTCATGTTTGCCTCTTCTTTCCCTGACTTCCATGTTCCTTGTCAGCCTATGGTTTCCTGAGTCTGGCTTAATCACTTGCACGCTAAAGGTTTCCCCCTGCACGGAGAACGACCCTCATGGGAATCCATTGAGTGAGTGTTTCTTTCTAAGCACTGTTATGTTTAAATGACTGGGCAGCTTTGATACTTTTAAAATCATAAATTACCACTACCGCTGCCAACAAGGAAAGTCACGGTACTACATTCCTATCCCCTTGGGACCAGATTCTTGCACACAGCCTATTCCGGAAATGAAGTCAGAAGAACAGTTTCCACCCACCACTTCACAGTCTTGAAATGCCTCATACTCCAGCGGAACCCAACCACGGAGACGATAAGAAGTAGCCCTAAGGTCGAGACATTTAGAGTACCACAGGATATTACCCCAGGCAAACTTTTTCTCAGTATGAAGGCGGCTCTACTTGTACCATCTTCCTCTGCCTAGGAAGGCTGACAGCCAGTACATGAGCCATCCACACAAATGCACGTTTGCTAGTCTCAGGGCACGAGGCCTTAGTTTTGAGCTCTGGCTAGCATCACAATGAATGCCACAGTGGCCTAAGTCTACACATCTTGGCAGAGAAGGGGACCTCTGTGGAGTTGTGGATCCTCAAGATAGTTCCATGATCCTAGAAGAAGGCAGATATGAACAAGCCTGAAGAAACATCAAGCAGAGCTTCAGGAATAAACCACAAAATTCATAAGGATCTAAAAGATCTGCGGGATGTCTCAGGCATGCCTAGATGTTGTAGCAGTGAGTCTTTTGAAACCTACCCCACTTTGATTTCTAACTACAGCCCACCTGTGTTCCCCAAAGTTCCTGTCTTTCAATTAAGGCTTCCTGCAGGACCACGCAAACTCAGAACCTGCCATGCTGTGTTCTTCTGTGGAAGTGTTGCAAGTGTTAGATATCTCCGTGTTTGTGTGGCTTTGTGTGTGTGTGTTTATGTGTTAGTGTGTGGCTAAGTGGAGTCTGCTTAATGGAATGTGGATAACACACTGCATCGCTTCCTTTTTTTGAAACTCCACACCTTTTGGTGGCCTGTTGGTGTGGCTCTGCTTGAGTTGCAGGGCTCTGTGTCCCTTATTTTTCTGTGGACTATGAATTTGCAGTGAATTAGGAGACTGTCTGAGAGAGGCATAGGTTCAAGTTACCTCCCCCTGCAAAAAAAGCCATTCTTCTAGAAAGAAGAGGAGCACATCACACCCCAAAACAATGTGTTTCATTCTGTGTTTCATTGTTCTGCAGCCAACCCAGTGTGAGAAACTAGCAGTCCTATGTGAAGGGACCTTTGAATTTACTTTGAATTCTGTTCTCAGCTGAGTAGGTGCTTCATGTCCTCATATGGCACTCCTCCATCATCTTGTGATTTCATTCTGGGACAGAGAGTGTGAGAAGTAACAAGGTAAAATAGGGGTGAGGATACAATCTGGTGAGGGGTAAATAGAGTTCAGCACATTCTCCTGCAAAAACGGTGAAGACAGATGACACAGAAGGTACTTCCAACTGCATGCCCACATTCCCTTAATTACACAGGCAGTTCATATTATGTCCTGGTGTTGAGGTGGGAGTAATACAATGTTGAGGGAACATTTGGAGTGCAAGCTGGGGCGGTTCTAACAAGCTCCCGATTTGAGAGCTCTCATACCCTGAGCCAAATGAGAGTGGGATGTGTTGATGCTGGGTGGGATGTGCCCTGCACACTTGTCTCTTCTTTTCCTGACTTCCATGTTCCTCATCGGCCTAGGGCTTCCTGGGTCTGGCTCCACATCTTCCACACTAAGCAATTCACAGTTCATGGGGGATGACCTTCATGGGAATCCAATGCATGAGTGTTTTCTTCTAAACACTGTCACATTTTAAAGACTGGAAAGATGTGATAATTTTAACACTGTAAGTTTTCGTTACAGCCACCAATAAAGAAACTCTTGTTCTCCCACTTTTATCAGAGGGCTGCATGATTCCTCTAGCATGAAAAGCAGGCAGCTGTGTTGGGCTTTTGCCTGGTAATCTAGCCCCTGTTTCATTGCATCTGCCAGTCCTTTCTCAATGCGAATGAGGTCTTTCATTGGGCTGTTGCTGGATGGGGTTGCCTCTCACCACAGACCAATTGGCTGTCAGGGATTTCAAGGATGAAAAGGGACTTTGGGTAGGCTGACTTCATCCAGGTTGTAGTTTGTGGTGTCATTGTGAGTGCTAAAGTTGTTTGCAGTCTGCAGAAGGTTTTTGGATACTCTGACTGGAATCATTGAACATTGCTTGGATGCAAGCTCAAGGCAAGTCATTTTCTGAAGTGAGCTTTGATGTTTCTTTGCTTTCATAGGGAATCCACAGTGCCCCTCAACTGCACTACTGTTCACCAGTTTCAGGCTTGCCATCACCACAGAGGGCATCTGAGATATTGTCTGAACCTCATCTGCACCCATGAGAGACCAGATCGAGGTGAGAACACTGGCCCTCTTTGGAATTCCCTTTGTCATGGTTCCTGCCTTTTGTGGAGGGCCCCAGCAAGGCCCAGGGTGGAGAGAGACAGTGAGGTAAAGAGCCCAGCCATCTTTCACTGACACCCATCTCTGGGATCTCAGGTATAATTCTGTCACCCAAAGAACCCTCAACAACACACCAGACCAAATTCTGATTCTCATGGGATGGGATTCTTGCAAAAAGCATCCTTTCGGAATGGAGTAGGAAGAGCAGTTTCTAGTCGCCACCTCAGAGTCTCAAAATGCCTCCTCCTCCAGCAAGACTCGACCATGGAGATGGCCAGAAGGGGCCCTGAGGTCGAGACCTTGGGGTCTGACAGTGGTTTCTCATGGGAAACCTTTTTCCCAAGACCAGACTGACTTTACCTGCACAATTTTTCTCTTCTTAGGCAGACTGATAGCTCTGACAGCTAGGTGCCTGTACCTGCCTCAGGAATGCATATGCACTAGTCTCAGGACACCAGTCCTCATTGTGAGCTCTGGCTAGCATCACAATGAATGTCATCATTGCCTAGAGACAAGTTCCTGCCTCTTGAGGAAGGAGACCTCCCTGTAGGTATGTCGGCTGTGGACTCTTGCCTGTCTTCTCTGTGGGATCCAAGAGATAGTCCCATGATCCTACGAGAGAGTAGATGTGAGCCAGCCAAAAGAAACATCAAACAGAGGCCCAGGAATAAATTGCAAAATCCCTAAGGATCCAAAAGATCTGCAGGATTCCTCAGGCCTGCCTAGATGTTGTAGGGGTGAGTCTTTTTCAAACTTGTTCCATTGTGATTTCTAGTTACAGCCTGCATGTTCCCCTGGGTTGCTGTCTCCCAAAAGGGGATCTAGCAAAACCATGCAGCGTCAGAAGCTAACAAGCAGTGTGTTTCTTCAGGATTCTTGCAAGTGTTGGATGTCTGCCTGTGTGTGTGGTATTTTGTGTGTGTGTGTGTGTGTGTGTGTGTGTGCGCCTGTAAGTCACTTCTGCTTAAAGGAATGTGGCAAACACACTCCAGGGCTTCATCTTTTTTGAGTCTCCCAATCATTTGTTGGCCTGTCTGTGTGGCTCTGCTTCAGTTGTGAGGCTTTGTGTTATTTATTTTTGTGTGGATCATGAGTCTGCAGCAAATTGAGAGGTGGGCAGAGACCTGCCAATGTCCAAATCACCTGCCCCTGCAAAGAAAACCACACTTCTGTAAAGAAGAGAAGCACACCACACCAAAAAACAGACATCTCCCAGTGTTTCATTGTCCTGTGTCCCACCCAGAAAGAAACACTAGCAGTCCTCTGCAGAAACCCCTGAATTTACATCGAATTTGGCTCCCAGCTGAGCGGTTCTTCATGTCATGATGGGGCACTCCTCCTTTGTCTTGGGATATCATCCTGGGACATAGAATATGAGCAGGGAGAAATTCAGATATGGGTGAGGATACAATCTGGTGAGGAGTGGATGGGGCTCTGCAAATTCATCTGCAAAAAAAAAATAAATACAAATGACAAAGATCCTTCTTTAAACTCCATCCCTGCATTTCCTTAATTACACAAGCTGTCCATACCTTGGCCCAGTGTTCAGGTGGGAGTACTCTAATGTGCAAAAAACATTTGGACTGCAAATTGAAGCCATCTTGGTAAACCCTGGATTTGAGGCCTTTTACACCCAGAGGCAAATGGGAGTGGAATGGGTTGATGCTGTGTGGGATGTGGCCTCCACACTGGCCTCTTCTTTTCTGACTTCCATGTTCCTCATCAGCCTAGGATTTCCTAGGCTGAGCCTAGGGTCTGACTCAACGACTTCCACACTAAACATTTCAGAATTCACAGAGAATGGGCCTTATGAAAATTCACTGTCTTACTGCCTCTTTCTAAACACTGTCATGTGTCAATGACTGTGCAGCTTTGAATTTTTTAAAACCATAAATTCTCATTACAGCCATCATAAGGAAACTGTTGTTCACCCATTTCTATCAGAGGGCTGAATGATTCCCGAAAAGTGAGAAGAAGACAGCCATGTCTGCTTTGACCTTGTAATCTAGCCTCTGTTTCACCTTGTCTGCATGGCCTTCTAATTGGGGAGGGTCTCTTTCACTGGGCTGTTGCTGAATGGAACTGCCCCTCACCACACATCTTTTGGCTGCCAGGGATTTGAGAGAGCAAAAGGGACTTTGGGTAGGCTGGCTGCACTCTAGCTTGTGGTGCTTTTCTCATTGTGGGAGCTGAGGTTGTTTACATTTTCCAGGAGGATTTTGGGTCCTCTGACAGGAATTATTGAACATTACTTGGACTCCAGCACAGGGAAGCTTGTTCTCTCAGGTGAGCAGTGAATTTTTTTTTTTTTTTTGCTTTCATGGGGATTCAACAGTGCCCCTCAACAGCACTACTGGACACCCTTCTTCAGAGTTGCCATCACCACATATATCCTCTGAGACACCATCTGAATCTCATCAGCACCCCTGAGAGGCCAGTATGAGGTGTGAGAACACTGCTTTACCTTTGACTTGCCTTGCCGTGGTTCCTGCTTTTCAAAGAGGGCCCCTGAAAGGCCCAAAATAAAGGGAGGCAATGAGGTCAAGTGCCAGGCTATCTTTTGCTCACATCCACCACTGGGGTCTCAGGTATGAATCTATCACTTAAAGAACCCTCAACAACACACCAGACAATATTCCAATCACCATGGGACCCATTTCTGGCACACAGCCTCTTTTGGGAATGGATTCAGAAGGTTTCCAGTGACCACCTCACAGTCTGGAAACACCTCCTCCTCCAGTAGGACCTGACCAGAGAGATGGCCAGAAAGGGTCTTTAGATTGAGAGTTTTAGGGTCCTGCAGTGGGTTTTCACAGGCAGCATTTTTCTCAATACCGGCCAGCTCTGCCTGTATTATTTTCCTCTGCTTTGGTAGGCTGACAGGTCTGACAGCCAGGTGCCCAAGCCTGCCTGCCTCATGAATGTGCATGCACAAGTCTCAGGGCACCAAGACTGTTACTGAGCTTTAGTGAGCATCCCAATGATTGTCATTGCTGGCTAGTGACAAGTCCCTTCATCTTGGCAGAGAAAAAGACATACATGGAGCTGCGTGGTTGGTGAACTCTCATCTGTCTTCTCTGTGGAATCCACAGGATAGTCCCATGAGCCTATGAGAGGGCAAATGAGAGCCGTCCTGAAGAAACGTCAACCACAGCACGAGGAATAAACCTCAAAATCCCTAAGGATCCAAAAAAATCTGAAGGATAACTTAGGCCTGCCTAGACTTTGTAGGTGTGAGTCTTTTTGAAAGTTGCAGCACTGTGATTTCTAGGAACAGCCCACCTGTATTCCCTGGGGTTGCCTATCCCAGGTTAGCTTCTTGCAGAACCACAAAACCACAGGAGCTGACAAACTGTGTTTCTGAAAGAGTGTTGTGAGAGTTGGATGTTGGCATGGGTGTGTGACATTGTTTTGTGTGTGTGTGTGTGTGTTTGTAAGTGGAGTTTGCTTAAAGAATGTGGCTACTACACTTCAGCGCTTGGTTTTTTTTGAGTCTTGCAAACTTTTGGTGGCCTGTCTGTGTGGCTCTGCTTGGGCTGTGGGGCTCCATGTTATTTATTTTTCTGTGGATCATGAATCCGCAGTGAACTGAGAGGTGGGCTGAGACCTGCCAGTGTCCAAGTCACCTGCCACTGCAAAAAAAAAAAAAAAAAAGCCACCCTTCTAGAATGAAGAGGAGCACACCACACCAAAAAACGGGCATACCACGAATTCAGTTTCACTGCTGAGCAGGTTCTTCAGGTCATGAGAGGGCACTCCTCCATCATCTGGGCATTCATCCCAGGACATACAGTATGAGCAGGAATAAGGTCAGATAGGAGTGAGGATACAATCTGGTGATGGGTGGAGGGAGCCCCAGAACTTCATCTGAAAAAAAAAATGAAGACAGATGACACAGAAGGTGATTCCAACTCCATCCCCTCATTCCCTTAATTGCGGAAGTAGTCCACACCATAACTCAGCTTCAGATTGGAGCACAGCAACGTGCAAGGAACATTTTGAGTGCAAATTGGGGACATCCTGGCAAACTTCTGATTTGAAGGATTTCAATCTGAGAGCCAAATGCGACTGGAATGAATTGATGTTGGGTGGGATGTGGCTTCCAAACTTGCCTCTTCTTTTCCTGACTTGCATGTTCCTCATTGACCTGTGGTTTCCTGGGTTTGCCTCAACAACTGTTACACTAAATGTTTCCTAGTTCATGGAGAACAACCTTCATGGAAATCCATTGAGTGAGTGTTTTCTTCTAAACACTTTCACATTTTAATGACTGGGCAGCTTTGATACCTTTAAACGGTAAATTCCCATTACAGCCACCAACAAGGAAACTCTTCTTTTCCCTCTGTTATCAGAGGGCTGAATGATTCCTGTATGATGAGAAGCAGGCAGCCGTGTCTAGATTTAGCCTGGTAATATAGCCTCTGCTTCATTTCATCTGCTCATCCTTCTCTTTGTGGATGGGCTCTTTCATTGGCCTGTTGCTGGATGGGACTGCCTCTTGCCACAGATATTTTCGTTGCCAGGAATTTCAGGAAGAAAAATCGTTGTAGAGTAGACTGGCTGCACGTTGGGTTTTCAATCATTATCTTGTGGGAGCTGAGGTTGTTTGCATTTTGAAAGAGGCTTCTTCTTTCTGTGACAGGAATATGGAAATGTTGCTTGGACCCCAGCACAAGTCAGCTCTTTCTTTCAGGTGATGCTTGATGTTTCTTGGCTTTCATGGGGGATTCACATTGCCCCTCAACCACACTACTGGATACACTTTTCAGGATTGCAATCTCCACAGGTGGCCTCTGAGACACTGTCTGAACCTCATCTGCACCTGTGAGAGACCAGTTCGAGGTCTGAGAACATTGCTTCAATTTGGACGTGCCTTTGTCATGGTTCCTGCTTTTCCCAGATAGCACCTGAGCAACCCAGAATGAAGGAATGCAGTGAGGTCAAGGCCAGGCCATCTTTCACTGACAACTTTTTTCTGGTATTTCAAGTAAGAGCCCATCACCCAAAGAACCCTCAACATCTCACCGTAATATATTCCAATCCCCATGGGACAGGATTCTTGCACAAAGCCTCTTTCAGGAATGGAGTCAGAAGAGTAGTTTCCAGTGACAACCTCACAGTCTTGAAATGGCTCTGCCTCCAGTGTGACCTGACCATGGAGACAGCGTATAAGGGCCCTAAGGTTGAGACTTTTAGGATCCTGCAATGGGTTATCACAGGCAGCCTTTTTCCTGATACCAGGCCAACTCTGTGTGTACCATTTTCCTCTGCTTAGGCAGGCTGACAGCCCTGACACCCTGGTGCTCTAATTTGAGTCACTAATGTGGATGTGCTAGTCTTAGGGCAATGGGCCTGAGCTGCGAGCTCTGGCTAGCATTACAATGAATGCCACCTTTGCCTAGTGACAATTCTCTTTGGCTTGATGGAGAAGGAGATCTCTGTGGAGGTGCATCGGCAGTAGACTCTCACCTGTCTTCTCCGTGGGATCCATGGGCTAGTCCCATGATCCTAGGAGAGGGCAGATGTGAGCCTGCCTGAAGAAATGTCAAGCAGAGCCCCAGGAATAAAGCACAAAATCCGTACAGATCCAAAAGGATCTGCAGAATTCTTCAGGCCTGCCTAGACATTGTAGCAGTTTGTCTTATTGAAATGTGTCCCACTGTAATTTCTAAGTTTAGCCTTCCTTTGTTTTCCAAGCTTTCTCTCTCCCAGGAGGGGCTTCCTGCAGAATGAAGCAGCCTCAGAAGCTACTGGGCTGTGTGTTACTGCGGGAGTATTGCAAGTGTTGGATGTCTGCATGTGTGTGTGGCTTTATGTGTTTATGTGTGTGTGTCTGTGTGTGTGCATGTAAGTGAATTCGGCTTAAAGGAATGTAACTAACACACTGCAGTGCTTTTTTATTTTTTATTCTCCCAACCTTTTGGTGGCCTGTCTGTGTGTCTCTGCTTGGACTGTGGTGCTCCCTGTTCTTTATTTTTCTGTGGATCATGAATCAGCAATGACTAGTTAAGCAGTCTGTGACAAGCTGGGTTCCCCATTATCTGCCCCTGAAAAAAAAAGGCACTCCTCTAGAAAGAAGAGGAGAGCATCACACCCAAGAACAGATAGCTCCCAATGTTTCACTATAATGCAGCCAACCCAGAGACAGTAGCACTCTGGTCCCCATAACCTCTTGAATTTACCCAGAATTCAGTTTCCAGCCAAGAAGGTGCTTCATGTCCTGTGGGTGCACTCCTCCATCAACTTGAGATTTCATGCTGGAACAGAGAGTGTGACAGCAATAAAGTCAGATACGGGTGAGGACACAATCTGGTAAGGTTTGGATGGGGTTCTGCAACTCCATCTGCAAAAAACTATGAATACAGGCGACACAAAAGGAGCTTTCAATTCCATTTCCGTCACTTTAATTGCACAAGCAGTCCTCACCATGGCCCAGTATTCAGGTGGGAGTATTCCAAAGCAAAAGAACTATTTGGAGTGCAAATTTGGGCCATCCTGGAAAACTCCTGATTTGAGGGCTTTCTTACCTGGAGTCAAATGGGAATGGAATGGATTGATGCTGGGTGGGATGTGGCCTCCAGACTTGCCTCTTCTTTTCATGACTTTCATGTTTCTCATTGGCATATGGTTTCCTGGGTCTGGCTCAATGACTTCCATACTAAACATTTCCCAGTTAACTAAGAACAAGCCCCATAAGAATCCATTGCGTGAATGTTTCCTTCTATACACTATCATGTTTTAAATACTGGGGAGATTTGATACTTTTAAAAACATAAATGCCCATTACTGCCAACAGTAAGGAAACTCTTGTTCTCCCACTTCTATCGAGGGCTACAGGATTCCTGTAGGATGAGAAGCAGGCAGCCATTTCTGGCTTTTGCCTGGTAATCTAGCTTCTGTTTTATTTCTTCTGCATGGCTGTCCCATTATGGAGGGGCTAATTCATTGGGCTGTTGCTGGATGGAATGGCTTCTTGCCACAGATTATTTAGCTGCCAGAGATTTCTGAGAGCCAAAGGGACTTCAGGTGGGTTGGCTGAGATCCAGGTTATGTGTCGTTGTCTTGCTGTGGGTGTTGAGGTTGTTTGCACTTTGTCGGAGGCTTTTGGGTCCTCTGAAATGAGTCATTGAACACTGCTTGGACTCCAGCACAAGGCAGCTCATTCTTTCAGGTGAGAGTTGATTTTTCTTTGCTTTCATGCGGAATCCACAGTGCTCCTCAACAATAGTACTGGACACCCTTTTCAGATTTGCCATAACCAGAAACAGCCTCTGAGACTCTGTCTCAACGTCATCTGCACCCGTGAGAGGCCAGTCCCAGGTGTCAGAACACTGCTTTACTTTGGACTTGCCTTTGTCGTGGTTCCTGCCTTTCACAGAGAGCCCCTGCAAAGACCAGGATGAAGGGAGGCCGTGAGGTCAAGAAAACAGCCATCTTTCACTGACACCTGCATCTGAGTTCTCAACAACACGCCACACAATATTCCAATCCCCATGTGAGCTGATTCTTGCACACAACCTCTTTTGAAAATGGATTCAGAAGGGCAGTTTACAGAACTAACTCACAGTCTTGAAACACCTCCCCCTCCAGAGAAACCTGAAAATGGGGATGGCCAAAAGGGGCCCTGAGGTTGAGACTCTTAATGTCCCAGAGTGGATTTTCTCAAGCAGCCTTTTTCATGATACCAAACTGGCTCTGCCTGTACCCTTTTTCTGCTAAGGCAGGCTGACAGCTCTGACAGAAGAGTTCCCAAACTGACCTCACAAATATGCATACACTTGTCTCAGGGCACCAGGCCTGATTGTGAGCTTTGGCTAGTGTCACATTAAATGTCATCGTTGCCTAGTGACAAGTCCCTGCTGCTTGGCTGAGAAAGAGGCCTCTGTGAAGGTGCATCAGTGGTGTACTCTTGCCTGTCTTCACTGTGGGATCCATGGGATAGTCCCAAGATCCTAAGAGAGGACAGGCATGAGCCAGTCTGAAAAACTTCAAGCACAGCCCAAGGAATAAACTGTGAAATCCCCAAAGATCCAAAAGCATTTGCAGGATTTATCAGGTCCATGAAATTGTTGTAGAAATGAGTCTCCTAGAAACTGCCCCACTGTGATAACTAGTACAGCCCCCATTTTTTCCCCAGGATTGCAGTCTCCCAGGTAGGGCTTCATGAAGAACCATGCAGCCTCTAGAGCTGCCAGGCTGTGTGTTTCTGTGGGAGTGTTGCAAATGTTGGATGTGTGGGTGTGTGTGTCTGTGTGTGTTTGTGTGTGTGTGTGCCCATAAGTGGAGCCACCTTAAAGGAATGGGGCTAACACACTTCAGTGCTTCTTTTTTTTTTTTGTTTTTTAGATTCCTATCTTTTCTTGGCCTGTCTATGTGGCTCTGCTGGAGCTGCAGGGCTCCATGTTCTTTATTTTTCTGTTGATCATGAATCCTTAGTGAATTGGGAGGTGGCCTGAGACCCCCCAGCATCCAAATTACCTCCCCCTGAAAAAAAAGGCCCTCTCTAGAAAGATGAGGAGCACACCACACACACAAAAAACGAACATATCCCAGTGTTTTATCATCCTGTGGCCAACCAAGGGGGAGACACTAGCAGTCCTGTCTGCAGGGCACCTTGAATTTACCTTGAATTCGATCACGTGCTTCATGTCATGAAGGGGTCCACTTCCATTGTCTTGGGATTTTATCCTGTGACATAGAATGTGAGCAGAAATAAGGTCAGATGCGGTGAGTATAAAACCTGCTGAGGGGTGGATGGAGTCCCACAACTTAACCTGCAAAAATAAAAAGGAAGACAGATGACACAGAAGGTGCTTCCAACACCATCCCCGCATTCCCTTAATTGCACCAGCTGTCCACACCATGACCTGGTTTCTGGTGCAAGTACTCCAACCTACCAGGAACTTTTGGTATGTAAATTAGGGCCATTCTGACAAACTCCTTATATGAGGGCTTTCATATCCAGAGCCAAATGGGAGCGGAATGCATTGGTGCTCTGTGTGATGTGGCCCCTAGATTTGCCTCTTCTTTTCCTGACTTCCATGTTCATCATTGGCCTAGCATTTTCTATGACTGGCTCAAGAATTTCCACACTAAACATTACCCAGTTCAAAGAGAGCAACCCTCATGGGAATCCATTGCAGGAGTGTTTCCTTCTCACAGTCACATTTTAATGACTGGGAATCTTAGACACTTTTAAAACTATAAATTCTCATTACAGCCACCAACAAGAAAACTCTTGTTCTCCCTCTTCCATTGGAGGGCTGCATGATTTCTGAAGAATGAAAATCAGGCAGCCATGTCTGGCTTTTGTCTGGTAATCTAGCCTTTGTTTCGTCTCATCTGCACCACCTTCTCATTGTGGAAGTGTTTTTTTATTGGGCTGCTGCTGTATTGGGCTGCCTCTCATCACAAATTATTTAGCTGCCAGGGATTTCATAAAGCAAAAAGGTCTTTGGGCAGGCTGGCTGCGCTGCAGGTTTGGGTCGTTATCTCATTGTGGTGACTGAGGTTGTTTGCACTTTGCAGCAGGGTTTTGGGTCCTCTGACAGGAAATATTGAACATTTCTTGGGCTCCAGCACAAGGCAGCCCATTCTCTCAGGCCAGTATTGATTTTCATTTGCTTTCATTTTGAATCCATAGTTTCCCTCAATAGCACCACTGGACAGTTTTGTCAGGCTTGCCATCACCACAGGCAACCTCTGAGACACGGTCTCAATTTTATCTGCATCCATGAGAGGCCAGCCCAAAGTACTGCTCCACATTGGACTTGGCTTTGTTATGGTTCCTTCATTTCCCAAAGAACTATTAAAAGACCCAGGATGAAGGGAGACAGTGAGGTCAAGAATCCGGCCATCTTTCATTGATAGCTGCCTCTGGGGTTTAAGTATGATTCTATCACCCAAACAACCCTCAACAACACACTGACAACACACTGGACTAGATTCCATTCCCCATGGTATTCGATTCTGGCACACAGCCTTCTATGGGAATGAAGCTGGAAGAGCAGTTTCCAGTGACAACCTCACAGTTTTGAAACACCTCCTCCTCCAGCAGGACCTGACCACAGAAGATGCCTGAAGGGGCCCTGAGGCTGAGAGTTTTGGAGTCCTGAAGTGGTTTTTGACAAGCAACATTTTTCCTGATGGTAGGCCAGCTCTGCCTCTACCATTTTTCTCTGCTTAGGAAGGCTGACAGTTCTGAGAGCTGGGTGCCTGAGCCTACTTCACAAATGCACATACACTAGTCTCCAGGCCAGATTGTGAGCTCTAGCTAGCATCACAAAGAATGTCACCATTGCCTAGAGACAAGTACCTTCCTCTTGGCAGAGAAGGAGACCTTTGTAGAGGTTCGTCAATGGTGGACTGTTGCCTGTCTTCTCTGTGGAATCCGCAGGATAGTCCCATGATCCTAGGAGATTTCAGATGAGAGCCAGAGTCAGGAAACATAAGCACAGCCCCAGGAATAAACCACAAAATGTTTAGGAATCCAAAGGGATCTGCAGGATACCTTAGGGCTGCCTAGACCTTGTAGGTGTGAGTGAGTCTTCTTGAAACTTGCCCCACTGTGATTTCTAGTTACAGCCCGCCTGTGTTCCCCAGGCTTGCTCTATGCCAGATGTGGCTTCCTGCAGAACCACACAGCCTCAGGAGCTGCCAGACTGTGTGTTTCTGTGGGAATGTTGGGAGTGTTGGAAGTCTACGTGTGTGTCACATCGTGATTTTGTGTGTGTGTGTGCTCTTGTAAGTGCAGGCTTCTTAAAGAAATGTGGCTACCACACTTCACCACTGTAGGGAGACCCCATGAAACTATTACTACAGAATAAAAGATGAAATGACCTGATTATTGTAAATACAAAGTTGCATGCAGGATTGTGTAAAGACAATGCCAGATTGGACTGCCAGAATGAGCCAACAGCACGTGATGTGCTTCCCCCTGCAGAGACCCTATGAATGGACATGCAGTCAGGTTTCACATCACCAAGACTCCTGTCCCAGAAAAGCAGATGTCCGTAGCTCTGGGAATGGAATGCAATCCTCATAGAGAGCCTATAAATGGACACATGGGGGGCGCCTGTCCATATGGATAAGATAAGGCTATAAATGCCCTCATCTTGCCACGGCTCTTCTAGGCCTCTTTAGGGTTAAGGCATACTCCTTTCTGAGAATTTCTGGTCTAACTGGTTGTCTAGCTTCACATCTTGTTTCCATGGATTGTTTGTAACCAGCTTTGTTGCAATTGTTACTGCTGATTAATATCTTGCTAATCATAGGTTATGGAAAGACTGTGTTTCTGTTCTAAGGCTCTGTTAGAAATTACTGATGCACACACTATATTGTAAATTCTTATCTCTCTGTATACTGTACTTCTACATAAAAAATGTACTGTACTTGTACATACAAATGCTATGTTAAAGAATTACTTCATCCCCATGTGACCATCTCACCTTATAATGAAATGACCCTAAATCCCTCACTAACCTACACCTGCCCTCACTACACTTAATAATAAATGCTGGTATATCCAGTGCATTGTTGGCACCACAGGACCAGAAAGCGGTGACCCCCCTGGACCCAGCTTTCACTATCTTGTGTGTGTCTATTATTTCTCAACCTGCCAATCCACCTAGGAACAAAGAGAGAACTCCATTGCATTGTGGGCTTCTGGCCAGATCCTGCAATACAACGCTTCTTTTTTTGTGCCTCCAAACCTTTTGTTTGACCTTTATGTGTGCTCTGCTTGGCCTGTGGGGCTCCATGTTTTTGAATTTTCTGGTTATCATGAATCCACAGTGAATTGGGAGGCAGGCTGAGACCTGCTGGTGTCCAAATCCCTCCCCCTGCAAAAATAAATAAATAAATTAATTAATAAACATAAAATAAAAATAAAAATCCACTCTGCTAGAAAGAAGAAGAGCACACCACACCCAAAAAATGGACACCTGCTACCGTTTCATTGTCCTGCATCCAACCCAGGGAGAGGAACTAGCAGTCCTGTCTGCAGGTCCCCTTGAGTTGACCATGAATTCAGTTTCCAGCTATGCAGGTGTTTTGTGTTATGAAGGGGCACTTCTCCATCATCTTGGGTTTTCATCCTGGGACACTGAGTATAAGAAGGAATAAGGTGAGATTGGAGTGAGGATATGATTTGATGAGAAGTGGAAGGGATCCCACAACTTCACCTGCAATAAAAATGAAGACAAATGACACAGGAGGTGCTTCTAACCCCATGCTCACGTTTCATTAATTGCACAAGCAATCCACACCATGGCCCAATGTTCAGGTGGAAGTTCTGCAATGTGCAAGGAGTATTGGGAGTGCCAATTGGGACCATGCTGGCAAGCTCTTGATTTGAGGCCTTTCCTACACGGAGCCAAAAGGGAGTGGAATGTTCTGATGTTGGGTGGGATGTGGTCTCCACATTTGCCTCTTCTTTTCCTGACTTCCATGTCCCTTGTCAGCCTAGGGTTTCCTGGGTCTGGCTTAACAAATTCCACAGTAAACATTTCCCAGCTCATGAAGAACGACCCTCATTAGAATCCATTGCGTGAGTGGTTCTTTCTAAACACTGTCACATTTTAATGATTGCACAGCTTTAATATTTTTAAAACTGTAAATTTGTGTTATAGCCACCAAAACAGAAACTCCTGTTCTCCCACTTGTATCAGAAAGCTGCATGATTTCTGAAGGATGAGAAGCAGGCAAACATGTCTAGATTTTGCCTGATAATCTAGCTTGTTTTATTTCATCTGCATGGCCTTCTCATTGTGGAGGCGCTCTTTCAGTGGGCTCTTCCTGGATGGGAATCCCTCTCACTACAGTTGAATTAGCTGCCAGGGATTTTAGAGAGTGAAAGGGAATTCATGTAGGCTGGATGGGTTCCGCATTGTGGTTGTTGTCTCGTTGGCAAGGCTGAGGTTGTTTGCAATTTGCAGGAGGATTTTGGGTCCTCAGACAGGAATCACTGAACATTGCTTGTACTCCAGCACAAGGCAGCTTGTTCTCTCATTTGAGCCTAGATTTTTCTTTGCTTTCATGGGGAATCCACAGTGCCCCTCAACAGCACTACTGCACATACTATTCGGACTTGTCATCGCTACAGATGGCATTTGAGACACTGTCTCAACGTCATCTGCAGCAGTGAGAGGCCTGTCTGATGTGTAAGAACAGGTCAAGTGCCCGGCCATCTTTTGCTGACAACTGCCTCTGGGGTCTCAAGTATGATTCTTTTACCCAAAAATCCCTCAACGAAGTCAGATTCTATCACCCAAAAACCCCTCAACAGCACACCAGACTATAAAACGATTTCCATGGGACCCAATTCTGGCACACATCCTCTTTTGGGAATGGAGTAAGAAGAGTAGTTTCCAGAAACCACCTCACAGTCTCAAAACGCCTTCTCCTCCAGTGAGACCCAACCACAGAGACAGACAAAGGGGCCCTGAGATGGAGGCTTTTTGGGTCCAGCAATGGTTTTTCACAGGCTGCTTTTTTCCTGATACCAGGCAGATTCTGCCTGTACCATTTTCCTTGGTTAGGCAGGCTGACTGATCTGACAGCCAGGTGCCTGAGCTTACCTCCAGAATGTGCATGCACTAGTTTCAGGGCACCAGGCCTGATTGTGAGCTTTTTTGAGCATCACAATGAATGTTATCATTGCCTAGCGACAAGGCCCTGTGACTTGGCAGAAAAAGGAGACATTCATGGGGATGCATGCAAAGTGGACTCCTGCTATTTTTCTCTGTGGGATCTACGACATAGTCCCATGATCCTAGGATAGGGCAGAAGTGGATTCCTCAGGCCTACCTAAGAATTGTAGGGGTGTCTTTTTGAAACTTGCCCCACTATGATTTCTAGTTAGAGCCCAGCTGTGTTGTCCATGGTTGCTCTATACCATGTGGGGCTTCCTACAGAACCATGCAGCTTCAGGAGTTGCCAGGATGTATGTTTCTGTGGCAGTGTTGCAAATGTTGGAAGTCTGCATGTGTGTAGCATTGTGTGTTTGTGTGTGTGTGTGTGTGTGTCTGTAAGTGGAGTCTTCTTAAAGGAATGTGGCTATCACACTGTAGCATTTTTTTTTTTGAGTCTCCAGAACTTTCGGTGGTCTGTCTCTGCTGCTTTACTTGGGATGCATGTTCTTTATTTTTCTGTGGGTCATTAATCTGCAGTTAATTGAGATGCTGGCTGTGACACACCAGGGTCCAAGTCCCCTCCCGCTGAAAAAATGTCACTTTTCAAGACAGAATAGGAGGAAACCACACCTAAGAACAGACATCACAAAGTTTTTCATTGTTATGCGGCCATCTCAGGAAGAGACAGTTGCAGTGCTGTTCACAAGGCCCTTTGGATTTACCTCGAATTTGTTTCCCAGGAGAGCAGGTTCTACATGTCATGAAGGGCAACTCCTCCATCATTTCAGGATTTTTTTTCTGGAACAGAGAGTGTGAACAGCAATAAGGACAGATACAGGTGAGGATACAATCTGCTGAGGGGTGGATGGGGTCCCACACCTTAGCCTACAAAAAAGTTGAAGACAGATGACACAGAAGGTGTTTCCAACTACATCCCCGAATTCCCTTAATTGCACAAGCAGTCCACACCATCCCTGTTGTTCAGGTGGGAGTACTCCAATATTCAGGGAATATTTGGAGTGCAAACTGGGGCCATTCTGACAAAGTCCTGATTTGAGGGCTTTTATATCTGAAGCGTAATGGGAGGGCGACGGATAGATGCTGGGTGGGATGTGGCCTCCACACTTGCCTCTTGTTTTCTTGACTTCCGTGTTCCTGGTCAGCATAGGGTTTCCTTGGTCTGGGTCAATGTCTTCCAAACTAAACACTTCCGAGTTCATGGAGGACGACACTCACGGGAATCCACTGAGTGAATATTTCCTTCTAAACAATATCAAGTTTTAATGACTGGAGAGTTGTAATAATTTTAGAACTGTAAACTCCCATTGCAGAAGCCAGCAAGGAAACTGTTGTTCTCCCACTTCTATCAGAGGGCTGCACAGTTCCTCTAGGATGAGAAGCAGGCAGCCATTTCTGTCTTTTGCCTGGTAAACTAGACTCTGTTTCATTTCATCTATATGTCCTTTCTCATTGTGGAGGGGATCTTTCATTGGCCTGTTTCTGGATGGGAGTGCCTCTCAGCACAAATCTTTTGGCTGCCAGGGATTTCTGAAAGCAAAAGGGAATTTGGGTAGGCTGGCTGTGCTCCAGCTTGTGGGTCATGGTCTCGTTGTTGCAGCTGATGCTGTTTGCAATTTGCAGGAGGCTTTACCGTCCTGTGACAGAAATCTTTGAATGTTGCTTGGACTCCAGCACAAGTCATGTGGTTCTCTCAAGAGGGCCTTGATTTTTCTTTACTTTCATCATGGGTCCACATTGCCCCTCAACAGCACTACTGGAAACCCCTTTTAGGCTTGCAATCATCACAGACGGGCTCTGAAACACTGTCTCAACCTCATCTGAATCCTTTAGGGGTCAGCTGGAGGTGAGAGAACACTGCTCTGCCTTGGACTTGCTTTTTTCATGGTCCCTTCCTTTCCCAGAGATCCCCTGCAAGGCCCAGCATGAAGGGAGGCAGTGAGGTCAAGAGCCCAGCCATCTTTTGCTGACACCCACCTCTGGTCTCTCATGTATGATTCCACCACCCAAAGAGCCCTCAACAACTCACCAGACTATAGTCTAATCTCCATCTGACCCGACTGTTGCACACAGCCTCTTTTGGGAATGGAGTCAGAGTAGCATTTCCAAAGACCACCTTATAGTCTCAAATCACCTCCTTCTCCAGCAGGACCTGAGCAGAGGGATGACCCAAAGGGACACTATGGTCGAGACTTTTATGGTCCCACTCTGGGTTATTGCAGGCAGCATTTTTTTCAATACCATGCCGTCTCTTCATGTATTTTTTTTTTCTTTTTTTTCGCTTAGGCTGGCTGACAGTTCTGACAGCCCGTCGCCCAAGTCTGCATACTCTTAGGCACAAGGACTGAGCTATGGGCTCGGGTTAGCATCACAACGAAGGCCACCATTGCCTAGGCATAAGTCTCTGCGGCTTTGCGGAGAAGAACTCTGTGGAGGTTAGTCAGTGGTGGACTCTCGCCTCATTTCTCTGTGGGATTCCCGTGATAGTCCCATGAGGCTAGGAGAGGGAGGAGGTGAGCCAGCCTGAAGAAAAGTCAAGCACAGCCCCAGGAATAAGCCGCAAAACTCCTACAGATCCAAAAGGACCTGGAGGATGCCTAAGGCCTCCCGGACTTTGTCAGGGTGAGTCTTTTTAAAACTGTGATTTGCAGGTACAGGCTGCCTGTATTCCCCGGGGTTGCTCTTTCAAAGACAGGGCCAGTTTGGGATTGGGAGGGATTGATGCTGGTGGCATGTGGCCTCCACACTTTCATCTTCAGGGCCAAGGCCCTGGTAATCTGTCACTGATATGCACTTGTGGGGTCTCAGGTATGATTCCATCACGCAAAGACGTCTCAACAATCGCCAGACTATTTTCCAATACCCATGGGACCTGATTCCTGCACACAGCCTCTTTTAGGAGTGGAGTCAGAAGAGCACTTTCCAGCAACCACCTCACAGTATCAAAACGCCTCCTCCTCCAGAGGAAATTACCCGGAGATGGCCCAAAGGTGCCCTAAGCTCAAAATTTTAGAGTTCTACAGTGAATTATCGCAGGCAACATTATTTCTGACACCTGGTCGGCTGTGTCTGTACCATTTTCCTGTTTAGGCAGGCTGACATCTCCTAGAGCTGGGCACAACCACCTGCCTCACAAATGGACATGTGCTAGTATCAGGGCAACAGGCATGAGATGTGAACTATGGCTAGCATTACAATCAATGCTGACATTGACTAGCAACAAGTCTCTATGGCTTGGCGGAAAAGGAGAATTTCATGGAGGGGCATTGGCATTGGACTCTCACCTATCATCTCTGTAGGATTCATGGGATAGTCCCGTGATCCCAGGAGAGGGCAGATGTGAGCCAGGCTGAAATAACATCAAGCAGAGCCAGGAATAAGCCCTGAAATCCATAAGGATCTAAAAAGATCTGCAGAATGCCTTAGGTCTGCTTAGATATTGTAGGGGTGAGTCTTTTGGAAAATTGTCCTACTGTGATTCCTAGGTACAGCCTGTTTTCCATATAGTTGCTCTCTCCCAGGTGGGGCTCCCTGCAGACCCACACAACCCAGGAACTGCTGGGCTGGGTGTTGCTGTGGGAGCACTGAGAATGCTGGATATCTGTGTGTGTGCGTGTGTGTGTGTGGCTTCCTGTGTCTGTGTATTTGTGTGTGTGTGTACCTGTAAGTGGAGTCTGCTTAAAAAAATATGGCTAACGCACTGTGGTGCTTCATTTTTCAAGTCTCCCAACATTTTGGTGGCCTGTCGGTGTCGTTATGCTTTGGTTGCAGGGCTCTATGTTCTCTGTTTTTCTGTGGATAATGAATCCATTGTGATTTGGGAGGCTGGCAGAGGTCCAAATCACCTTTCCCTGGAAAAACAGTCTCTCTTTTAGAAAGAAGAGGAGCACACCACATTCAACAACAGACATCTCCCAGTGTTTTTTAATCCTGCGGCCAACCCAGTGATAGACACTAGTATTGTCCACAGGGCTCCTTGAATTTACCTCGAATTCGGTTCTGAGCGGGTGCTTCACCTTGTACGGAGGCACTAATCCATCATCTTGGGGTTTCACTTTGGGTCAGAGAGTGTGAGCAGCAATGAGGTCAGATAGGGTTGAGGATACAATCTGTTGAGGGGTTGATGGGGTCCCACGCCTTCACCTGAAAAAAAGGTGAACACAAATGACAAAGAAGTTATTTCCAACTGCAGCCTTCTATTCCCTTAATATCACAAGCAGTCCAGACCATGGCCCCATTTTCAGATGGGAGTACTCTAACACACAGGGAATATTTGGAGTGCAAACTGGGGCCATCCTGGCAAACTCTCAATTTGAGGGCTTTCAAACACGGAGCCAAATGCGAGTGGGATGGATTGATACTGGGTGGGATGTAGCTTCCACACTTGCCTCTTCTTTTCCTGACTTCTATGTTCCTCGTCAGCCTAGAGTTTCCTTGGTCTGGCTCAATGTCTTCCAAACTCAACCATTCCCAGTTCATGGAAAATGACCCTCATGGGATTCCCTTGTGTGAGTATTTCCTCCTAAACACTGTTGTATTTTAATGACTGGGCAGCAGCGATACTTTTAAAACTGTAAATCCCTGCAACAGCCACAAACAAGGAAACTCTTGTTCTCCCACTTCTACAGAAAAGCTGCATGATTGCTGGAGGATGGTTTATTGTCCTACAGCCAACCCAAAAACGGCACTACCAGTCATGTTGCAGGGCCCCTTGAATTAACCTCGAATTAGGTTTCCAGATGAGCAGGTGCTTCATGTTGTGAAGGGGCCCTCCTCCATCATCCTAGAATTTCATTCTGGGACACAGAGTGTGAGCAGCAATAAGGTCAGATATGGGTGAGGATACAATCTGGTGAAGGGTAGATGGGGTCCCATGCCTTCCCCTGTAGAAATGGTAAAAACAGATGACACAGAAGGTGCTTCCAACTGCATTTAAGCATTCCCTTAATTGCAAAAGGATTCCACACCATGGCCCAGTTTTCTGGTGTGAGTACTCCAAGTTTCAGGAAACAGTGTTAGTGTGAACTTTGGCAATGCTGGCAAGTTCCCTATTGGAGGGCTTCAGTACATGGAGCCAAGGGGGAGTGGAATGGAATGATGCTGTGTGGGATATGGCCTCCACACTTGCCTTTTCTTTTCCTCACTTTCATATTCTTCATTGGCCTAGAATTTCCTGGGTCTTGCTAAATGTCTTTCACACTAAATGTTTCCCAGTTCACAGAGGATGACCCTCATGGGAATGTATTTCATCAGTGTTTCCTTCTAAACACTGTCACATTTTAATGACAGAGCTGCTGTGATACTTTTAAAACCATAAATTCCCTTTACAGGCACCAACAGATAAATTCCTTTTTTTTTTTCTTAGACAGAGTTGCACTCCGTTGCCTGGGCTGGAGTGCAGCGTCATGATCTCCAGTCACTGCAAGCTCTGCCTCCCGGGTTCATGCCATTCTCCTGCCTCAGCCTCCTGAGTAGCTGGGACTACAGGTACCTGCCACAATGCCTGGCTAATTTTTTGTTCTTTTAGTAGAGATGGGGTTTCACCATTTTAGCCAGGATGGTCTCAATCTCCTGACCTCATGATCCTCCCACCTTAGCCTCCCAAAGTTCTAGGATTACTGGAATAAACCACCGTGTCCGGCCCTTGGGAAACACTTGTTCCCCACTTCTGTCAAAAGGCTGCATAATTCCAGTATGATGAGAAGCAGACAGCCATGTCTGGCTTTTTTCTGGTAATTTACACTCTGTTTTATTTCATCTGCAAATCCTTTCTCATTGTGGAGGGTGTATAGCATTGATTGTTGCTGGATAGGGCTGCCTCTATATACAGATTTCCTGCCACTGATTTCAGAAAGGTCTGTGGTCTGTTTGTGAGAGCTGAGGTTGTTTGCAGTTCTTGGGAGGCTTTTGGTTCCTCTGAGAGGAATCTTTGAAAGTTTCTTATATTCCAGCTCAGGTCAGCTCCTTCTCTCTGGCAAGCCTTGATTTTTCTTTCTTTCCAGGCTGGGTCCACTTTGCCCCTCAACAGCATTACTGGACACCTTTGTCAGACTAGCAATTTCCACAGACACCCTCTGTGAACATTTTTCAACATCATCTGCAGCAGTGAGAGGCCAGTTTGATGTGTAAGAATACTGCTTGACTTTGGACTTGCCTTTGTCATGGTTCCTGCCTTTCTCATAGATCTCCTGCCAGGACAAGGATGATAGGAGGCAAGGAAGTCAAGGGCCCAGCCCCATTCACTGAAAGCTGCCTCTGGGATCTCAGGTATGATTCCATCACATAAAATCCCCTCAACAACTCACCAGACTATATTCCAATCTCCGTGGGACCTGATTCTTGCACACAGCCTCTTTCACGAATGGAGCCAGAAGAGCAGTTTTCAGTGACCATCTCAGTTTGGAAAAGCCTCCTCCTTCAGTGGGTCTCAGCCACAGAGTCATCCCGAAGGGGCTCTAAGGTCAATAATTTTAGGGTCTGACAGTTGATTATCACAGACAGACTTTTTCATGATAGCAGATCATCTCTGTCTATATCATTTTCCTCTGCTTAGGCAGGCTGACAGCTCTGACAGCCAGGCACTTGAATCTACCTGGCAAATGTTCATGCTCTAGTCTCAGTGCAAAAGGCCTGTTTGGGAGTTCTGGCTAGTGTCACAATAAATGCCGCCATTGCCTAGTGACAAGTCAATGTGGATTGAGGGAGGAAACCTCTATGTAGGGGCATAGGTAGTGGACTCTCACCTGTCTTCTATGTAAATTGCATGGGATAGTCCTATGAGGCTAGGAGAGGGCAGACAGAAGCCAGCCTCAAGAAACTTCAAGGGCAGCCTCAGGAATAAACTGCAGCATTCCTAATGATTTAAAAGACATGCAGTATTTCTAATGCCTGCCTAGATGTTGCAGGGGTGAGTCATTTTGAAACTTGCCCCACTGTGATTTGTAGGTAAAGCATACCTCTGTTCCTGGGGTGGCTGTCTCCCAGGGGGGGCTTCCTGAAGAATCACAAAGCCTGAGAATCTGCCAAGCTTTGTTTTTCTGTTGAGAGTGTTGTGAGTGTTGGATGTTTGCATGTATGTGTGGCTGTGTGTGTGTGTGTGTGTGTGTGTAAGGGGAGTCTGCTTAAAACAATTTTGCTAAAGAACTGCAGCCCCCCCTTTTTCAAGTCTTCCAACTTTTTAGTGGATTGTCTCAGGCTGCGGGGCTTTGTATTCTTTCTTTTTCTATGGATTATGACTCTGTAATGAAGTCTAAGGCAGGATGAGACCTGCCAGGTAACAAACCACCTCCTTCTCCCAACAAAAACCACTTTCCTAGAAAGAAGACCACACCACTCCCAAGAACAGACATCTCCCAGTGTTTTATCGTCCTTCAGCCAACCCAGGGAGAGACAGCAGCAGTCCTGTCTGCAGGGCTTTTTAAATGTAGCTCAAATTCAGTTCCCAGCCAAGCAACTGCTTCACGTCGTGAAGGAGAATTCCTCTATCATCGTGAGATTTCATTCTAGAACAGAGAATGTCAGCAGCAATAAGGTCACAGAGAGATGAAGATATAATGTGGTGAGGGGTGGATGAGAACCTGCACCTTCACATGTAAAAAAGATGAAGACAGAAGACAGAAGGTGCTTCACACTGCATCCCTGCATTCCCTTAATTGCACAGCAGTCCACGCCATGGCCTGATGTTGAGGTGGTAGTACTACAAGGTGCAGGGAACATTTGGAGTGCAAACTGAAGCCATCTTGCAAACTGTCAATTTGAGGGCTTTCATACTAGAGCCAAATGGGAGTACGATGAATTTATCCTAGGTAGGATGTGGCATCCACACTTGCCTCTTTTTTTCCTGACTTCCATGATCCTCACCAGCCTAGGGTTTTCTGGGTTTGGCTCAATATCTTCCACACTAAACATTTCCCCATACAGTGATTATGACCCTTATGAGAATCCATTGTGAGTATTTCATATTAACAATGTCACATTTTAACATTTTAATTACTTGGCAGCTGTGATACTTTTAAAACCAAGATTTCCTGTTACAGCTGCCATCAAGGAAACTCTTGTTCTACCACTTCTATCGGGGGATGCAAGATTTCTGTAGGGTGAGAAGCAGGAAGCCATATCTCACTTTTGCCTGGCATTCTAGGCACTATTCCATTTCATCTGCACATCCTTTCTCATTGTGGAAGGGACCTTTCACTGGACTGTTGCTGGATGGTACTACCTCTCATCACAGATCTTTTGGATGCCAGGGATTTCAGGGAGCAAAAGAAACTTTGGTTATGCTGGCTGAAATCCAGGTTGTAAGCCATGGTGTCATCATAGGGGCTGAGGTTGTTTGCACTTTACAGGAGGCTTTTGGGTCCTCTGACAGGAATCTTTGAACATTGCTTGGACTGCAGCCCAAGTCAGATCATTCTTTCAGGCGAGCATTGATTTTTCTTTGCTTTCATAAGGTATGCATAGTGCCCATCAACAGCAGTACTTGACACACTTTTCAGGTTTGCATGGCCACAGACAGCCTTGGAGACACTGTCTCAATCTCATCTGCACCTGTGAGAAGACAGTCCGCGGTGTGAGAACACTGCTCCATCTTGGACTTGCCTTTTTGAGGTTGCTGCCTTTCCCAGACAGCCCCTGCGAGGTCCAAAATAAAGGGAGGCAGTGAGGACAAGAGACCGGCCATCTTTCTCTGACACCCACCTTTGGGGTCTCAGATATGATTCTATCACCCAAAAAATCCTCAACAACTCACCAGACAATACTCCAATCCTCATGGGACCTGATACTTGCACATAGACTTTTTCATAAATGGAGTCTGAAGAGCAGTTTCCAGAAACCAAGTCACCATCTTGAAACACCTTCTCCTCCAGCGGGAACCTGTCACGGAGATGAATGGAAGGGGCCCTGAGTTTGTGAATTTTAAAGTCCCGCAGTTGGTTTTCACAGGCAGACTTTGTCCTGATACCAGGCCATCTCTGCTTGTACTATTTTCCTCTGCTGAGGCAGGCTGACAGCTGTGACAGTCAGGTGCCTGAGCCACCCTCACGAATGCACATGTGCTAGTCTCAAGGTAGCAGGCCTGATTGTGAGCTTTGGCAAAAGTTACAAAAAGGGTCACCATTGCCTAGTGACAAGTCCCTGCCTCTTGCCAGAGAAGGAGACCACTGGGGAGGTGTGTCAGTGGTATACTGTCACCTATCTTCTCTGTGAAATCCACAAATAGTCTCATGATCCTGGGAGAAGGCCTGGGGCTTGGTAGAGAAGGAGAATTCTGTGGAGGTCCATCGGCGGTGGAACCACACCTGTCTTCTCTGTGGGATTCACAGGATAGTCCTAGAAAAGGGCAGACGTGAGACAGACTGAGGAAACATCAAGAAGAGGAATAAATGGTGAACTGCCTAAGGATCCAAAAGGATTTGCAGGATTCCTCAGGCCTGCCTAGAAGTTGCAGGTGTGAGTCTTTTAGAAACCTGTCCCAACGTGATTTATAGGTAAAACCTGCCTGTGTTCCTCAGGGTTGCTCTCTCCCAGGTGGGGATTTCTGATGAACCATGCAGCCTCAGTAGCTGCCAGGCAGTGTGTTTCCATGGGAATGTTGCAAGTGTTGGATGTCTTTGTGGGTACGTGTGGCATTGTGTGTTTGTGTGTGTGTTTGTGTGCCTGTAGGTGGAGTCTGCTTAAAGGAATGTGGCTAATGCACTGCAGCACTTCTTTTATTTTTGAGTCTCTTATACTTATGGTGGCCTGTCTGTGTGGCTCAGCTTGGGTTGTGGGGCTTCCTGTTATTTGTCTGTGGATCATGAATCTGCAGTGAATTGGGAGGTGGGCTGAGACACGCAGGCATCGAAATCACCTCCCCTGCAACAAAAGCCACTCGTCTATAAAGATGAGCACACCATACCAAAAAAAAAAAAAAAAAAAGACATCTCCCAGTGTTTTATTGTCCAGAGTCCAAACCAGAAAGTGACCCTCACAGATCTGTGTGCATGGCCCCTTGAATTTAGCTTGGATTCAGTCTCCAGCTGAGCAGATGCTTCATGTCATGAGGAAGATCTCCTTCATCATCTTGGAATTCATTCTGGGACATAGATTGTGAGCAGAAATGAGGTCAGATGGGGTGAAGATACAATCTGGTGAGGGGTGGAAGTAATCCCCCAACTTCACCTGCAAAACATAAAGGCAGAAAACACAGAAGGTTCTTCCAACTTTATCTCTGCATCCCCTTAATTGCACAAGCAGTACACACCATGGCCCAGTGTTCTGGTGGGAGTACTTTAACCTGCAAGGAATATTTGGAGGGCAAATTGGGGCCATTTTTGCAAACTCTCCATTTAAGAGCCTTCATACATGAGCCAAATGGGAGCAGAATTGATTGATTCTGTATTGGATGTGGCCTCCGTACTTGCCTCTTTTCCCCTGACTTCTACGTTTCTCGTCAACCTAGGGTTTCCTGTTTCTGGCTCAATGACTTCCACACTACATGTTTCCTAGTTCACAGAGAACGACCCTCCTGGGAATCCATTGCATGAGTGTT
Source organism: Homo sapiens (assembly GCF_000001405.40). Taxonomy (NCBI): domain Eukaryota; kingdom Metazoa; phylum Chordata; class Mammalia; order Primates; family Hominidae; genus Homo; species Homo sapiens. Next base: position 22,097,840 of record NC_000024.10, on the reverse strand, counting down.
TCCTTCTAAACATTGTCACCTTTTAAAGACTGGGAAGCTTTGATAGTTTTAAAACGGTAAATTCTTGTTACACCCACCAACAAGGAATCTGTTTTTTTTCCCACTTCTATCACAGGGTTGCATGTTTCCTCTAGGATGAGAAGGAGGCAGCCATGTCTGGCTTTAGCCTGATAATCTAGCCCCTGTTTCATCTCATCTGCATGGACTTCTCATTGTGGAGGGGCCCTTTCACTGGGCTGTTGCTGGCTAGGACTGCCACTTGCCACAGATTATTTTGCTGCCAGGGATTTCAGAGAGTAAAAGGGACTTTGATAAACTGGCTGCACTCCATATTGTGGATCATTGTCTCATCGTAGAGGCTGCAGTTGTTTGCACTTTGCAGGAGGCTTTTGGTTTCTGACAGGAATCTTGAACATTGCCTGGACTCCAGCAAAGGCAGCTCATTCTTAGGTGAACCTTGGTTTTTCTTTGTTTTCTTGGGGAATCCATAGTGCCCCCCAACAGCAGCACTGCACACCATTTTCAAGCTTGCCATCACCACAGATGGCCTCTGAGACACTGTCTCAACTACATCTGCACAAGTGAGAGGCCATTCCGAGATGTGAGAACACTGCTCCACATTAGACTTGCCTTTGTTATGGTTCTTGCCTTTCATAGATAGCCCCTGCAAGGCTCAGAATGAAGGGAGGCATTCAGTTCAAAAGCCCAATCATCTTTTGCTGACATCCACTTCTGGTGTCTCAGGTATGTTTCTGTCGCCCAAAGAACACTCAACGACACACCAGATTATATTCCAACCCCCTTGGGACCCAATTATTGCACACACCCTCTTTCGCTAATGGAGTTAGAAGAGCAGTTTCCAGCGACCACATCGCAGTCGCGAAACACCTCTTCCTCCAGCGGGACCTGAACAAGGAAATGGCCAGCAGGGTCCCTGAGGTCGAGATTTTCAGGGTCCTGCAGTGGGTTTTTATAGTCAGCCTTTTTCCCGATACCAGGCGGGCTCTGCCTGTTCCATTATCCCCTGCTGAGGCAGACTGACAGCTCTGACAACCTGACTTGAGTCTGCCTCACAAATGCGCATGCGCTAGTCTCAGGGTACCTGATCCGATTGTGAGCTCTGTCTAGCATCGCTATAAATGTCACCGTTGCCTAGCAAGAAGTATCTGCATCTTGGAAAAGGGGACCTCCGTGGAGGAGCGTCAGCTGTGTCTTCTCGTCTGTCTTCTCTGTGAAATCCACGGATAGTCTCATGATCCTAGGAGAGGGTAGACGTTAGCCAGCGTGAAGAAACAAGCATAGCTACAGGAATAAACCACAAAATCCTTAAGCATCCAGAAACATCTGCAAGATTTGGTAGGCCTGCCTAGACATTGTACGGGTGAATCTTTTTGAAACTTGCCCTACTGTGGTTTCTAGGTACAGCCTGCCTATGTTCCTTGGGGTTGCTCTCTCCTAGGTGGGAATTCCTGCAGAGCCATGCATCCTCATGCACTGCTGAGCTATGTTTTTCTGTGGGAGTGTTGCAACTGTTGGATGTGTGTGTGTGTGTGTGTGTTTTTCATTGTGTGTTTAAGAATGTGTTTGTTGCTGTAAGTGGAGTCTGCTTAAATAATGTGTCTAATGCACTTCAGTGCCTCTTTTTTTTTTTTTTTTGAATGTTTCAATCTTTGTTGGCCTCTCTGTTGCTTTGTTTGTGCTGTGGGGCTCCGTGTTCTTTATTTTTCTGTGGATCATGAATCTGCAGTGAATCGGGAGGTGGGCCAAGACATGCAGGTGTCAAAATCAACTCCTCCTGAAAGAAATAAAACAAAAAAGAGCCACTCTTCTAGAAAGAAGAGGAGCACACCACACCAGAAACAGACATCTTGCAGTGTTTCACTGTCTCAACCTTATCTGCACAGTCCGAGGTCAGTCTGAGGTAAGAGAATAACCACAACTGCATAGTGAAAGACCAGTCTGAGGTATGAGAACACTCCTCCACCTCGGACTTGCCATTGTCGTGGTTTCTACCTTTCCCAGAGAGCTTCTGAGAGACCCAGGATGAAGGGATGCAGTGAGGTCAAGAGCCCAACCTTCTTTCACTGACACCCACCTCTAAGGACTCAGGTATGATTGTATCACCCAAAGAACCCTCAACAACACAACAGATCATATTCCAATTCTTATGGGACCAGATTATTGCACACAGCCTGTTTCAAAAATGGAGACAGAAGGGCAGTTTCCAGTGAACAGGTTACTATCTAAAAATACCTCCTCCTGAAGGGGCCCTGAGGTTGAGACATTTAGGGTCACACAGAGGGTTTTCAAACACAGCCTTTTTTATCAACAACAGGCCTACTCTGCCTGTATTATTTTTCTCTGCTTAGGATGTCAGCTTGCTTAAACACAGGGAAAAACATCTGCAGGACTTCTCAGGCCAGCCTAGACATTGTAGGCATGAGTCTTTTGAAACTTGTCCAACTGTGATTTCTAGGTATAGCCAACTGGGGTTTCTTGTGGTTGCTGTCTCCCAGGTTGGGATTCTTGCAGAATCACATAGCCTCAGGAGTGCTGAGCTCTGTTTTCCTGTGGGAGTGTTGTGAGTGTTGGATGTCTGCGTGTGTGTGTGGCATTGGGTGTGCACATGTGCGCCTGACAGTAGAGTGTGCTGGAAATTACATGGCTAACCCGCTTCAGCCCTTTTCCCTTCTTTTTTTTTTTAGTCTCCCAACATTTCTGGCGGAGCATTTCAAGTGTTGGATGTCTGCATGTTTGTGTGGTATTGTGTGTGTGTGTGTGTGTGTGACTGTAAGTGAAGTCTGCTTAAAAGCATATTACTTATGCACTCCAGTGCTTTCTGTTTTTGAGTCTTCCAACATTTTGGTGGCCTGTGTTTCTCTGCTTGGGCTGTGGGACTCTCTCCAGGTAGTGCTTCGTGCAGCCTCGGTAGCTGCTGGGCTGTGTATTTCTGTGGGAGTATAGTGAGTGTAGGATGTCTGAATGTGTGTGTGGCATTGTGTGTTCAAAAAAAGCCACTCTTCTAAAAAGAAGAGGAGCACACCATGCCCAAAAGAGACATCTCCTAGTGTTTCATTGTCGTGAGGCCAACCCAGGCATAGACACTAGCAGTCCTGTCCACTGGGCACTTTGAATTAACCTTGAATTTGGTTCCCAGCTGAGCAGGTGATTCACATCTTGTGGTGGGGGGGCACTCTCCATCATCTTTTGATTTCATCCTGGGACATAGAGTATGAGCAGGAATAAAGTCAGATAGCTTTAAGGACAAAATCTCGTGAGGGGTGTATAAGGTTTTGCAACATCACTTGCAAAAAAAAAATGAAGATAGATGACACAGAATCTGCTTCCAAGTAAATAGCCTGGTTTTCAGGTGGACATGAAGAGAATATTTTGAGAACAAACTGGGGCCATCTGGAGAACTCTCAATGTGAGGGCTTTCATAACCGGAGCCAAATGAGAGTGTGATGGATTGATGCTGGGTGAGTGTAGCCATCACACTTGCGTCTTCTTTTCCTGACTTCCATGTTCCTCTTTGGCCTAGGGTTTTCTGGGTCTGGTTCCATATCTTCCACACTAGAAGTTTCCCAGTTCATGGAGGACCACTCTTATGTGAATCCATTGCATCATTGTTTCTTTCTTAATTCTGTCACGTTTTAATGACTAGGCAATATGAGACTTTTAAAGGCATAAATTCCCATTACAACCATCCATATGGAAACTTTTATTATCCCTCTTTTATTGAAGGGTTGCATGATTCCTGTAGGATGAGAGGCAGGCAGCCATGTTCTGCATTTTCCTGCTAATCTTGGCTCTGTTTCACTTCATCTGCATGTCCTTCCTTGCTGTGGAGTGGGTCTATCATTGGCTCTTGCTAGATGGGACTGCCTCTTGCTATAGATCTTTTCAGTGCCAGGAATTTCAGGAAGCCAAAAGGACTTTGCATACGGTGGCTATGCACCAGGTTGTGGATCATGGTGTCCTTGTAGGGGCTGATGTTGTTTGCACTTTGCAGGAGGCTTTTGGGTCCTCTGACAGGAATCTTTGAACTTTGCTTGTACTCCTGCACAAGTCAGCTTGTTCGTTCAGGCGAGCTTTCATTTTTCTTTGCTTTCATGGGGAGTCCACATTGCCCCTCATCAGCACTACTGGACACCCTTTTCTGTCTTGCAATTGCCATGGACCACCTCAGAGATACTCTCTCAACCACATCTGCATCCGAGAAAGGCCAGTTTGAGGTGTGAAAACAATGCTTTATCTGGGACTTGCTTTTGTTGTGGTTCCTGTATTTCCCAGAGAGGAACAAATACTTGCTTTTGTTGTGCTTCCCTGTATTTCCCCTGTGAGGCCCAGGATGAAGGGAGTCAGTGATGTCAACGGCCCAGCCATCTTTCACTGACACCACTCTCTTGGGTCTCAGTGATGATTCCATCACCCAGAGATGCTTCAAAAACTCACCAAATGGTATTTCAATCCCCATGGGAATTAACTCTTGCACACATCCTCTATTGGGAATAGAGGCAGAGGTGCAGATTGCAGTGACCCCTTCACAGTCTCAAAATGACTTCTTCTGTGGAACCCAACCTTAGAGACTGCCCAAAAGGGCCCTATCATCTATATTTTTGTGTCCAGTGGTGGCTTATTACAGGCAGCATTTTTCCCTATACCAGGAAGGCTCTGCCTGTACCATTTTCCTCTGCTTAGGCAGACTGACAGCTCTGAAGGGTGCCTTAGCCTGCCTCAGGAATGCCTAATGAGGCAACTTGAAGATGGATTGTTTGATATTGTTCAGTGTAAGGAAGAGAAACAAGAATAATGATCAAAACTAAGGTTTCCATGGGACACCATCAAGAATATCAACATATTCATAATGGGAGTCCCACTGGAATAGGTGAGATGGGGAAAAAAAGAATATTTAAATGAATAGTGGCTGAAACTTCCCAAAAGTGTCGATAGATGCAAATCTACTGATCCAAGTATCTCTAAAGAACACAATACTCCAGGGAGAATAAAATCCAAGATATCCACACTGAAACACATGCACTGAAATTGACAGAAGACAAATAAATAGAGAACTTTAAAAGAATCAAGACAGAAGTAACTCATCACATGCAAGTTATCCTTCATAACATTAACAGCCAATTTCTCATTAAAAATTATAGTGGAAAGAAGTCACTGTGATGAGATCTTTAAAGTGCTGGAATAAGAAGATAAAGTCAATCATAAACTCAATATCTGGCCAAACAAAAATTTAACTTTATGAGCAAATAAGGCATTTCCAAGCAAACATAATTAAAGAGAGTACATTACTACTAGATCAGCCTTACAAAACATGATGAAAACAAGCAAGGAATGAAAGAAAAATAGTGCCCCATGTGCAAATAAAGAAATAAGAACATCAATAAAATAATTACGTCACGAAATAGAAAAGCCAATATTATTATATTTGGGTTTTCTGTGACTTTATTTTTCTACTGGATTTAAAAGTATCTCACAACTGTAATCCCAACAAAGTAGGGGGATTTCCTTGAGTCTGGGAGTTTGAGACCAGCCAGGGCAACAAAATGTGACCGTCTTTTGAGAAAATAAACAAAATTAGCCAGCTGTGGTGGCATGGACTTCTGTCCCCAGAACATAGGGCACTGAGTTGGAAGGGTCCCTTGAGCCCAGGAGCTCGAGGCTGTAGTGAACCATGTTTAGCCTGTGTGACTGAAACCCTGTCTCAATGAATTAAAATACAATACAATAATAAAATAAAGAAATGACAAAAAATAAAGCAATAATTACACATCTGGGTTGTTAGCAAATGTTGCATAACAAACTATTTTTGACAAAAAAATAGAAAGTTGGGGAAAACAGTATGGGAAAATGATTTTTGTATAATGTCAATGCTCAGTTGTTATAATTCACACTATATTATTATTAATTCAAGATATTAATTATAATACCATTAATAACTTGTCCTTTTTATGGCTGCATAGTATTCCACGGTTTATATGTGCCATATTTTCTTAATCCAGTCTATCATTGATGGACAATTTGGTTGGTTTCAAGTCTTTGCTATGGTGAATAGTGCGATAATAAACATACGTGTGCATGTATCTTTATAGCAGCATGATTTATAACCCTTTGGGTATATACTCAGTAATGGGATTGCTGGGTCAAATGGTAATTCTAATTTTAAATCCTTGCGGAATTACCACACTGTCTTCCACAATGGTTGAACTAATTTACACTCTCCCAAACAGTGTAAAAGCATTCCTATTTCTCCACATCCACACCAGCGTCTGTCGTTTCCTGACTTTTTAATGATTGCCGTTCCAAGTGGCTTGAGATGATATCTCATTTTGGTTTTGATTTGCATTTCCCTGTTGACCAGTGATGATGAGCATTTCTTCATGTGTCTGTTGGCTGCATAAATGTCTTCTTTTGAGAAGTGTCTGTTCATATCCTTTGCCCTCCTTTTGATGAGGTGTTTTTTTTTTTTAATGAAAATTTGTTTGTGTTCTTTGTAGATTCTGATATTAGCCATTTGTAAGATGGGTAGATTGCAAAAATTTTCTCCCATTCTGTACGTTGCCTGTTCACTCTGATGGTAGTTTCTTTTGCCATTCAGAAGTTCTTTAGTTTAATTAGATCTTATTTGTCTATTTTGGCCTCTGTTGCCATTAATTTTGGTGTTTTAGTCATGAAGTACTTGCCCATGCCTATGTCCTGAATGGTATTGTCTATGTTTTCTTCTAGGGTTTTTACGGTTTTATATTTAATATTTAAGTCTTTAATTCATATTGAATTAGCTTTTATGTAAGGTGTAAGGAAGAGATCCAGTTTCAGCCTTCTAAAAATGGCCAGCCCCTTTTCCCAGCACCATTTACGACATAGGGAGTCAATTCCCCATTTCTTCTTTTTGTCAGATTCATCAGAGATAAGATGATTGCAGATGTGTGGTATTATTTCAGAGGCCTCTTTTCTGTTCCATTGGTCAATACATCTCTTTTGGTACAAGTACCATACTGTTTTGTTTACTGTAGGCTTGTAGTATAGTTTGAAGTCAGGTAGCATGATGTCTCCAGCTTTTTTTTTCTTCTTCTTCTTAGGATTATCTTAGCAATATGGCCTATTTTTGGGCTCCATATGAACTGTACCTTTTTTTTTCCAAATCTCTGAAGAAAGTCACTGGTGGCTTGATGGGAATGGCATTGCTTGTATAAATTACTTTGGACACTATGGCCATTTTCAAGGTATTCATTCTTCATACTCATTATCGTAGAATATCCTTCCATTTGTTTCTGTCCTTTTTGATTTCGTTGAGCAGTGTTTTGTAGTTTTTCCTGAAGAGGTCCTTCACATTCCTTGTAAGCTGGATTCCTAGGTATTTTATACTCTTTGAAGCACTTGTGAATGGGAGTTCACTTGTGATTTGGCTCTCTGTTTGTCTGTTAATGGTGTACAGGAGTGTTTGTGATTTTTGCACACTGATTTTGTATGCTGAGACTTTGCTGAAGTTGCTTATCAGCTTAAGTAGATTTTGGGCTGAGACAATGGGTTTTCTCAATATACAATCATGTTATCCGAAAACAGGGACAATTTGACTTCCTCTTTTCCTTATTGAATACCCTTTATTTCTTTCTCTTGCCTGATTGCCCTGGACAGAACTTCCAACACTATGTTGAATAGGAATGGTGAGAGAGGGCATCCTTGTCTTGTGCCGGTTTTCCAAAGGAATGCCTCCAGTATTTGTCCACTCTGTCGGATATTGTCTGTGGGTTTGTCAGTAGCTTTTATTATTTTGAGATATGTTCCATCAATACCTAGTTTATTGAGAGTTTTTAGCATGAAGGGTTGTTGAATTTTGTCAAAGGCCTTTCCTGCATCTATTGAGATAATCATGTGATTTTTGTCATTGGTTCAGTTTATATGATGGATTAGGTATATTGATTTACATAAATTGAACCACATTTGCATCCCAGGGATGAAGCTGATGTGATAGTAGTAGATAAGCTTTTTGTTGTGCTGATGGATTCAGTTTGCCAGTATTTTATTGAGGATGTTCGCATGGATGTTTATCTGGGCTATTGGTCTAAACTTCTCTTTTTGCTTGTGTGTCTCTGCCAGGCCTTGGTATCAGGATGAAGTTGTCCTCATAAAATGAGTTGGGGAGGATTCTCTCTTTTTTTTATTGATTGGAATAGTTTCAGAAGGAATGGTACCAGTCCCTCTTTGTACCTCTGGTAGAATTTGGGTGTGAATCCACCTGGTCCTGGGCTTTTTTTTGGTTGGTAAGCTATTAATTATTTACTCAATTTCAGAGGCTGTTGCTAGTCTATTCAGAGATTCAACTTCTTCCTGGTTTAGTTTTTGAAGGGTGTATGTGTCCAGGAATTTATCCATTTCTTCTAGATTTTCTAGTTTATTTTGTTAGAGGTGTTTATAGTATTCTCTGAGGGTAGTTTGTACTTCTGTGGGATCGATGGTGATATCCCCTTTATCATTTTTTATAGCTTCTATTTTATTCTTCTCTCTTTGCTTCTTTATTAGCCTTGCTAGGGGTCTTTCAATTTTGTTGATCTTTTCAAAAAAAAAAAAAAAAAAAAAAAAAAAAACCCAGTTCCTGGATTCATTGATTTTTTGAAGGGTTTTTTGTGTCTCTATCTCTTTCCGTTCTGCTCTGCTCTGATCTTAGTTATTTCTTGCCTTCTGCTACCTTTCGAATTTGTTTGCTCTTGCCTCTCTATTTCTTTTAGTTCTGATGTTAGGTTGTCAATTTTATATCTTTCCTGCTATCTTTTGTGACATTTACTGCTATACATTTCCCTCTGCCCACTGCTTTAAATGTGTTTCAGAGATTGTGGCATGTTGTGTCTTTGTTCTCATTGGTTTCAAGGAATGTCTGTATATCTGCCTTCATTTTGTTATTTACCCAGCAATCATTCAGGAGCAAGTTGTTAAGTTCCCCTGTAGTTGTGCAGTTTTGAGTGAGTTTCTTAATGCTGAGTTCTAATTTGATTACACTGTGGTCTGAGAGACACTTTGTTGTGATTTCTGTTCTTTTACAATTGCTGAGGAGTGCTTTACTTCAGGTTATGTGGTCAATTTTAGAATAAGTGTGATGTGGTGCTGAGAAGAATGTATATGCTCTTGATTTAGGGTGGAGAGTTCTGTAGGTGTCTATTAGGCCAGTTTGTTACAGAGCTGAGTTTAAGTGCTGGATATCCTTGTTAACCTTCTGTCTCATTGATCTGTTGATTAATGAGACAACATTGACTGTGGGGTGTTGAAGTCTCCCATTATTATTGTGTGGGTGTCTAAGTCTCTTTGTAGGTCTCTAAGGACTTACTTTCTGAATCTGGGTTGTGTATTGGGTGAATATATATTTAGAATTCTTAGCTCTTCTTCATGAATTGATCCCTTTATCATTAGGTAATGGCCTTCTTTGTCTCTTTTGATCTTTGTTCGTTAAAAGTCTGTTTTATCAGAGGCTAGGATTGCAACTCCTACTTATATTTTTTTCTGCTTTCCATTTGCTTGGTATATCTTCTTCCATTCATTTATTGTGAGCTTATGTGCATCTTTGCATGTGAGATGGGTCTCCTGAATACAGCACACTGATGGATCTTGACTCTTTATCCAATTTACCCATCTGTGTCTTTGAACTGGGGCATGTAGCCTCTTTACACTTAAGGTTAATATTGTTATGTGTAAATTTGGTCCTGTCATTATGACGTTGGCTGTGTAGTTTGCCTGTTAATTGATACAGTCTCTTGATAGCATCGATGGTCTTTAAAATTTGCTTTTGCAGTTGCTGATACTGGTTGTTTTTTTCCATGTTTAGTGTTTCCTTCAGGAACTCTTGTAAGGCAGGCCTGGTCGTGACAGAATCTCTCAGAATTTCCTTATTTTTAAAGGATTTTATTTCTGCTTCACTTATAAAGCTTAGTTTGGCTGGATATGAAATTCTGTGCTGAAAATTCTTTTCTTTAAGAATGTTGAATATTCGCCCCCACTCTCTTCTGGCTTGTAGGGTTTCTGCTAAGAGATCCAATGTTAGTCTGATGGGCTTCCCTTTGTGGGTAACTCAACCTTTCTCTCTGTCTGACCTTAACACTTTTTCCATCATGTCAACCTTGGTGAACCTGACAATTGTATGTCTTGTGGTTGCTTTTCTCAAGGAGTATCTTTGTGGCATTCTCTGTATTTCCTGAATTTGAATGTTGGCCTGCCTTGTTAGGTTGGGGAAGTTCTCCTGGATAATATCCTGAAGAGTGTTTTCTAAGTTGGTTCCATTCTTTCCATCACTTTCAGATACACCAATTAAACTTAGATTTGGTCTTTTCACTTAGTCCCATATTTCTCAGAGATTTTGTTTCTTTTTACTCTTTTTTCTCTAACCTTGTCTTCTCAGTTTATTTTATTAATGAGATCTTCAATCACTGATACCCTTTCTTCCACTTGATTGAATCAGCTACTGAAGCTTGTGCATGCATGACAAAGTTCTTGTGCCACAGTTTTCAGCTCCGTCAGGTCATTTAAAATCCTCTCTACACTATTTATTCTAGTTAGCCATTCATCTCATCTTTTTCCAAGGTTTTTAGCTTCCTTGTGATAGATTGGAACATGAAACTTTAGCTCAAATAGTTTTGTTATTACCAACCTCCTGAAGCCTACTTCTGTCAGCTCATCAGATTCATTCTCTGTCCAGTTTTGTTGCATTGCTTGTGAGGAATTGTGATCCATTGCAGAAGAAGCACTCAATTTTTAAAACTTTCAGCTTTTCTGCTGTAGTTTCTCTCCATCTTTGTGGTTTTATCTACCTTGTGTCTTTGATGTTGTTGACCTACAGATGGAGTTTTGGTGTAGATGAACTTTTTGCTTATGTTGATGCTCTTCCTTTCTATTTGTTAGTTTTCCTTCTAACACTTAGGTCCCTCAGCTGCAGGACTTTTGGGATTTGGTGTAGTCCACTGCAGATTGTGTTTGCCTGGGTGTCACCAGCAGAGGATGCAGAACAGCAAATATTTCAGAACAGCAAATATTGCTGCCTGATCCTTCCTCTGGAAACTTCATCCCAGAGGGGCAGCTGCCTATATGAGGTGTCTGTCAGCCCCTACTGGGAGCTGTCTCCCAGATAGGTTACACAGGGGTCAGGGACAGATGAGAGGAGGCAGCCTGTCCATTCTCAGACTTCAAATGGCATGCTAGGAGAACCACTGCTCTCTTCAGAGCTGTCAGACAGGGACATTTAAGTCTGCCAAAGTTGTCTGCTGCCTTTAGTTCAACTGTGCCCTGCCCACAGAGGTGTAGTCTACAGGCAGTAGGCCTTGTTGAGCTGTGGTGGGCTCCACCCAGTTTTAGCTTCCTGGGTGCTTTGTTTACCTGCTCAAGACTTAGCAATTGTGAACGCCTTTCTACCAGCCAGGCTGCCACATCAGAGCTTGATCTCAGACTGCTGCGCTAGCAGTGAGCAAGGCTCTGTGGGCATGGGACCCACCAAGCCAGGCATGGGACCCACCAAGCTAGGCATGGGAGAGAATTACTTTGTCTGCTGGATGCTAAGACCTTGGGTAAAGTGCAGTATTTGGGCAGGAGTGCTCCGTTTTTCCAGGTAGTCTGTCACAGCTTCCCTTGGCTAGGAAAGGGAAATTCCCCGACTGCTTGCACTTCACAGGAGGGGTGATGCCCTGCCCTGCTTCAGCTCATTCACTGTGGGCTGCACCCACTGCCCTGCCATTCCCAATGAGATGAACCAGATACCTCAGTGGGAAATGCAGAAATCACTGATCTTCTGCATTGATCATGCTGGGAGCTGCAGACTGGAGCTGTTCCTATTTGGCCATCTTGGAACACCCTCAGAAAAAAATAGGATGCATTTTTAAAGGTTTTTTTTTTTTTTTTTTTTTGAGATGGGGTCTCATTCTGTTGTCCAGGCTGCAGTGCAGTGGTGTGGAGAGTGCTTCCTCCACACACTTCCCTGTCCCTTTCAATCAACTGGCTGTGAGATCACTGAAACCAGAGATCTCAGGTTCAGAACAGGCCCAAGTGGGGTTGTGGCTGCCCCTCTGCATTTCAAGGTCACTGTGTGGCATAATGAGGTCTTTGGCTGCAGAAAAGGGCATTGCGTTTTCTGAGGAGGGCTTGGTGAGTTGATTTGAGAGACAACACAAGCACCAAGATTTGGAATGTCCCAGGTTAGTGTTGGGGAAACCAGCCACATAAGACCCAGTGGGTACCCCGAATCTGGAGGAGACAAAGGTGTTAGAAAGAGACAGAATAAGCACTTAAAAGGTAGGTCCAGGGCACCAGAGCATTGGAGACTTGCTCATGGCCTGGAGCTCTCAGGCTCCACCCAATTTATTGGTTTACAAATTCTTTGTCCTTAAGGAGATGGGAGGGGGAGGAAGGAATAAGGAAAAGGATTAAGCAGTGAAGGAGAACTCATCAGCCATTCAATAAGATGTATAGCACTGGTGGTTTCTGTGAATTTCCTTGAGCAAAGGCATGTGTCTAAACTACTTAAGATCTTCAACTTATCATGACTGAAATGGGTGGGAGTGGGTTTCAGGAGGAGCCAAGATGTTTTATTATATTCCACTGCTTCAAGGGAACGTTATCTTCCTGAGCAACCAGTGGAATGCCGCTGAGTGGTTATGCTCTGGGGGCATAAATACATGAAGGTAATAAGGAGATTTTTCTTCTCAGAGGCTGCCCATGGCTCCCCATGGGTGTCTCATACAGGGGAGACCAACTTAATTGGCACCCCAGAAACTTTGTTTCCCACAGTTAGTAATTATGGGTTGTTGGTTTAGACCAAAGATAGGGCCAGAGATGAACAAAGAATATTGGGGTGCCCCTGTGGTAACAGCATTTTCCAGCCAGCAGGCTTGCTTTACCTGCTGGGAAGAAGGATGTACCTCAGAGTCCCACAAAACCTCTTCTCCCATCTTATCTCTTTTAGAGAGACATGAATAAAATGGGCCTCAACAATCCCAAGAGACCACTCAAGGACAATGGGAGCCACTGGGCTTGGCTTTCTACTTTCCTGGAGACAAGACAATTTGAATGGCACTGACTGCCAGGTACTGTCATCATATGGGCCATGAGAACATCTCACCTGTTCAGTACCCCTCTACATTTTAGTGGGGACTAGGACATGGAATATGTGTAGGGATGATAGTGCCCTGTCACTGGGATCAGGACAGACCACAGGGAAGGGGAAGCTGCCAGCAAGGAGCCTGGGTCAGGGGCCAGGTTTGGGAAGCAGTTTCCTCTGACCCAACACTTGTTCCTGCAGCTGGACACATTACCTAAATTTATGTCTATTTTGGAGAATGGTGAAAACAGACTTAGAAAAAGACACTTGTAGGCCGGCCACCTAAAGACAAACTCAGCTGTCATTGTGGTGTGTTTATTTTTAGTATTTTGTTTCTTTTGCTTTTCTCATGTTTCTGCTACATATCAGTACTTTTTTGAGCAGCCTCCCTGCACTCTGTGATCTTTACTTGATGAGGAGGATCATTTAAGAATAAGAAAACTGGAGGCTGGCCTGCTGTGGATCTGTTCTACATTTAGGGCTGTCCTAAATCTTGTCTGGCCTTCACACCATGTGCACATTTGCTCCTCCTTTCCACATACCATTAGGATATTAGCATCTTTCTTGACACCTCTTGGGCCTGCTTCCATTTAGATCCTGCCCTGCCCAGGTATGTGTCCCTAAGCAGGTTCATGTGACCTTTCACCTGTAAAATAGAGATGGTGCCAGGATCTGCCATGGGGATTTTTGCAAAGCTTAAGTCAGGCTGGTTGTCAAAAGCCTAAGAGTACAATTGAGACACAGTGAGCATTCATGAAATACCAATGCTTTATTATCAAGTGCTGCCTAATAGTTCTTGAGGATCAACCATCATTTAATCCCATAACTATTAAGCTCTTGATAATTGTTTTCCTATTTTCAATACTGGAGAACAACACTTCATTGAAGGTCATTGTAAATAAAGTGCTAATATATTATCAGTTTCCAGTAATAAGCTTTATTAAGCGCCTCAAGGGGGCCAGGTAATTCAGAGCCTGACCCAAGTCTTTGCAGCCACAGGGAAAACGGTAAAGGCATGTAATTTGTTATATCCTGGGGTCCACAGCCACCAGTAGCCAAATTGAAACAGGAACCCACATTCCTGAGCTTGGCTTCAGTTTCTTTCCAGGTCCTACTGCTCTGGCCTGAGAGAGCCTCTGCCCACCAAAATACGGTGTTCTCTGTTTCCCACAGGCCACTGCAGGGTGGCAACATGTACCAGTAGGGGCCCAACCATGATGTCGCCACCCTCCCCCTCATCTTTCCTGCTCATTACCTCTGCCCTCTGGCTGCTTGCAGTAACATGATGGACCCCTCTATGGCTGCACCTGCATCATGGCTGGTTCCTCTAGCATTGGCATCCTCCAAGAAAATTTCCTTCCAGACTGTGCAGTTGGTCTACTGCTAGCGGCTGGACTTCATGATGCACTGCAGACACCTCTGTGGCTGTGTCTATTGATACCCTTGCTGATGGCTACACGTGGATCTGCTTTGGACAGATCTTGAGTTTTTGAGCTGGATGTGGTGATTACTTGAGTCTTGTTTGAGGGAGTGGAAGTGTGGGTAGAGCTAGGATTTTCTGCTGGAATCTGTGGTGTTTAATTAGATGTGGAACCCGTACCCTGGAACAGAGAATCTTCCTAGAGTCTCTGACACCACAAATTACTTCCCATATATTTTATTTTGAAAATAAAAATATATGCACATGACTGAAAAATACAGAGATGAGGCAAGGGTAACTCAGAAGGAACTGCCACCATGTGCACCTAACCCTAGTCCCCTGAATTACCTGTTAACACCTGGTACAACAGAGGAAGGCTGAGTTTCTTAGACTTCTGACCTTTCCTCCACCCTCACCCAATGATAGAAATATCATGATTTTAGTTTCTTTCTTAGTTATCATTGATGTTGAAAGTAACTGTAGAGTATATGTATATTTATGTATATATTTTTTCAATCCAATGCAATAGAATCTTGTGACTTTCTTCTTGTAGGAAGTATATTGGCACTTTGAATTCACCTACATTTCTTGGTATTCTATAGGTATATACATATTTTTTCTTTAGCTTTCTCTTTTCTTGGAGTTTCTAATTGCCTTTTCTTCTTTCTTTCTATTTAAAATTAAATTAAATTAAAATTAAATTAAATTTAAAATTAAATTAAATTAAGTTGGAACTAAATTAAAATTCAAATTAAATCTCCTTTTATCACATCCTTATCATCTTCCCTCATTTCTAACCTCCCACCTGAAAAATCACTGGTGGACACCTTCCGTTTTCCTGTTCCTATCCCACCAACATCTCTCTAGGCCTGGGGTGGAGCTGTCATTCCCAGAGCTTTTATAACTGCCTCCCTGGGTTTTTACATGTCAAATGCTATTTCGCTACTGCAACTATGGGACAAATCTCCCAGAGAGCTAACCACTTTTCTTAGGTTTATTTTGTTAATTGTATGTGGTTTTGAAATATTTTTTAGATTCTGTCTTCCAATTTTTGAGAGTTACACATTTTAAGAGAATTTCAAGCTGTTGTTCCTAATCTCTGAATTTTCCTATTATCTTCCTAAATTTTGTTATTTTTCAGGGATGCAATATTTTATACTTCTCTGAGACTACGGGGAGCATGTGTTCTGAACTTTCCTTGAACAGAGGTCTTGAGGCCAGAAGGAAGAAGGATCTTAAAGACTCATTTCTCTGGAGGTGAGTTGTCTGTTGATCATATTTGCCTTTGTTTGTTTTTTTTGTTTGTTTGCATTTTTTAAAAACTGTTGGTCTCTCACGTTTGCCTCTGTAATTAGCATTAAGGCTGAAATGGGGATTGTCACACGCTCATTTCACATTGGGACAAGAGGAACTGGCCTTCAAACCAGGGGCCTACAAATGGGAAGGATGATTTCCTCTGGGAATCCCTAAGCTTCCTTCTTTCCTCTGCAGAAACCTTCACCTTCAGTTGCCCTGCTGCTTCCTTGGCATGGCGATGTTCTTCCTCCACTTGCAACCTGATCACACAACTGTGGACATTGTTCTCATGGCTTTTCCCTTCTCTTTGTCGTGAAGAGAGAAGATGCAACCCGTTTCTCTACTATGATGGAACCAGAATGTCCATATTAGAACTTTAACATTATTTCCTCTACATCAGAGGCCACATTGGCTTCTGCCTGAAAGAGGAAATTGCAGAAAACAGACACAAGGATGGGAAGGTCACATTGACATATAAAGTTCCTGAGGGGCAGCTGGGTATTGTGTTAGGTGGTCACTCTTCTGTTCAGGAGGAAGGACTGTGTGAGCCTTTCCCAAAGGCCTGTTCAGTGTCTGAGCTCAGGGCCAACTTAATTTCAGTGTGCAGCCTTATAGATTAGGAAAAGAAAACAATCTGCCTCATCAGGTCTCCTGCCCAACCTTATTCCTTGCTCTGGATCATGATTGCTTATTTAAAAACAGCTTTGTTGGCATGTGATTGGCATATGGTAAACTGCACCTGTGTAGATGGAAGAACTGATGGTTTCTCCATGTGAGTATTTCATTCACCGCAAGGCCAGAAGTGTGATGAAGGTCATGAAAACACATCTTCCTCCCATCAATAACGATCACTCCCTGGCCACCCTAGGACCACAGATCTGCTTCTTTCACTAAAAACTTGTGGGTATTTTATAGAATTACAGGTAAATACAGTATGTACTTGGGTCTTTGTGCGTCGTTCTGATCTGGCTTCTTTTATTCAGCAGAACTACTTTCAGAGTCACTCTGTTCTGAGTGCATCAACAGTCCATTCCTTTTCATGCTGAGCCACATGCCATTGTATAGATGTGCCACAGCTTGTTCACCCTTCTTCTGTGTATGGGCATTTGGGCTCCTGGTTTGGGACCATTATGTGTAAGGATGTCATGAATATTTATTTATGTATGTAGCCTGTGAGCTTGCCTTCATTTCTCATGGTTCATTCCTAGGAGTGCAGTGGCCACATCATGTCATGGTAGGTCTGCATCGACCTTGTTAAGGAATCACTGTCCCTTGTGCTAAGTGTTTGGTCCATTGCCTGCTTTCTCTCTTGCTCCCTCTGATTTAGTCATACAAACCTCTTGTATCCTTCACCCTCCAGGGCAATAACTTCTTAGCATACCGCCTTTCTTTACACTTGGAATCACCAGCTCCTTCTTTATGTGCTGGCTCTGATTCCCTCACTAAATTTGCCCTTTGTGCCCCATGTGTGACCCATTCCCATTGATACACCCTATGTATGAGAGGGCTTTGGGATAAGAGACTGTTTCTGATGAGTATCGAGTACTACAATGGCTCTGAATGGAAGAAAGATGACTGGGTGGGTCTTGTCAACCATTGTCCCTGGAGCTCATCTTTGTTGTTACAAATAAGTCTGGGTGTGGCCTGGGCATATGTTCAAGTACTCGCAAACCTTTTCTAAATGACAACTGGAGACCAGGCCATGGGCTGGAATGTGAGTATGAAGTTACTTGGAAGCTGTGTGATTGAAAGTGAGTCACTCAGTCACTGGATCCTGGCATTTTTCTCTACATGTGGGACTACCCATACTTTGCAGAGTTGCTGTGAGTTCACCTGAGTAAGACACCTGCATGCACTTGTGATCAGAAAATGTTAATTTCCCTTTATTGAAATGGAACAACCCATGGATATTATGTGCTGAGGTCTGGATCAAAATAGAGCATGATACTGAAGACCTTGTAAACCCTGAGGAGGCATCACTGATCACTGGGTGTCCGGAAAGGCAGCAGAGAAAAACTGACCTGGAAGTGAAATTGGCCCGTGGGTTTGTTACAGTTGGTTAAACAGTCATGAGTGGGGCAAGAGCGGGTTCTCCACATCCGCATACCAGGAATGTCAGGCCATCGGGTGATGGTTGGACAGTTATCATATTGCTTCTCTAAAAATAATAATTTAGCGGCTGGGGCCAGGGATAGCCTGATACACAGCTGGTAACATTAAAGTGTTAATTAAACTCACATGCCAGAGAGGAGGAAAAAGGGCGTCCCATAAAATCTCAGACATTGGATGACTGAACCCAGGAGTGCACATTAAGAGACAAAATGGTGGAGTATGACTTTCTGGGGTCACCCCACCAATAAAAGGGAGGAAGCCTCAGATGGGCATACATATAACTGCTTAAACACACTGTCTATACTTACTTCCCAAGGGTAACGAGGGCACTGTGCCTGTGGGCAGCCCATGCTAGGGGAAGAATCATGGGAAAGGGTGCACCAGATGCTGGCGGTAGGCCAGCCTAAAATGTCCCAGAAGGAAGGTTAATGGCCACACTTCTTCAAGTCACCCATTTGGATCTCTTTCGAGTGCAATTTTCATTCTTTCCTGCTCTAAAGCTTTTTAATAAACGTCCACTCCTGCTGTGAAACTTGCCATGGCATTTTCTTCCTTCTTCCTTCTTTATGCCCACCAGTTGAATTCTTTCACCTGAGGAGGCAAGAATTGATATTGCTAAAGACCCGGACGGATTTGCTGCCAGTAACTCAGATACTTTTCACTGGTAACAGGTCTAGGAGCTGGTGGACACAATGGCTGGAGTATGTGTCCAGAATGTGCCTGCTCAGGCCCCAGGCACTTCCGGACTGTGGGGGGACTTGAACCCCAGGTTAAGGGGACACCATGGAATGAGAGCTCAGCCTGCTGTTGGAATACTGGGGATAGGATATTTTTTACTGAAGTAAATCCCCTACCTATTAAGGAACTACTACCCAATCTGTCCTCTTTCTGACCCCTGACAATTAGCAAATCTGCTTTCTTTCTCTATGAAATTACTTATTCTGGACATTTATATACATAAAATCATACACTATGTGACTTTTGTGCTTAGCTTCTTTAAACACAATGGTTTTGCAGTATCTTCACATTGTAGTATGAGTGTCTCAATCTTTTTATGGCTAGATATTATGCCATTGTATAGGTATACTACATTTTGTTTTCCTATTATTTGTTTGTGGACATTTGGTTTGTTTCCACATTTTAGTTATTGTGAATAATTCTTCCATGAGTATATGTGCACACACAGTTTTGTTTGAATACCTGCTTTATATTTTTTGTGTATATACCTGAGGTGGGGGGGATTTGCTGGTTTCTATGATGGTTCCATGTTTAGCTTTTTGCAGAAACACCAAACTATTTTCCACAGCAGATGAACTATTTTACTTTTGTTTTTCTCCACTTCCACGTCAACCCTTGTTCGTTCATGGTTTTTAAATAATAATAATTACAATGGGTGAAAAGTGGTGTCTTCTTGTGGTTTTGATCTGCATTTCCCTGAAATAAGTGATGTTGAGCTAATTTTTATGTGTTTTTGTGTGTGTGTGTATCTTTGGAGAAAAGTATTTTCAATTTCTCTATCATTTTTTTAATTGGGTTGATTGTCTTTTTGTTCTTGAGTTGTAAGAATTTCTCCTATATCCTGGATACTAGGCCCTTACCCTTATATATGACTTGAAAATATTTTGTCCTATGCTGTTGGTTTTCTATTGACCATCCTGATAGTGCCCTTTGAAGCATGAAAGATTTTAGTTTTAATGAAGTTCAATTTATCTATTTTTTCTTTTGTTTTCTGTGCATTCTCTGTCATACCCAGGAAACCATTAACAAGTTCAGTGCCAATAAGCGCAGAAAGATATGTTCGACATCATTAGCCATTAGGTAAATGGATATCTAAATCACAATGAGATTATCACCTTAAACCCACTAGAATGTCTTTTTTTTTTTTTTTGAAAAAGGGAGAGTTGGGGAGTATGTGGAGAAAATGGAACCCTTGTGCATTGCTGGTGAGAATGTGAAATGGTGGTGATGGTTGCACAGTAACATGAACATACATAATGCCACTTACCTGTACACCTACAAATGTTTAGATTGGTAAATTTATGTTACGTTTCTTTTACCACATACCAAAAAGGCTTCCTGAGAACTAGTCCTGAGATAGTTCCATGTGGAAAGAAGAGGACCCTTCTCTCTCCTAGAGTGAGTAGAAGCCTTTGTTTTTTGTTGCTGTTGTTGTTTTGTGTTTGTTTTTGTTTTGAAACAGAGTCTTCCTTTGTGGCCTAGGTTGGTGTGCAGTGGTGTGGTCTCTGCTCACTGCAAGCTCCAACTCCCATATTCATGCCATTCTCCTTCATCAGCCTCCTGAGTAGCTGGGACTAAAGGTGCCCACCACCATGCCTGGCTAATTTTTGTATTTTTAGTAGAGGTAGGGTGTCACCGTGTTAGCCATGATGGTCTCAACCTCGTGACCTAGTGATCCACCCAACTCAGCCTCCCAAAGTGGTGGGACTGCAGATGTGGTGAGCCACCACATCTGGCTGAGTAGAAACCTTCTTATCATGCTTGTACTACACACTCCTGGCTCTTCCACACACCAAGCATGACCTCACGAACCAGAGGCAGTCTAAGTCTAACTGGCCCATTTGTACCCCCTTTCCAACATCCTATTCCCCTATTCAACTCACTCTCTTTCCCCTACAAACCACTGTACATCACAGGTCTGCTTACCTTCTCTGTAGACATTTCTATAATGTCATAGAAATATGATCATAAAATACATGATCTCTTCAGACTGGCACTTTTTGTTATTATTGTTTTCTCATTATTCTATAATTGCTGCCAAAAGAAGCAGGCATGTGCTGTGCCACAGAAAACCGATCATATTCTAAGCTCTACTTAGTAAAAACTAAAAAAAAAGAAAGAAAAAAATATGCTAGTACATATTGTCGCATTTATCCTGTTATTTTTTTAATTCATGATTTCTACAATGAATAAATGGATGAATAAAGCACACAGATATTATGCTTTGCCAGTCCAGCTGAACATCAAGCTGCTTACAGACTACAGGCAAATTATTGCAAACAGTTTTGACTGTGGCCCCAGCCAGCTAGTGAGACTTGCATTTATTCAGTAAGGATTAATTGACCAAGGCTCTAGTTAACACCACTAAAGGGTAATTGACAGTGTGGACTTCCCAGTTAGAAAGCAATTTAGCACTGTGCTAAGTCAAATATTAGTCTTAGGACCACATGACTAAGCAAGCTACTTAGGTAAACACCCCGCATTCCTTTGTTTCTACTCTAACTTATTTAACTAAAGGTAAAAGGCCATCCTGTCTAATATGGTGAAACCCCATTTCTACTAAAAATACAAAAAATTAGCTGGGCATGGTGGCGGGTGCCTGTAGTCAAAGGTACTTGGACTCAGGAGGCTGAGGCAGGAGAATGGCAGGAACCTGGGAGTTGGAGCTTGCAGTGAGCTGACATCGCAGCACTGCACTCCATACTGGCCAATAAAGCGAGACTCTGTCTCAGAAAACAAAACAACACAAAACAAAACCAGTATTCATCACTAAAAAAAGTAGCAAAATATAAAGACCAACAACACTATGAAGAAAGTGGATCAATTAATATGCAAAATAACCAGCTAGTATTGCCATGCCAGGATCAAATTGACCCGTACAAATATTAACCTTAAATGTAAGTGAACTAAATTTGCCAATTAAAGTGCACAGACTGACAAATTGGATAGAATCAAGACCCTTTGGTGTGCTGTATTCAGGAGACTGATATCATGGGTGAAGACACACATAGGCTCAAAATAAAAGGATGGAGGAATATTTACAAAGCAAATGGAAAGTAAAAAAAAAAAAAAAGCTGGGATTGAAATCCTGCTCTATCCTAAAATGACCATACTGCTTAAAGTAATTCACACATCTACAGTGATCTGATCTTTGACAAGCCTGACAAAAACAAGCAACTAGGGAAGGATTCCCTGGTCTGGGAAAACTGGCGAGCCATATGCAGAAACCTGAAACTGAATCCCTTTCTTACATCACATACAAAACTTAACTCAAGATGAATTAAAAGACTTAAATGTAAAACCTAAAACCCTAAAAACCCTAGAAGAAAATCTAGGCAATACCATTCAGGATATAGGCATGGGCAAAAACTTCATGACAAAAAGACCAAAAAACAATTGCAACAAAATCCGAAATTGACAAATGGGACCTAATTAATCTAAGGAGCTTCTCCACAGCAAAAGAAAATATCGTCAGAGTGAACAGGCAACATACAGAATGTGAAAACATTTTTTCATCCTATCTATCTGACAAAGGTCTAATATCCAAAAGCTACAAGGAACTTAAAAAATTTTATAAGAAAATAAAAAACAAACCCCAACAAAAAGTGGTAAAGGATATCAACAGACACTTCTCAAAAGAAGACATTTAATCAGCCAACAAATATATATAAAAAAAGCTCAGCATCACTGAGCATTAGAGAAATGCACATCAAAACCACAATGAGATACTGTCTCACATCGGTCAGAATGGTGACCATTAAAAAGTCAGGAAACCACAGATGCTGGCGAAGATGTGGAGAAAAAGGAATGCTCTATGCTGCTGGTGGGAGTATAAATTAGTTCAATCACTGTGGAAGACAGTGTGGTGATTCCTCAAGGATCTATAACCAGAAATACCATTTGACCCAGCAATCCCATTATGTGGTATACACCCAGAGTATTGTAAATCATTCTACTCTAAGGAAACTGCTTATTGCTGCTAGTGCTGCTTATTGCAGCACTATTTACACACAAAAAAGACATGGCACAAACCCAGATGCCCATCAATTATAGACTGGATAAAGAAAATGTGGCACATATACACGATGGAATACTATGCAGCCACAAAAATGAATAAGTTCATGTCCTTTTCAGAGACATGAATGAAGTGGAAACCGTCATTCTCAGCAAGCTAACACAGGAACAGAAAAGCAAACACTACCTATTCTCATGCATAAGTGGGAATGGAACAATGAGGACACAATGGGGCCTGTCAGGGAGTAGGGGGTAAGTGGAAGGAGATCATTAGGACAAATACCTAATGCATTCAGGGCTTAAAACTTACATGATGGGTTGATGGGTGCAGCAAACCACCGTGGCACATGTACACCTATGTAACAAAACTGCCTGTTCTGCACATGTATCCTAGAATTTAAATTACAATAAAAAAAGGCAGGTTTAATGAAAAACTAAATAGTATCCATGAATTTATGATGACTCCCTATTCGGTTTTTACTTAATGCTTTTTCTGTGTTTCGTGTCTGGAGGAAAGCAAAATAACAACATATTGACCCAAACATTTTAAAACAACTTAATACAAAGGGGTTGGAGCAAATTCTTTTATCTCTTTATGAAGACAAGTGTGAGTTAAAAACCAACTCTCCTAATGCTTCTCAGTGCCTCAAGGTGCTTAGGAAAAAAATAAAACTTCCAACTTAAGGATACTTGGCAGCTTCCAGAACTTTAAGGAAAGCCGAGAAATAAAGTATCCAGCTTCCGGCTCTTTCTAGGAGAGTATGCCTAGTGCCTTCAGGACCCTTGGACCTTGGAGGAAGAGCGGAGGTGGGGTAGGTGGGGGCGGTCTCTGGAGCCACTTGCCGCTCTGGCAGCCACTGCTGCTCCCCATGGGACGGCTTAGAGTCAGCCTTCAGCAGAAGCAGCAGGCTTTCCGCAAGCAGTGTTTGGTGTGTCTGCCTGTTTTCCATCTCTGTATCTTCCTTAGTGATGTATCTACTCAGGTTTTTACCTTGGAATTGGGTTGCTTATCTTTTTGAGTTTTAGAGTTTCTGCATATGTTGTGCATACAAGTCACTTTTCAGATAAGTTTGCTAAATTTTTCTATCTATGGCTGTGGCTGGTTCTTTGGTTCTTTTTTTTTTTTTTCTGAAACGGGGTCTCACTCTGTCACCTAGGCTGGAGTGCAGTGGCGCGATCCTGGCTCATTGCAAGCTCCGCCTCCCGGGTTCACGCCATTCTCCTGCCTCAGCCTCCCGAGTAGCTGGAGGTGGAGTCTCATTTTGTCACCCAGGCTGGGGTGCAATGACCCTATATGGCCTTACCGCAATCCCCACCGCCCAAGTTCAAGGGATTCAAACTCCTGGCTCAGACTCCTGAGCAGCTAGGATTACAGGTGCACGCCAGAACTCACAGTTAAATTTTTGAATTTTTCCTAGAGACGGGGTTTCACCGTGTTTACCATGCTGATCTGGAATCCCTGTCCTCAGGTGATCTGGCCGCTTCGACCTCCAAAAGTGCTGAGATTACAAGCTTGAACTGCCATGCCCAATGGTAACAGAGTGTTTTACAGAGTAGACATTTCAACTTTCAATAAAGTTCATATTATCCGTTTTTTTTTCTTTCATGGACTTGATAATAACTCATCACTAAACCCAAGCTCATGAAGATATTTTCCAATTACAACTTTGCACTGAAAAAATTTAATGTGTGGGTATTTTTGACTAATTTTTTTAACTGTAAAATTTGTGTCTATGTTCATTTGTTTCCGTATAGTTTCCAGCTGTTTTCTTGCCACTTGTGAAAGAGACTTATTGTTTCCAAAGGACATTCTTTGCATTTTCGACAAAATCATTTGACTTGGGCCTGTTTTGGGGCTGACTATTCTGTTCCACTTATCTGCTTGTCTATTAAATCATGAATGACACACTCTTGTTTATTACATTAGCTTTAGTGTAAGTATTCATATCACATCTGGCATTGCACTTCTTCAGTCTTATTTCATCTATTCTAGGTTTAGGAAGAGTTGTTGATATATTTACCTGGAATTTGATTGGAATATAGCTGAAATAATAATAAATGTGCTTCTCCAGAACAAGAAACATCTATTTATTTACTTTGTGAGAAGGAGTTGTGTCACCCAGGTTGGTGTGCGGTGGCATGATCTCAGCTCACAGATTCTCCCACTTCAACGACCCAAGTAGCTGGGACCACAGGCATGCACCACCAAGCTCAGCTTATTTTTTTTGTATTTTGGGCAGAGATGGGCTTTCACCATGTTCCCCAGGGTGGTCTCCAATTCATGGGCTCAAGGTATCTGCCTGCTGCAGACTCCCGAGGTGCTGGGATTACAGGCGTGTGACAACGTGCCTAGCCTGTCTGCATTTGCTAACATTTCCTTTGATTTCTCCCAATGGTGACTCATTGTTTTCTGAATGAATTCTGCATATTTTGTTACAGTTATACTTAATGGATTCAATTTTGCGGGTAGTATTGTAAATGGTGTTTTAATATTTCAAAATCCAATTATTTATATTCATTATTGCTGATATAGAGAAAATCAATTGAGTTTTGTATATTGACCGTCTTCTTTGCTTCCTTTTATCTCCATTCTAGATATGGGAAGGTTGGCTGTATCTCACTTCCACTTCGTGAGATGACCGCCTGGATTAACCCACCCCAAATTTCAGAGATTTTCCAAGGCTACCACCAGAGGGTGCACGGAGCTGATGCACTGAGCCTGCAAACCAACTCTCTGAGAAGCAGGTTATCTTCACAGTGCCTCGGACAGAGCTTCCTTCTCAGGACACTCGAGAGAGGCCGTGGTTTCAGGGCACTTGGGGACATCTGTGGCCACGTTCATGAAGAAGACTAAGCCTACTTCATCTCAGGACCCGCCCAAGAGTGGCCGCGGCTTTGGGACACCTGGGGTCGGGTCCACCATGAGGATAAAACCTCCTTCTCTTCTGGACATGTCCAGGAGTGGCCGTTGCTACAAGTCACCTGGTGCTACGACCAGGGTGAGAATAAAGACGTCTCCTCAGGACCCTCCCAGGAGAGTACATGGCATTGAGACATCTGGCGGCCAAGTGAGGAAAAGACACCCTGTCTGCAGCACCCAGAACTGA
The DNA here is from genome assembly GCF_000001405.40 of Homo sapiens. Lineage (NCBI taxonomy): Eukaryota > Metazoa > Chordata > Mammalia > Primates > Hominidae > Homo > Homo sapiens. Next base: position 22,072,069 of record NC_000024.10, on the reverse strand, counting down.
GGAGGGGCACTGCCCTGGGCCTTACTTCCCAGCCCTGGCCTCCAATTCTGACCTTACAAAAGTGTCCCTTGAGTGAGGCAGTGACCACGCATTGTCACAGCTACCAAAGTGTGGTTTGCAGATGATCTGGGCTTGTTTCTGGCAGAGATTCTGGTACAGAGAAAGGAGAGGCGCTGAGTGGAACCACGATGGGCTGAGGCCAGGGGAGACATCGCAACCTCCAACAACACTTTTTTTCATGCTTTAATAACTCATTTTTCTTAGAGAACTAAAGTAGTTGAAACAATATAGAAACATTTTTTAAGTAGGCATATTAGAACTTGAATTATTATGTAAGTTTAAATATATGATATATGCCTGGTTAGCAACATTTTTTCTTTTCCTGAGACAGTCACAGTTTAACTGAGAGTGCATTTGTAATGGTAATGTAAATGTCTGCTTTATACATATTGACATCCTACATTAGCTGAGATATACTAACAATATCAAACTTTGATATTATGCCATAAAATTAGTTGAAGAATTCTGATCCAGATATGAGTGACAAATGGTCCATGACACATCCCTACTCAGGAGATCCTGAGAACATGTGCCCCAGGTGGTATGTTCACAGCCTACATTTATGCATTTTAGAGAGACCTGAGACATCAATCAAACACATGTAAGATGTACATTGGTTTGGTCCAGGAAGGATGGACAACTTGAAAATAGTGATGGTGTGGGGCTGGGCTTTCAAGTTACAGGTAGATATAAATATGTTTTAATTGGCAGTTGGCTGAAAGAGTTAAATTATTATCTAAAAACATAAAATCAATAGACAGGAATGACTGGGTTACAATAAATAATAAGGGCTGTAGAGACCAAAGTTTTATTATGATGATGAAGCCTCCATGTAGCAGGCTCGAGAAAATAGGTGGTAAATATTCCTTATCAGATTTAAGGTATGTGTTGCTGTTAGTGGTGGTCAACTTTTTCTAAAGTTCAAAAGGGAATAGTATGTAATGAAGCATGTGTGTCCCTCTTTCTTGTCAGGAAGTGAAGCAATTTTGGAATGCTCTTGATCAAAAGGAGGGGTCCATTCAGATGGCTGTGGTTGGTGGGGGGACAGGAGAGTTAATTTTTTTTAACAAGTGTTTCATTTCTGTTTACAAAAGTATAACCTATTAAAGTGTTATAAATTATAATTATCTAAGAGAAAAAAGGGATTTCTTAAATCTAAAAACATAGAAAATAACCTAACCCATCAAACCTTATGGATTTTTTTTTCTTTCTGTTTTTAAAGTTGCCAAGGATGCTTTGCTTGTAAGTCATATATTTGACCTGTTGACCATCTGGGTATAGTTCTGTTGCTTCTTCAAAAATTGTACCCAGCAACCTTCCAAAAGTGTTTTTAAGTAAATTTCTTAAATTGTAGCAATAAACAAAATGAAAAGACAATATTAAACATTACTGAGGTTTATCAAAGGACATACAAAATTTCAACTCTTATTCCTTTCCTTCTTCTTCTCCTTTTATTTTTATTTTGAGACAGGGTCTCATTCTTTTTCCCAGCCTGGAGTGCAGAAGTGCTATGATGGCTCACTGCAGCCTCTAACTGCTGAGCTCAACTGATCTTCTGCCTTAGCTTCAGTTATCATATCTGGCTAACTTTTTGTATTTTTTGAGAGAGACAAAGACTTGCCATGTTGCCTGGACCTGTCTTAAATGCCTGGACTCACATTATCTGCCTGCCTTGGCCTCCAAAAGTGCTGAGATTACAGGCATTAATATAACATTTATGTTAGGGTTAGATAAAAATCAATCTTTTGGCTAAGTTATGAACATGCATATTATGCAATTATATATGTCTAATTTTCATCATTTTCTATGTCAACATTACTCATTTTAAAGTCATATTCAAGGGGTAAGGCAAAACCGCCTATGAATTGGCATATTTGTTTATTTCTCTGTTTGTGAAAATGTCCATAGTTTTTTCAGAATACAAATAAATTTCAACTCTGTTATGCAAAAAAACAGAATAGAATCTTCTTTGCAATTAATTTTTTTCTTTTATTACTATACTTTAAGTTTTAGGGTACATGTGCACATTGTGCAGGTTAGTTACATATGTATACATGTGCCATGCTGGTGCGCTGCACCCACTAACTCATCATCTAGCATTAGATATATCTCCCAGTGCTATCCCTCCCCCCTCCCCCCACCCCACAACAGTCCCCAGAGTGTGATGTTCCCCTTCCTGTGTCCATGTGATCTCATTGTTCAATTCCGACCTATGAGTGAGAATATGCGGTGTTGGGTTTTTTGTTCTTGCGATAGTTTACTGAGAACAATGATTTCCAATTTCATCCATGTCCCTACAAAGGACATGAACTCATCATTTCTTATGGCTGTATAGTATTCCATGGTGTATATGTGCCACATTTCCTTAATCCAGTCTATCATTGTTGGATATTTGGGTTGGTTCCAAGTCTTTGCTATTGTGAATAATGCCGCAATAAACATATGTGTGCATGTGTCTTTATAGCAGCATGATTTATAGTCTTTTGGGTATATACCCAGTAATGGGATGGCTGGGTCAAATGGTATTTCTAGTTCTAGATCCCTGAGGAATCGCCACGCTGACTTCCACAATGGTTGAACTAGTTTACAGTCCCACCAACAGTGTAAAAGTGTTCCTATTTCTCCACATCCTCTCCAGCACCTGTTGTTTCCTGACTTTTCAATGATTGCCATTCTAACTGGTGTGAGATGGTATCTCATTGTGGTTTTGATTTCTGCGATTAATTTTATAGTTACCTTGCATACAGGGAATGTGCTACCTATAAAAAATATGAACTGAACCACAGGCCTTAAACACTAAAAAAAATTTAAGAGTTTATTCTAATTTATTTTATCCTATAAATCAATTGTATTTATATACAATATAGAAAGTTCACAGCCATCAACAGTTCTACTGCAGTTTCAGGTGAAATGGGAATTTAGGAATTTCTGTGGAACTGTAGGCGCAGTGAAACATTTAGGTAAAATATGTGTATGCCTTTAGCAGCACTTGTGAAGGGACGTCTCTCAAATTAAACTCAATGCATTTCTTCTCAGCAAAATGACCTGGGCCACTCTCCCTGGCTTTCACTGTTGCTGATGTTCATGCATGTTCTCTTTTTATCATTAATTTATGACTCTGAAGATATCCATTTGACATCGTGGCATGAGGGCTTTCAAAACCACTGTAGATTTTCTACTCTTCATCCATTATGTACTTAAGTATTTCTACTTTGACTCCCCAGGAACTTGAGTAGTTTCTGCTTAGCCCATGGACAGTGCAGCCCAGGTCCCAATAAAGCAGCACAGACCCCACTCCAAGGCCACCCCCAACCCCAGCTGCCTGCTCCTGTGTGTTCAAGGGAAGTTGGAGAACATGCAGCTTGTTGTTTTTACAAATAAAATTGTTGTGTTAATTTCATTTTCATATCATTTATTGCTAGTGTATACAAATAGATTTTAGTGTATTGATATATATACTGTATGTTTGTTTAATTTGTTTATTAGATTTTATTATTTCTTGTTGATTTCTTATGATTTTCTGTATATGAGATCATGAGATCCATGAGTAGGTAGTTTTATTTTATTTTTTGACATATGAATGGCTTCATATATATTTTTCTTTTCCAATTATTTCGGATGGAACTTCTAATACAGTATCAAATGCAATGATGAAAGTGAGCATCAGTGCTGTGTTCTTCATCTTAAAGCTTTTGTTCCCAACAATTCAGACGCTGATTGTTATGGGTTTTGTATAAAGACGTGTTATCATGTGAAAGACATTTTAATCACAGTTTATTGGATGTTGTTATCAGTAAACATGTTGACTAACTTTAAGTATTTTCTGTAACAGTTGAGATATACATGTACTGTTTTCCCAGCATTTAATTTACATGGTATATTGAAGAGGGATGGCTTCAGAATGTTAAAACAAGCCTCAATTTTCTAGAAAAAAAACGTAATCACATAGGTGCATAATGTCTTCCTCGTGTAGTTAATTCCATGTACTATTATTTGGTTACATAATCTAATGTCTCTAATTATCATATTTGTTAACATTTAGTGTTTTGTCCCAGTGACATCATCTGTTTAATTCAATTTTCAATTGGAGTTAAGAGGTAAGGTTAAGTGTACTCTTATGGGCATTAGGGGTTAGAGTCATAGATGATATATTTAAAATTCTTTGAAGGGTGATATGATAATATTAAGAATGGGATAGAAGTTTGGGATTAGGAATAGGGGTTTACAATTGCAGAAAAAAGTTTAGATTGAGGGTTAGATCTGGGGTTGGGTTAGAGGTCAGTGTTGTGGTAGGATTAGGGTTATGATTAGGATTAGGATTAGGGACAGGGTTAAAGTTTAGTGTTATGTTTAGGGCTACAGTTAGAATCAAGATTAGATGTTAGTTTTAGGGTCAGGTTATGTTTAGGTTTAGGGTAAGAAATAGGCCTACAGTTAGAGGTTGTTGTTAGTGTAGGGTTAGGTTCTGGCTTAACTTCATGGTGAGGGTTAGAGTTAGTGCTTAGGGTGAGAGTTAAGGTGACGGTGAGGGTTAGGGTAAGAGGGTTAGTGCATTAGCGTTAGGGTTTGGGTTTAGGGTTTGTGTTAGGATAAGAATAAGGATTCGGTTTAGGGTTTCAGGTTAGCATTAGGGTTAGTGTTTAGGGTGCAGTGTTATTTTTAGGGTTATTGTTTAGCATTTAGGTTAGGGTTAGGGTCACTTTAGGGTTAGGATGAGGGGTTAGTGTTTGGCCTAGTGTTAAGCTTTAGGGTTAGCGTTAGGGTGGGTTTAGTTTTAGGGTTAGAGTTCAGGGTTACAGTTGGGATTGGGTTTATTATATGTGATTATAGTTAGCATTTAAGTTTTAGTGTTAGAGCTATGGTTGCAGTTGCATTTGAGGTTGTGGGTTAGAGTTAGGGTTAGGGTTAGTGTCAGGATTAAGTTTAGGGATATGGTCAGCATATTTTTAGAATTAGGGTTGGGGTAGGAATTTGGATTAGGGATGTTGGTTATGTGTTATGCTTATGTTTTTAAGGTTAGAATTTTAATTTTCAGGTTAGAGTTAAGGGTGCTTTTAGGGTTAGGTTTGAAGGAGCTTTAGGGGTCAGAGTTAGAGTTAGGGGTTAGGGTTCAGTGTTTAGAGGTAGTGTTAGAGTTAGGGTTTGGTTTAGTATTTCTGTTAGTGTTTTTCTGAGTGTTATGTTTAAGGGTAGATTTAGGGTTTGGGGTAGATTTAGGGTTAGGGGTAGGTGTAGGTGTATGTTTAGGGTTATGGGTTGCGGTAGGGTTATATTTATGGATAGGGATATGTTTTGTTAATGGTTCAGGTTGGGTTTATGTGGAGATTAGGGTTAGGGCTTGAGGGTTATTGTTAGTGTTTTAGTGTTAGTAATAGGGGTTATATTTAGGGTTAGACATCTTTTTCACCCATCTTCACCCGACTAATCAGCACTCTCTTTCTGACTTCTGAGGTTCATATGCATTCCATACGTATTTAGATTATTTGTTTATTTGTTTGTTTGTTTATATATGTTTGTTTATTTATTTATTGGAGACGGAGTTTCACTCTTGTTGACGTGACTGGAGTAGTATGGTTTGACCTCAACTCACACAACCTCCGCCTCCCAGGTTGAAGCGATTATCCTACCTCAGCTCCTGAGTAGCTGAGATTAAAGGCATCCACCATCACACCTAACTAATTTTGTATTTTTATTAGAGACACGGTTTCTCCATGTTTGTCAGGCTGGTCTCAAACTTTCAACTGCAAGTGATCCATCTGCCTTGGTCTCCTGAATTGCTGGTATTATAGACAAAAGCCACCATGCCCTGCATCAGACTTTGAAATAACCTGACTTAAAGTGGATCTACCAACAATGTGCCACCTCTTCACTGTGAGTTGTACACTTCTTGGGATTGCACGGCTGCAAATGGATATGTCTTCTCCAAACTTAAAGCTGCAGATACATCTCAACAACCTTCCTGCAGATAGACGCTACCCACTCTGAAACTTCTCTCCACTGAAGCCTTCAGTGATGTTTTAACAACCTGCTTCTTCATCTTGTCTCTCTTGGCCCTGTCTTCACTGAGTGTTGCAGAGATGCAGGTATTTCCTGTTTTTGAAATGGACTTACCCACTTTCTGTCTCCTGAAAGCTGCGCCATCACTCAATAAAGCATCTATTTACCCTAATTATTCTCCTGTTTTCCACATACATAATTCTCCCTGGATATGCATCAAGAATTCAAGACCCACTTAATGGAGAACCTGAAGATTAGTAACAGAAACAAGGCTGAAACACAGAAACCCACACTTAACATCAACACAGATTCTATTCCTTGTGCTGAGACTCAGATTTTTTTCGGCACACCACACTCTCTCATTGACCTGTTTTAACTTCATCTTTAACTTTACAGTAAATAAGGGCATTACTTTTCTCTAGCACAACTGAATTATATGAGGCAAAGTCCTTAATTTGAGTCATAACCACTTGGGGGAAAAGTTGCAGTCCAAGACACCTGAGAGACCAGGTCTCTGGCACATGCCTCCCATGCTTTCAGCTTTCTCCCACCAATCAACATTACATTGGCCTATGCTTCACCCATCATCTTGGGAAATTTAATGGTAAAACAGCAACCTGGACTCTGTCCAAAGGTCATAGAAGCAGTTTAAAACCAAGCCTTTTTGTTAGCCTAAACCAAATCACAAAGAGGAAGTATGGATGCATCTAGTCAAATGGCTGGGCTATTGGCTGATACAACAATAGGCTTCTTAAACTGAATGAAACTATTCACAATGTTCTTTACAGTATCCACTCTTTCAATGCTTTCTCTGTTTCTGTCATTTCTTAAATGCAAACAAAATCAAGACCTCAGCAAGGGACGCAGCCATCTGCACTAGGCAGCATAAGCTTCCTGTCATCTGCAGCAGCCCTATACAGAGCATTCTTGATTTTTTTTCATTACTTCAATATTTAGTGAGTTGTTCTCTGTCAATCTCATTGATAGCACTTTCTGGGTAAAGCCATCATTTTCCCTCACCAAAATGTTTCTGAGTCTACTGGCACTTTCTATTAGCCTTATGGTTAAATACATCCTTTTGATAAAAGGCTGGTCTTTTTCATCATCAATAATCTCTCTTTTCCCCCCTCTCATGCTTGGAACAAATGTATGGATGTTTTTTTCTTCCATTGGCTGTTTATGGAATTGCTAATACCAGTGTACCTTCCTTGTTAGCTGAGCCCGTAACCATGGAAGCAGTAACCGAGCCAGACCCCTGAGACATTAGTGGGTGTATCTTGCACCTGTTCTCTTCTCCAGTCTGTTCTGCATCAGGATATTTATCTTTACCTTAATCTTTGTTTATTTGTACTGCTGTTCGATGTCCTTTCATTTTACCCTGGAATAATACATAAGGCATTTATTAAATGGTTGTCTACTGGCAAAAGAATGTGGCTTTTATTTAGGAATTTCATAATTTCTCCCTCATTTTTGATGGACACTTTGTTTAAACATAACATTTGTTTGAATTTTTTTTTCTTACTGCATTTGGAATATATGAGTCTACCCTGAGTTTTCAGATAAGAAATTCCTTGATTATTTATGAGGGGTTCTTTCATACATTACTGGTCAAAATTTCTTTGGCTGCTTTCAAGATTCTCTTTGTCTTTATTTTAGACAGTTTAACTATCATGTATGTTTGAATGTGCCTCTTTGAGTTTATTTTACTTGGAGTTTGTTCAGTTTCTTCGGTATTTATTATCTTAAATTTGTGACAGGTTTGACCACATTTTTTTAGTCTCCCTATTTCTTTGTTTCTTTTCCTTGAACTTCCAAAATGGATAAGTGGGTCTGCTTGATGGTGTCACACTGGTTTCTAGACTGTTTTCACATTTATTTATTTATTTTTTCTCTTCCTGACTTAATAATTTCAATTGCCCCTTTTATTCGATTTGGTGACATTTTCTTCTGTATGCTCAAGTCTCCTTTTAAATGTCTGTAGTACTTATTTAGTTAGTTATTTATACAATTTTTTTTGAGATGGAGTCTTGCTTTGTCACCAGGCTGGAGTACAGTGCACAATCTTGGCTCACTGCAACCTCTGCCTCTCGGGTTCAACTGATTCTCCTGCCTCAGTCTCTTGAGTAGCTGGAACTATAGATACGTGTCACCACACCCAGCTAATTTGTGTGTTTTTAGTAAAGATGGGGTTTCATCATGTTGGCTTGGATAGTCACAACTTCTTGACCTTATGATCTGTACCTTGGCATCCCAAAGTGCTGGAATTGCAGGCCTCTAGTCAATTTTAATGTCAATTGTTTTATTTTTCATCTCCAGAATTTTTTTTTTTCTGAGAGCCACTGGAACTGGCCCAGAATTTTTTTTTTTTATGTTTGAAAATAAGTTGTCATGCTTTTCCAAGAAACTGTATTATTTTAGTTTCAATCTCGTTTCTTTGAACCTAAAGTAAGACTTGCATAGAAATCACGAGTGAATTGTTCTTTTAAAGGTGCATTTGTGCCAGTCTGTGTGTTTTTATGTAAGAGCTCACATTTAAAGTTATTACAAGTAAAAAATTACTCTGACATTTTACTTTTTTTCTATATGTTCTTTATTTTATTGGATCCTCAATTTCTCCTTTGTCCATTAAAAAATGTTAACTTTTTAAAACTTTTTTCTGTATTTTTATGTTATAATTCATTATATTTGGGACTTTAATTGTATTCTAAACTTAATAGAGCCTTCTTTGAATAATATTAACTTATTTGAATAATCTAAATTTTAATTTCAACAATATAAATATATGCTGCTCTTGTACTTTTCTTTCTCAGTTTATATTATTGTCTCAGATTTTATCTGCACACACTGAGTGTCCATTAAAGTAAATTTGTAATTTTTTATGTAATAGCTGCCTACCAGAGCTGTAATAGTAATAGCTAACTTTGCCAGAATTGTAATAGTAATAGCATTTCTTTTTTTTTTAGAGAAAGGTTAACCATACATTGAATACATTCCATTAGCATTATGAATAAGAGTGATATATAAACTATTATTTTTTAAATACTGGATCTGTATTAACAAATCTGTTATATTGTCTATTGTAGGAAATAACTGTATTCTTTGCTTTCAACAACTTAAAATTTTGTTTGTGACCAATTCCTGGCATTTTCAACCAAGAGTGACTTCTGAGTTTGGCAAAACAGTAATAAATATGTTTCATCAATTGTTTATTTATCTTCTAGAAAGACTAGAACAAACACAATAAATTAACACACAAGTGCTTCTTCACTCCTCCCAGAATTAGGAACCAGGGTTTAAAATGGAAAATGTGGATTTCAATTTTGAAGGCTTCATCTGTGCCTGGGAGGCAGTATGGCAATCTAAAAAAAATTTACTACTTTAAAATTGTCTCTTTGGATGGATTCCTTGGTTGATACAAACAATTGATTTACAGGGTTCAGACAGTGTTTGATTGGTGTGATGTTTCTTTGAATGGTTCAAAGCTGCCAGGCCTGCAGTTTTGCCTGCGTTTTTATTTGGGAAGCACTGATTGTTTTGTAATCTCAGAGTTTATTTTTATTTAGGAGATCTATGTTTTTGTCCCATGAAAATGTTGTTTAAAACACTTAAATTGAAAGTTACACTTTTAATTTATGTTTCCAGTTGTTAGGTTTTTGTTTTAGTGGTTACGGTATGAAGTTTGTTGTTTGCTTTCTATTAATTGATATTATCAATTTAGTATAAAGGGCAAGGGGCAATATTCTCTTATGTAGTACATCTTGGTTTTATGTAAAACATGTATATATGTAACAAACCTGCACGTTGTGCACATGTACCCGAAAACTTAAAGTATAATAAAAAATAAAAACAAACAAAAAGTATAAAATAATTTGTTTCCAAAGTGACTTTCAAGTACATATCTAAATAAAACAATAAGGGAATAATTATGTAAGCATGCAGCAAGATCTACAAGTGTGATGATCTCTGGCAGAAGCCTGTATAAACAGTTTGAAAAACGACCAGGTCACTGTGGATGGAGCAGACTGTGGAAGGAGCAGACTGTGGAAGGAAAACGATTGCAGACAATGAGCTCATGGGGGTAACACAAAGTCCATGTGATTGTCTAGGGTTTCTACAGGTCAGTAGATTTTACTTGAGTTTTACTCTAAGCCAAGTTCATGACTGGAAGTGGAATTGGTAAGGTTGTTACTAGCATCTAGTGCCAAGAGGCTAGAAATGCTGTTGAATATCTTAAAATCTAGTGTCAGGCACCTTTGAGCAATTAACAGTATTGAACCATCTCTCCAGAAAATTGTAAACAAAAAAATAGGAGCACACTTTTAGAACAATTTGATTTTATATATTCACAGTCACTTAACTCAAAATCCCTGGTTTCTGTAAATCGGAAGGATTTTAAGAAGCTCTTTTAAAGTTCAGTTGATTCAAGTTAGGGTAAGCGTTAGTAAAGTAAAGTCAGTTCAGTTAATCAATAATTAGAAATTAAACTATAGGCCGGGTGCGGTGGCTCACGCCTGTAATCCCAGCACTTTGGGAGGCCAAGGCTGTCCAATCACCAGGTCAGGAGATGGGGACCATCCAGGCTAACTTGGTGAAACCCCGTCTCTACTAAAAATACAAAAAAAAAAAAAAGAAAAAAAATTAGCTGGACATGGTGGCGGGAGCCAGTAGTCCCAGCTCCTCCGGAAGCTGAGGCAGAATGGCGGGAACACCCGGGAGGCAGAGTTTGCAGCAAGCTGAGATCGCGCCACTGCACTCCAGCCTGGGCAACAGAGCGAGACTCCGTTTCCAAAAAAACAAATAAAAACAAAAAGGTAAACTAAATATTTCCTTTTTCTCCCCTTTTCTTTTCCATTATTTTTAAATATTTATGTAAAACGCTAATATAGCAAAATAAAACCCTAGGCACACTCTATTTTTGAGATACCATGGAGAAAACTGAATCAAAGCCTTTTGGGATAGAGCTAATCCGGAATACGACTGGAAGGCATACAGAATACAGATGCACACATGTGCATTGGTACACTACATTATGCATACCCATCGAGCGTAATGATTGCCATAAGACAAATATTAAATGTCTCTTATGACAGAAAAGTTGTGAAGATTTTACAATAACCAAGCCAAATGAAAACCAAGATTTCAAGGATTATAGCCAGGGCTAGATAATTCTAGGTGTTGAGTAGAATGAATACTCAAGCATCTTCTAGGGGAGGCCATCACTGTTGCCATAACCAGCGCAGGGATTATCTCTACAGACACAGGTGGAAGGGCTCATGGCAGCATGAACTTCATTTTTCCTGGATGCAGGAAAATAATATGAGATCACCTGAATGGCAGGGCTGAATGACCTGGAACACAAACGGGTAGAAAACATTCCCCTTGCTTATCACATTGTGGTAGACAAAAATAAAACGAGAGCTGTGGCCCTTCAGGGCGCACAGACCAGGGAGCTCTCAAAGCCAGGGAGGGCTGTCACACCTTCCTTGGGGCTTTGCCTTTTCTGGCATCTGCAAGCTTCTGGGCATCACTACATTCCCCAGTATCAGCTGTGGAGGCTGCTTGCAGTAGGCCTGGCCCAGTTGCAGCTTTTCAGTGATCTAGCAGTTCTGTTGGCACCTAAAACTTCCTGACCTGACACAGCTGGCATGACTGACCATGTCTAGAGGCTGGAAGCCACACTTGCTCATACACCTCTCACCACTCATCCATGTTTGCCCTTGGCAGGTGATAACTCCAGTAACTCCAGCTGGGTGTAGCCTGCCAGGTAGTGTGGGTAGAACAAATTTAGCAGGCTTGATTAAAGCTCAGGGAAAGGCCCCACTGGCCACAGAGGATTTCATCTGACAAAGTGACTCCCCTAAAATCCCATTGCAAAAGCAGCATAGCTGGTTGTGTTTAAATGACTTACTTCTTTTAGTTCTTGAAATACTGAAAATTCAGTGTCCTACATTTTGGATTTTTTTAACCTTATTTGGAAATGATTATATTTCAAAATTTTTACAAAATCAAATTTGAAAGATTATTATTTGCATTGAACCACCTGATCCATCTTATGTATACTGCATTTTTTTTTAAAGACGGACTTTCACTTTTGTAGTCCATGCTGGAGTGCAATGGCATGGTCTCAGCTCAGTGCACCTCTGCCTCCCAAGCAGCTGGGATTACAGGCACCCACCATGGTGCCTAGCATGGCATTGGGCTTCAGATTAGCATTCTTTTAGTAGATTATGAAGCTTGCTTATGAAACAGTATTTCTAATTCCTGGACTTTGACATTTTGTACTTATGTAGTTTCTGTTTGGGAGGCACTTTTGCTGGGCATTGTAAGATGATGAGCGCATTTCTGGCATTTTCTGTTAAATGCAATAGTAACATCATTTTTCTGTGGTTGAAATACCCTAATACGTTTGTGTCTCATGGAATCTAAATTGTTGACATTTACTATTCTAGAGAGTTCTGAAGAATAAATTAAAAACCACTTTTTAAAATGTTGCAGATGCCAGGAGGGGTGGTTCACACCTGTAATCCCAGCACCTTGGGAGGCTGAGGCAGTAGGATCACCTGACGTTAGGAGTTCTAGACCAGCCTGGTCAATAGGGTGAAACCTCTTTTTCACTAAAATTACACACACGCACGCGCGCGCGCGCGCACACACACACACACACACACACACACACATAGAGAAAGAAAAATTAGGTGGGCATGGTGGTGGACAGCTGGAATCCCGGCTACTTGGGATATTGAGGCAGGAAAATTGCTTAAATCCAGGAGGTGGAGGTTGCAGTGAGCTGAGATCACACCATTGCACTGCAGCCTGTATGACAAGAGCAAAGCTCTGTCTTAAAAAAAAAATTGCTGAAATTTTATATGAGATCTCATTTTTCTCTAACTTTTGGCTATTCTGCCATCCTGACATTTTCTCTAACTTGCTGCTGTTCTAACATTCTGTCATTTGTGAAATAAACCAGGATGTCCTGCATGTACTGTGGAACTTAATATAAAACAAAATTAAATTAATTAAATAAAAATAAAACTTTTTTTTCTGGATGTGGGGTTGTAGTAACTTTGAAATGTGTGCACACTTTATTTAAAACATTTTGTAATTAAAAATCAGAGTTGTCACAAACTGCATTGAAAAGTTAAATAAGTAGTACATCTCAATTTTTAATTGATTGAATTTGTTTTCTTTTATTTTTAGAATGATATCTCACATTGCCTCTTTGGCTGGAGTGCACTGGTGCAATCTTAGCACACTGCAGCACCCTGCTTCCCAGCTTCAAGTATTTATTCTTCCTCGGCTTCTTGAATAGCTGAGATTACAGGTGTGCACCACCACACCTCATGTGTTTTTACCATATTGGTCATGCTTGTCTCAATATTCAGACCTCAAGTACTCTGCCTGCCTTGGCTTCCAAAAGTACTGGAATTACATGTGTGAATCGCCATGCCTGGCCCCTGATTGAATTTCTAATTGAATAAAAAAGTCCATCTTGCAAAACCTTATTTTCTACATCATATTTTTGATGAGTTTCTTTATATGTCTCATAATTCAAGAAAAATAATATAATTTTAATGTATTATACTTGGAAATTAATTTATTTTTATTAATATGTAACTAAAATAGTAGGTATATTTAGAATGTTATTTTGCTTTGGTGTAAAGTTCTGAAGTTTTAGAAATTTCTGTAAAAATCTAATTTGGATAATTAGTTACATTAGTTGATTGCACTCAGTTTTTTTTCCTCAGGATTTTCTTTTGTAAGAAAATTCAAAATTGTTTCAAGATACATTGAGATGTTTAATTATGTGAAATAGACTTAAAGGTATTTTCTTTGAAAATAAAGTTTTTATAACCTGTCTTTTCTACTAATAATATGTGATTACTTCTTCTAACTTACTAGAAATTAATTCGTTTTCATCTTGCCTTCATCTAAAGTTCACCTGCAATACATAAGAAGTGAATAACTGCTAGCAGAGAAGGCTGTTCTTGTCTGTAACTGACCCACTACCATCAACCCTGGTTTTGAGCTGCTTGCAGCACCAGCTATTGGCTGTGTAAAAAATCTCACAATGATGCTAGACTGTTTGACTGAAACATATTACAAAGACAAAGCAATAACTAGTGAATATTTTAAATTATAAAGCAGTTTTTGTTCATTAATCACACTTTAGTTTAAAATTCTATTATTTCATTTGCAAAAATTAACTTATGGGTTTTTTCTTTTTGATTAACTAGTTTACCATTTTGTAGCCATCAGGTATATAATTAAAACCATGTAAGTAAGAGAACATTATTTTTCAAAATAAGCATGTATTTCTTAACTTCTCTCCTATAGCTGGTTTTGGTAATTTACCACAGTGGGTTTTATTTAGTTGTATGTGAAAAAAAAATACTAACCCTTTAGAATAACAAGAAGCCAAATTTAATGCTACAAAAACTTTATATTTAAACTGTATGCATTAAAAAGATTTTCATAACCCAAACTTTGAAGTTGTTTCATGGTATTTTAGTTATATTATAAGAGAGGTATTGTTTTAAAAATCATAATGTGAGAAGAGAACATTTGAGTGCATTTTATTACTTTTAAATGTCCATATTAGTTAAGCAAAATAGGTAGCAATGTTGAAATCTTACACAAAACTGAAACTCAGACTGGGAGCCAATGTAAGTAAATTAACAAGTAATAACATGAAATTTAGTTGATTTCAAGAGAAATCTGAGGGTTAAGTACATAATTAACAACAGCATTCTGTACAGATATTTAATTGGAAAATGTGAAATTATATTTATGTTTTTCTCTGTGTGAGTATATTTTTTAGTACATTGTAGGAGTTTCTAGCTAAACTCATTACTTAAAAGGTCAGATCATTCTGTGTCCTGTGGGATCTATGTAGAGAGAAGAGTTTCCTTTTTGAAAACACTTTTTTTTTTTTGTTAATTTGTTTAACTATTGTATTGGAATAGTAAATTTGTATTTTCAAAAGAGATTTTTTAAAATAAACAGTATTGTTGTTAAACTAGCCAATGTTTTCTTGTGATTAATATATATTTTCAAATATACAAGAGGACATGCACTAAAAACTATTATCTTGCCACCAATATTATATTTCTGGTACAGAGATTTTCTTTGAGATATATGCACATCTTCATACAATTAGCTATTTTTTTTTCTTACAGAAATGATCATATTTCTGATCAAAGTAAAAAAATCTTTTGAAAATATATATTTACTATTCTAATACAATAGTTAAACAAATTAACAAAAAAAAGTGTTTTCAAAAAGGAAACTCTTCTCTCTACATAGATCCCACAGGACACAGAATGATCTGACTTTTTAAGTAATGAGTTTATATACAATATGGTTAACCTTGTTTTGTACTTAGTCACACGCCTGTCAATACAACAAGATCTATTTAATTCTGTTTTGTAGCTACATAACTTGCAGTTCAATGTGCTCTAATTTATGTAATCCATCTCTAAGTTGGATTTATGTGTAAGTCATATTCAGTTTTACAAAAAGTAGCATTTACAATTTTCACAGGTATTTTAAAGACAACTTCTAATTGACTTCTTCTCACAATAAAACTATGAACATAGATAAAACAATTATCACTATTAGCTGAGGAAGAAAGTGATATTTATGTGAAGATTATAGTTTTTATGAGTCAGAACAATAATGTAAATGTAGTGCTCAATTAAAACTGAGAAAACTCTAAAGTTCTATTTATGTAAAGATCTGATTAAAATGTATTGAATACATTTAAGTGCAAAAGTTTTTTAATATGTAAATTTGTAATGATTAATGCTAAGTCTGTGTAACACATTAGAATTTAATATTATACCATCATGCATGACCTTTTCTAAGAAAATTGTTACAGAAGCAATGTCATTAAAAATGTGGACTTAAGAAGTCTGTGGTTAATAATTCTGTGATCCAGCAACTATACATAATCCCAGTCATCAGAAACAGTATTTCTACAATTGAAAACACAGTTAGTGATGAACTCGATGATCGTTCAAAGATGAGAAACAAAATTGTGAAGTAAGTTTTAATTATCATTTTTTGAATATTCTCATAGTAGATACTGTTGTTCTTCCTCAAATTAGTATAGTTTCATGAGGTTTTATCAGGACTGCATTTTGATGATATGGCTATAATATCTGAGATACTATGACTGGCATATTTATTGTGATCACTATCTAGTAAGTTGAAATTTTAGTTAATAATATTTATCAATGTTTTTTGTTGTTTTCAAAGCATGGTTGATATAATCACATTTGCACAACATGGTAAATGCAATTCATTCTTTGGATAATGAGAAATTTTTGTTTTTAATAATTATATTTTCATCTTGTTTTATAAAGTAGGCTTTTTTACTGTTCTATCTGTGTTATATAAGTTGTGCTTATTTTTAGGATTCTCTAAATATTTTTCTCAAATTAGGGTTTTTTCTGCTAAGGAAAAAAATTGATTTTCAGATAATGCTACATGGACCTGTTAGCAACATGACGTAACTATTACAATCAGGCTGCTAAGGGTATAAATCATCTGGTTGAAAATAAAAAGTATCTGGTTGAAAATAAAGCAGCAAAAATATTAGGTTTTAGTGGCAGATTACATATTTAAGATATAGCTATTAAATAAGTGAATACCAAAAACTTGAATTTTGGAAATGTTTGTACTCAAGTAGTTCCTTTACTTTTTGCATAGGTATTGATAGAAACTAAATAAAGAAATTAGAATATTTTAATTGTAATAAATCTTAAATTTCTACATTTCTCTTCCTCAGTGATCAGAAATAGTTTGGTTTTCAAATAGCATCTCAGCATTTATCATTTATGGAGATTAAAAACACACTTGCCTCTCCCTTTCTAGATCTGATAGATCACACCACGCAGGCATTAAAACCTTGGTAGCATTTCTTTTAGTAGAATGTCCATATGGGACGTTCGCTAACACTTGGTTAATAGTCACTAATAAACAACAACAACAACAAAAAGTAAAATTTAGTTCCTTGTACTGTAATCAGTTTTACCCCTAGGGTTTTGAATTTAAAACAGATAGAGATGGTTAATTACACTGGCAAGAAGTGAATGAGGCAGACAGAATATAAAATTCAAATTAAATCCCCACCTTTGTGCTTCATTGCTTGTGCTTTATGATGTCTTAG
The DNA here is from genome assembly GCF_000001405.40 of Homo sapiens. Taxonomy (NCBI): domain Eukaryota; kingdom Metazoa; phylum Chordata; class Mammalia; order Primates; family Hominidae; genus Homo; species Homo sapiens. Next base: position 22,054,842 of record NC_000024.10, on the reverse strand, counting down.
CGCTTTACTGTGGCTGCATGTCTGCCTAGCTGCTTTTTCTATACAATGAACTTCATCAGGGCACAAACTGGATATTGTTCATTATTGTATCAAAAACCTCAGATGTAGAGAAAAACATACAGAAACATGAGAGATATGTGTAAAACAACTGTATTTTGCTCTGTAGCTATAAGGAAATTATGACCTTTGGCGTTCCTGTGTGTGCTCTCATTCCTTCCACAACTACTCTTAATAGCTGTACTTATTGTGCAGTAATAATTCCAAATACATCACATAAATTATATCATGAAATCTGTAAAAATGCATTAAAATCACAAGAAGACACTGAATTCTAGGAGAACAAAGTATCTTATTCCTCATATGGCAGAGCACTGATTTGTTTTTAATCTGTCTACTCAACAACACTGTAGTATATTTTATTACCTGCAATATATGCTATTGTTTTATTATTGCTAAGGATAATTTTTCTGTGATCTCTTTCTGATGGTCCCCCTGTGAAATAATCACTAATCCTAAACATTAAAAACAATAAGTTCTTTGAAAATAATATTAAAACATGCATATCATCTTATTAACTAAGTTTTGGTATTTATTTCAACTTCTTTTATTATATTTTAACGTTAGATTAGTGCATCACCAATGTATTTTGGTTTCTATAGCAATGCTCATCTCCAAAATGATGTACGTAGTTAACGTCATAAATTTAAAGATGAGCCCACATTAAACAAGATAGAAGATAGGAAAGAGAACAATATTCGTGTCCAAAGACACCTTCAAGCCTCTTTTACATTTAGTTGCCTTCTGACTAAAATACTATGTACTGAAAATTTTTTGGAAACACTTCAGGTAAATTATGGGTGATTTATCAATTTAATTTTGATAAAATCGTCTGTACATTAAATTTTTTAAATAGATCTTTAAAATACATAGTTTATTTGGCATGTAATATTTAAAAAATAGTAATATCCTAGCTGCATTTCTTGATCATTTTTATTATTGTCATACTAATAGAAAAAGGTTAAAATTGTCACAGCAAAGACAGGCCACTGTATTCTTTCATCTCTTAAGGTATAATTGACTTCTTATAGGAAGATTTGTAATCTATATAATCAAAATATTAAAATGAAGTCATCTCCTTGATTTAACAGTTCTCAAATGAAGCAAATGTCAAGTACATTTTTTAAGTGTACAGATATTTTAATACATCCCTAAAGTTTTTTCAAAAATATATGACCAGGGTACTGTTATCACACATAATACAAATTATTTTACAACCTTGGGCAACGTAGAAAACCCTGCCTCTATGAAAACAAAACAAAAATTATTCAGGTGTGGATATATGAGCCTGTAGTATCAGCTACTTGGAAAGATAAAATACCATTTATTTGACTAACTTTGATATTTGATTACACTTTCCTCATTATACTGTTCAATTTAGACTAGCACATCAATGATGTCTTTTAGTTTCTAGAGTAATGTTTATGCCTGAGATTATGTATAATAATCACCTCAGAAATCCATATTACTCATCATCAAATAAGCATTTTTATTATCAAATAAACCTTTTAATCACTGACAAAAAAGTACTGCTTCCTAGTCCTGCAAGATAAAATATATATGATATACTTTTATATAAATATATAATCTATAACTTCATGTAATATACACATAATTTTTGCAAGCCTGAATGTAATCTCATAGATTTTGAGCCTCTTACAAAAGTGACCAATAACACTTGGTCCGTGTTTAGATTTGAAAAATCTCAACTAGGCCAGGCCCTGTCACTCACATGGATAGCCTTAGCACTTTGGGAAGCCAAGGGAGTCAGATTACTTGATTTCAGGAGTTCAAAACCAGCCTGTGCAACATGGTGATATCCCATCTCTACTAAGATGCAATAAATTAGCTGAGTGTAATTGTCTGCACTAGTCCCATCTACCCGGGACACTAAGGCGAAAACATCACCTGAGCTGTAACCGTGTTGCTGCATTGCAGACTGAGTAATGAAGAGAAGCTGTGCCACACAAACACACACAACCACACATGCACACAAAACCACACACACACACAGAGAAAGAGTTTAGTGTTCTTTCAAGAAGGTATTTCTTAGATAGCTCAGAGGTAGGAAGAAAAAGGGATCTTCTGATTTCTGGGCTGTCTTCTGTTTTACTCACAGTAGTTCCCTTTCTATGTATTAGCATATCACTTAGATTTCCTTTAAAAGTCTTTAGTGCACGTGTAATTAACTGACTGCCCATTATAGCTTTCAGTAAAAGTTTCCAAATTTCATAGCTAAACTGTAAACCTAGGTTATAAATATGATTTGCATATATAATTCTAATTTACATATTTCAATTCTTTATCTGCACACGTCCCTCACTCTCATTTTTTCTTGTGTCAACAATTTATTTTCATTAGCTTTCTCTACTCAAAACATTTCTTTTTCTGCAATCTAGTCAACATTTCTGTTCTTGTTCTCTCAAATTATTATAACTCTTTGAGCTTCTGTCTTCAAAACTTTCACTCAATAATTTATGTGTGCATGCATCTATATGTGATCATCTGCTATCACTTGGCACCAGGGCCTGTTTTTGTGAAAGACAAGATTTTCATCAACTGGGGTTGTGGAGACAGTTTTTGGAAGATTTGAGTACCCTCCATTGATTTTGCGCTTTATTTGTCTTATTATTACATTATAATATTTAACAAAATAATTATACATCTCACCATAATGTAGACTCAGTGGGAGCCCTAAACTTATTTTCCTGTAGCTAGATGGTTCTATCTGTGGGTGATGGGAGACTGTTGCAGGTGATCAGTTGTTTTGATTCTTATAAAGAGTGCAAAACGTAAATTTCTCTCAAGTGCAGTAAATAGTAGTTCCCTCGCTTCTATAAAAATCGGATGCTGCCACTGATCTTCAGAAAGCGGATCTCAGGCAGTACTGTGAACCATACTTAGTGTTTTAAATAGAGATAAGGTTTCCATGCTTGGCCACCACTCACCTGTTGATGTGTAGCCCCAGTTCATAACAAGACGCAGATGGATACTGATTAGGGAAACCCCAGCTCAAGCCAAAGAGTTTGAGACCACAGTGAACTGGAATTGTGCCACTGCATTTTAGCTTCAGTGACAAAGAACCTGTCTTCACAAATAAAAGTAAAAAATACATTTTATAATTTGTATTTTAAATAATATCTTTTGATACAAATGTGAGAAATCTTTTACAACTTTAAATGTGGACATGAACAGTCTTCAAAATCTTCTTCATTCTTTGGAACAGTGTATCAAATTGAATGTGCAAATGCACATCATTGTAAAATGTGATAAAAAGTTTGTTTTGTTCAGTTTTGAAAAAAATAATTATCTCATTGAAAACAACCAGAAGACAATTAGAAGTGTTTGTGCTCATCCACAAAATTAACTTCTGCTTTCTCTTTAGTATTTGCACGGTATCAGAGAGGTAGTCAAGATGATAACTGGCTTAAAGGAGAATGTTATTGACAAAATCGAATGACTGACTAGGAAAAAAAAAGTTATTCTCATTAGGTGAATAATTTGAGATGTAAAATAATCTCCCAGATTGTTTTCATCTCTACTCTAAAATAAATTGCATTTTAATGATTGAATCTTGAAGAGTTGGTAGAAGAAAGCATTATTCTTTTTCTACTATAAAAATCTCTTGAAGCAAAAATGTTCCTTCATTTTATGGGCTTCCAACAGATTTTAACGACCACTTGTAGTTTCACAAACAGGTCTCTTTCTTTAGGCCTAACCAGCTAATTTTATTTCTTCGCAATTTGACTAGGATATATAATGGTAAAATGTCTTTGAAGATATTATATATTAAATGACAGGTATGTCTTTCTTGACCTTCATAACATCTCACCTCCAAGCTGTCTGCATTATCTTGCACTTAGCTGCCATTTAAATTGTGGTTTATTTTTAACAGCATACTGCCTGCTATTTTCACCTCTGAGACTTGGAACAATTTCTTTTCACCCTGCCTGCCACTCTTAATTCACACCGTTTAAAGTATTATGTATAGGTTTTACCTTTTTATAAGACAGAGAGTCCAGCTTTGCCAACAGGGTGAAGCCCCATCTCTACTAAAAATATGAAAATTAGCCAGGTGTGGCGGCAGATGCCTGTAATACTAGCTACTGGGGAGGCTGGGACAGGTGAATCGCTTGAATCTGGGAGGTCTAGGTTGCAGTGAGCCTAGATCCTGCCATTGCACTGCATTCTAGGTGAAGAGAGTGAAACTGTCACACAAAAAGAAAGGACAGTGAGGATTAAATTTATTAATATGTGTGCAGCTCTTAGTGTATTACCTTGACTTTAAGCACTATAAGTATTAACTGCTATCATTATTGCTTACTTTGTATCTTCAGTTTGCTCACACCAAATTCTGCTTAATTGCATAAAAGAAAATATTAGAGAAGTAACACAGATAGTAGTGGCTATATGGAACCACATAGCCATCACTCTCTGTGTCAGTAATGTTTTCTGATTTGCAACAAATAAGAGACCTTTTGCATATAAAGGTTCTGCAAACAGATTTCCCTAGACATATATTAAAGTGTTTGAAAACAAAAACAAAAAAATCAATACTATGGTAAAATGTAACAAATTTAAAGTCATTAGAGTAAAATATCTGTCTACATAGCATTTACATTTTATTAATTATTTATGTAGAGATAAAGTAAACTACACAGGAGGATGGGTGTGCATTATACTTACCTACTGCATCATTATAAAGCAGAAGCTTGAGCAGACATACATTTTGGTATTTGAGATGTTTCTGGAGCCAATCCCCTACAGATACCAAAGGATTGCTATATATAAATATGTTAAGCTTTGATAAGAAAGTATTGCTTAAGTTAGTTATGGCATAATTACCATGATGATGTTAATGATTATTTACTTACCTTTTTATAAATAAATTAAAAAGATTATAAGCTTTAAAATTATCATTACATTGTTTTTGATATTTGCTGGGGAAATGAGAACATTTGTACATGGGGACACATTCTCTGTTTATGGTATGGTAACACAATTAAGCACTTGCTATTTAAATAATTTCCTTTTTTTGTTTTGTTTTGCAATTACCTATGCTCCTGTCACCAATCTAGTAAGTGTGTGTGTCAGGGAGAAAATTACATTTATTTCTGGGATTGAGGACATTATTTTCTTGTTTATTTAAATCATGCTGAAGGGATGAGATTTTTGCAGCTGACACTGTGTAAGTTAGCAGTGTATATTTGATTTTCAATGGATACATTTCTCAGACTGGGAAGGAAGCACTTTTGGTCAGATTTTTTGTTGGTTGCTAGGAGACCAAAATCCTCTTGTGATGTCATTGCTACTCACCTTGGGAACATCGTGATGGTCTAGATTTCTTTACCTGCCTAGGCCTTCTGAAGCAGCATTTGAAGCCACAGTCTTGAAAACCATGCAGGCTGGAAGAGTAGCTAAAGAAATGTTTATTTGAGATGGCACATGTTTCTTCAGAAATTCAAGATGTTTCTCCCAAAGATTAGTTAACTGGTTCAGAAGCCTCCAGTAGGTCTCCGTTGCGACAGAATTTTCAAAGATCTGCCTTTCTAGCCACCTTTCTGGCAGAAGAGAAAGAATCCGATGCCTTAAGCAAAGCATTTAACATATTTCAGTTACCACTCTATGTAAAGTATGTATGTAATTTTACTTTGAACATCAGTAAATATGTTAATACATGCAACAAGACCAGATGTTGAAAATTATATAAAATATTAAGGTAGAAATTATTTATTTTTTTGAAATTATTGAGTTCAGCTTGAGCATCAACCTTTCAGAGTTTTCAGAAATGTTGCTAAAACTTTGAATCTTACCAGTGAACTCCAAATAAATGTATCAAAGCCACTTAATGTAATGTTGCTATTAATATATAACATGTTTTCACCTGAGGGCTTAACAATTTGAGTGCTTTTTTTTCCCAACAAGCACTTTCTTAAAAATAGCAAATAATGTTCATGAATTATTTGATGTCATTAAGTTTGTGTGACGAAAGAGAAATCTGATATTTTATGTGTTATGTTTGTTATTGTCACTTGTCTCCCGGTTTAAAATGGCACTGAATTACCTTTTTCTTTGGTTTTAGTTAAAGTTTTATTATAATCCAAATTTCAAACGTGGCTGTCCCCAGCATTTAGTAAGGGTGAAAAGAAGAATTGGTGTTAAAAATGCTTCACTTATACCTACTTTATTCAATGAAGATTTCAACAAGAAGCATTTTAGATCAGGAGCTAACATTAACAGTACACACTTTTGATCTTACATTAAAGGATTCCAACATGTTTGTGCCTTTCATTACCTCCTGTTAGAGTCCATGTTTCATGTTTTCTAATGCACATTTCCTTGCTTCTTTTTTTCTTTGAGATAGTCTTACTGTGTTACCCTGGCTGGAGAGCAGTGGCATTATTTCAGCTCACTGCAACCTCAGCCTCTGGGTTCAAGTAATTACTGTGCCTCAAACTTTTGAGTAGGTAAAATTATATATGCCCACCAAGCTGGGCTAATTTTTGTATTTTTCGTAGAAACGGAGTTTCACCAAATTGGCCAGGATGGTCTTGAATTCCTGGCCTCACGTGATCCACCCACCCTGGCCCCTAAAAGTGCTGGAATTACAAGGTTGAGCCACCAAACCCCTCCTCTAATACAGATGTTCATCACATTGGTTTCATCTATACAAAGTCAGATTTCATGGCTTTTGTCAGGATTTGATACCTTTTAGATTCTGAATCCATATCCTCAGCATGGCTGAACAAATCCCTTCCAGACCTAATATTTATTTTCCTGTCAGCTTCATGTCTTTCTGTTTCACCACAGTCCAGTTGGAGCAACATCTGGACAACTCCACTTTCAGCCATGCCCTTTCCTATCTTGTAACTTGGGCCCCATTTTTTCTTGGAGATAAATGCTCTCTCCCGATTTGCCTACTTAAGACTCCTACAACACAGACATCACTCCTTCCAGAAGGTGCTTCTTATCTGTCACATTAGTTTTCTTGTCTGTCTGTCTGTGTCTCCTGGACACCCAGCACTGATGTCACACAGTACCTAATACATATATGTACATTTTTGTATTTATATACACACACACACACACACACACACACACACATATGTATGTGAATTTGTGAATGTTGACTGTGGACATACAACCATAAAATCTATTTTCATTGTCAAAAATGAACATTATTGGTGTTGTGGTATTACTTGTTATTCTTCATTACTCACCACAACTTTTCATAAAAGGGTAGGTCAGAGTTTTGTTCACTAGAGGTGCAATAATTTTGACTTACTGAGATTAACATCCCTGGTTATCATTTCAACTATCACGCTTTCTTTTTCGGTATAGGTATGTTTTTTTATATATGTATATATTTGTATATTTTTTGTATATGTATTTTTTATATTTGTATATGTTTTATATTTGTATATTTTTGTTTGTATATTTTTGTATATTTATTTGTATATGTTTGTTATATTTTACATTTTTGTAAAAAATTTATTTATATATTTATATTTATATATATTGTAAAAAATATTTATATATTTATATATTATATTATTCATATATTATATATTTGTATAATGTGTATATATTATTTACATATTTGTATATTTTATTTTTTTATATTTGTATATTTTTATATTTGTATATTTTTTGTATATTTATTTGCATATTTTTCTAAATATATTGTATATATTTTTATATATATTTGTATATTTTATTATACTTTAAGTTCTAGGTTACATGTGCACAACGTTCAGTTCTGTTACATATGTATACATGTGCCATGTTGGTGTGTTGCACCTGTTAACTCGTCATTTACATTAGATATATCTCCTAATGCTATACCTCCCCCACCATTCCACAACAGGCCCCAGTGTGTGATGTTCCCTTTCCTGTGTCCAAGTGTTCTCAATGTTCAATTCCCACCTATGAGTGACAACATGAGGTGTTTGGTTTTTTTGTCCTTGCAATAGTTCCCTGAGAAGGATGATTTCCAGCTTCATCCATGTCCCTACAAAGGACATGAACTCATCACTTTTTATAGCTGCATAGTATTCCATGGTGTGTATGTGCCACATTTTCTTAATCCAGTCTGTCATTCATGGACATTTTGGGTTGGTTCGAAGTCTTTGCTATTGTGAACAGTGCCACAGTGAATACACACGTGTGTGTGTTTTTATAAAAGCATGATTTATAATCCTTTGGGTATATACCCAGTAATGGGATGGCTGGGTGAAATGATATTTCTAGTTCTAGATCCTTGAGGAATCACCACACTGTCTTCCACATGGTTGAAGTAGTTTACACTCCCATCAATTATGTAAAACTGTTCCTATTTCTCCACATTCTCTTGAGCACCAGTTGTTTCCTGACTTTTTCATGATTGCTATTATAGCTGGTGTGAGATGGTACCTCATTGTGGTTTTGATTTGCATTTCTATGATGGCTAGTGATGACAAGCATTTTTTCATGTGTCTGTTGGCTGCATAAATGTCTTGTTTTGAGAAAGTCTCTGTTCATATCCTTCACCCACTTTTGGATGGGGTTGTTTGTTTTTTCCTTGTAAATTTGTTTGAGTTCTTTGTAGATTTTGGGTATTAGCCCTTTGTCAGATGAGTAGATTGCAAAAATGTTCTGCCAGTCGTGTAGGTTGCCTATTCGCTTTGCTGGTACTTTTTTTTTTTTTTTTTTTTTTGGTCTGCAGAAGCTCTTTAGTTTAATTAGGTCTCATTTGTATTTTGGCTTTTGTTGCCATGCTTTTTTTGTTTTTGACATGAAGTCCTTGCCCATGCCTACATCCTAATGGTATTGCCTAGGATTTCTTCCAGGGTTTTTATGGTTTTAGGTCTAACATTTAAGTCTTTAATACATCTTGAATTAATTTTTGTGTAAGGTGTAAGGAAGGGATCCAGTTTCAGCTTTCTGCATATGGCTATCCAGTTTTCCCAGCACCATTTATTAAATAGGGAATCCTTTCCTCATTTCTTGTTTTTGTCAGGTTTGGCAAAGATCAGATGGTTGTAGATATGTCGTATCATTTCTGAGGGCTCTGTTCTGCTCCATTGGTCTATATCTCTGTTTTGGTACCAGTACCATGCTGTTTTGATTACTGTAACTTTGTAGTATAGTTTGAAGTCAGATAGCGCAATGCCTCCATCTTTGTTCTTTTAGCTTAGGATTGACTTGGCAATGAGAGCTCTTTTTTGGTTCCATATGAACTTTAAAGTAGTTTTTTCCAATGCTGTGAAGAAAGTCATTGGTAGCTTGATGGGGATGGCATTGAATCTATAAATTACCTTGAGCAGTATGGCCATTTTCACAATATTGATTCTTCCTATCCATGAGCATGGAATAAACTTCCATTTGTATGTTTCCTCTTTTATTTTATTGAGCAGTGGTTTGTAGTTCTCCTTGAAGAGGTCCTTCACATCCCTTGTAAGTTGGATTCCTAGGTATTTTATTCTCTTTGAAGCAATTTTACATGGGAGTTCACTCATGATGTGGCTCTCTGTTTGTCTGTTATTGGTGTATAAGAATGCTTGTGATTTTTGCACATTGACTTTGTATCCTGAGACTTTGCTGAAGTTGCTTATCAGCTTAAGGAGATTTTGGGCTGAGATGATGGGGTTTTCTAGATATGCAATCATGTCATTTGCGAACAGGGACAATTTGACTTCAGCTTTTCCTAATTGAATACCATTTCTTTCTTTCTCTTGCCTGATAGCCCTGGTCAGAACTTCCAACAGTATGTTGAATAGGAGTGGTGAGAGAGGGCATCCCTGTCTTGTGCCAGTTTTCAAAGGGAATGCTTCCAGTTTTTGCCCATTCAGTATGATATTGGCAGTGGGTTTGTCATACATAGCTCTTATTATTTTGAGATACATCCCATGAACACCTAATTTATTGAGAGTTTTTAGCATGAAGGCTGTTGAATTTTGTCAAAGGCCTTTTCTGCATCTATTGAGACAATCGTGTGGTTTTTGTCTTTTTTTCTGTTTATATGCTGGATTGCATTTATTGATTTGTGTACATTGAACCAGCCTTGCATCCCAGGGATGAAACCAACTTGGTCATGGTGGATAAGGTTTTTGATGTGTTTCTGGATTTAGTTTGTCAGTATTTTATTGAGGATTTTTGCATCAATGTTCATGTGGGATATTGGTCTAAAATTCTCTTTTTTTGTGTGTCTTTGCCAGGCTTTGGTATCAGGATGATGCTGGCTGCATACAATGAGCTAGAGAGGATTCCCTCTTTTTCTGTGGATTGGAACAGTTTCAGATGGAATGGTACCAGCTCCTCCTTGTACCTCTTGTAGAATTCAGTCGTGAATCCATCTGGTCCTGCACTTTTTTTGGTTGGTAAGCTACTAATTATTGCCTCAATTTCAGAGCCTGCTATTGGTCTATTCAGAGGTTCAACTTCTTCCTGGTTTAGTCTTGGGAGGATGTGTGTGTCAAGGAATTTATCCATTTCTTCTAGATTTTCTAGTTTATTTGCATAGAGGTGTTTATAGTATTCTATGATGGTAGTTTGTACTTCTGTGAGATCAGTGGTGATATCCCCTTTATCATTCTTTATTGCGTTTATTTGATTCTTCTCTCTTTTCTTCTTTGTTAGTCTTGCTAGCGGTCTATCAATTTTGTTGATCTTTTCCAAAAACCAGCTCCTGGATTCATTGATTTTTTGAAGGGTTTTTGGGTCTCAATTTCCTTCAGTTCTGCTCTGATATTAGTTATTTCTTGCCTTCTGCTAGCTTTTGAATATGTTTCCTCATGCTTCTCTAGTTCTTTTAATTGTGATGTTAGGGTGTGAATTTTGGATCTTTCCTGCTTTCTCTTGTGGGCATTTAATGCTATAAATTTCCCTCTACACACTGTTTTAAATGTGTCGCAGAGATTCTGGTATGTTGTGTCTTTCTTCTCATTGGTTTCAAAGAACATCTTTATTTGTGCCTTCATTTTGTTATGTACCCAAGTAGTCATTCAGGAGCATGATGTTCAGTTTCCATGTAGTTGAGTGGTTTTGAGTGAGTTTCTTAATCCTAAGTTCTAGTTTGATTGCACCATGGTCTGACAGACAGTTTGCTATAATGTCTGTTCTTCTACATTTGCTGAGGAGTGCTTTACTTCCAACTATGTGGTCAATTTTGGAATAAGTGAGATGTGGTGCTGAGAGGAATGTATATTATGTTGATTTGTGGTGGAGAGTTCTGTAGATGTCTATTAGGTCTGCTTGGTGCAGAGCTGAGTTCAATTCCTGGATGTCATTGTTAACTTTCTGTCTCATTGATCTGTCTAATGTAGACAGTGGGGTGTTAAAGCCTCCCATTATTATTCTGTGGGAGTCCAAGTCTCTTTGTAGGTCTCTAAGAACTTGCTTTATGAATTTGGGTGCTCCTGTATTGGGCGCATATATATTTAGGATAGTTAGCTCTTTTTGTTGTATTTATCCCTTTACCATTATGTAATGGCCTTCTTTTTCTCTTTTGTTCTTGTTGGTTTAAAGCCTGTTTTATCAGAGACTAGGATTGCAACCGCTGCCTCTTTTTGTTTTCCATTTGCTTGGTAGATCTTCCTCCATCCCTTTATTTTAAGCCTATGTGTGTCTCTGCATGTGAGATGGGTTTCCTGAATACAGCACACTGATGGATCTTGATTCTTTATCCGATTTGCCAGTCTGCATCTTTTAATTGGAGCATTTGGCCCATTTATATTTAAGGTTAATGGTGTTATGTGTGAATTTGATCCTGTCATTATGATATTAGCTGGTTATTTTGCTCGTTAGTTGATGCAGTTTCTTCCTAGCATTGATGGTCTTTAAAATTTGGCACATTTTTACAGTGGCTGGTACCAGTTTTTCCTTTCCATGTTTAGTGCTTCCTTCAGGAGCTCTTGTAGGGCAGGCCTTGTTGTGACAAAATCTCTCAGCATTTGCTTGTCTGTAAAGGATTTTTTTTTCTTCTTCACTTATGAAGCTTAGTGTGGCTCGATATGAAATTCTGGGTTGAAAAATATTTTCTTTATGAATGTTAAATATTGGCCCCCACTCTCTTCTGGCTTTCAGAGTTTCTTTTGAGAGATCCACTGTTAGTCTAACGGGCTTCCCTTTGTGGGTAACCTGACCTTTCTCCCTGGCTGCCCTTAACATTTTTTCCTTCTTTTCAACTTTGGTGAATCTGAAAATTTTGTGTCTTGCAGTTGCTCTTCTCGAGGAATATCTTTGTTGCATTATCTGTATTTAATGAATTTGAAAGTTGGCCTGCCTTTCTAGGTTGGGGAAGTTCTCCTGGATAATATCCTGCAGAGTGTTTTCCAATTTGGTTCCATTCTCAACTTCACTTTCAGGTACACCAATCAGACGTAGATTTGGTCTTTTCACATAGTCCCATATTTCTTGGAGGCTTTGTTCATTTCTTTTTATTCATTTTTTCTCTAAACTTCTCTTCTCACTTCATTTCATTCATTTTATCTTCAATCTCTGATACCCTTTCTTCCAGTTGATTGGATTAGTTAATGAAGCTTGTGCATTCATCATGTAGTTCTCGTGCCATGGTTTTCACCTCCCTCAGGTTATTTAAGGACTTCTGCACATTGGTTATTCTAATTAGCCATTCAGCTAAACTTTTTTCAAGGTTTTTAGCTTCTTTGTGATGGGTTTGAACTTCCTCCTTTATCTTGGAGAAGTTTGATTGTCTGAAGCCTTCTTCTCTCAACTCATCAAAGTCATTGTCCGTCCAGCTTTGTTCCATTGCTGCTGAGGAGTTGTGTTCCTTTGGCGAGTGAGAGGTGCCCTGATTTTTAGAATTTTCAGGTTTTCTGCTCTGTTTTTTCCCCATCTTTGTGGTTTCATCTTCCTTTGGTCTTTCATGATGGTGATGTACAAATGGGGTTTTGGTATGGATGTCCTTTCTGTTTGTTAGTTTTCCTTCTAACAATCAGGACCCTCAGCTGCACATCTGCTGGAGTTTGCTGGAGGTCCACTCCAGACCCTGTTTGCCTGGTTATCAGCAGTGGAGGCTGCAAAACAGTGAATATTGCTGAACAGCAAATGTTGCTGCCTGATCATTCCTCTGAAAGTTTCATCTCAGATAGGTACCCAGCCATGTGAGGTGTCAGTCTGCCCCTACTGGGGCATGCCTCCCAGTTAGGTTACTTGGGGGTCAGGGACCCATGTGAGGAGGCACTCTGTCTGTTGTCAGATCTGAAACTTCGTGCTGGGAGAACCACTACTCTCTTGAAAGCTGTCTGACAGGGACATTTAAGTCTGCAGAGGTTTCTGCTGCCTTTTGTTTGGCTATGTCCTGCCTCCAGATGTGGAGTCTGTAGAAGCAGGCAGGCCTCCTTGAGCTGGGGTGGGCTCCACCCAGTTCGAGCTTCCTGTCCACTCTGTTTACCTACTCAGGCCTCAGCAATGGTGGGTGCCATTCCCCCAGCCTCACTGCCACCTTGCAGGTGGATCTCCAACTGCTGTGCTAGCAATGAGTGAGGCTCTGTGGGCATGGGATCCTCCGAGCCATGTGTGGGATCTAATCTCCTGGTGTCCTGTTTGCTAAGACCATTGGAAAAGTGCAGTATTAGGGTGAGAGTGACCTGATTTTCCAGGTGCCATCTGTCACAGCTTTCCTTGGCTAGGAAAGGGAATTCCCTGACCCCTTGTGCTTCCTGGGTGAGGTGATGCCTTGCCCTGCTTTGGCTCATGCTCAGTGCGCTGAACCCACTGTCCTGCACCCACTGTCTGACAAGTCCCAGTGATGTGAACCCCGTACCTCAGTGGGAAATGCAGAAATTACCCATCGTCTGCATCAGTCTTACTGGGAGATGTAGATTGGAGCTGTTCCTATTCCACCATTTTGGAAAAAAAGGTCTGGTTGTGATTTTTCCCAGCTTCTTCTAAAAATTATTTTTCATCTTCTGCTTTGACTGGCAGGTCCTTGCCTGAAAGAATAGCTTTATCTTTGCCACTCCTTCCTTTATTTGCTGTAGAGATTCCCAGTTGTTGTGCTGAAATGGCTTACACTGGGGATCCAGCTGCACAATTGTTCAGAAGGAGCATTCACTGTGGATTTGGTATATTATGCAACATTTGGTGTCACCAGCTAAGGCCTGACAAGATTCATCACTCAGTTTTCTGGGACAACTGAAATTGGAATGGAGTATGGATTTGGTCAGACAGATTCCTCAGTATGGAAACCTAGTGGTGCCATCTTACCCTATGCCTATATTTTCAGATTGTGCATAAGTAGAAGAAATTTAGAATCAATGCTATAAAAAGGGAATCCTGATTTCCTTTCCTGGCAGACCATGACACAAGACAAAGATCATTTCACCTATGTCCACATACTATTAACTTTTTAGTTCTCACGCTGGATTTTCAGAGGGTAGTGCGATGGACATGGTTAAATAGTTAATATGAAGAATGTTTAAAAAAATTAGGCCAGTGGTGATGGCTCAGGCCTGTAATCTCAGCATTTTGGGAGGCTAAGATGGGTAGAACACCTGAGGTCAGTGGTTCAAGGCCAACATGGTGCAACCATATCTTTTCTAAAAAATCAACAATTGTGAAGCCTGGTGATGTGTGCCTGTAATCCAAGCTAGTTAGGAGGCTGAGGCAGGAGAATCACTTGAGCCTGGGAGGTGGAGGTTGCAGTGAGCTGAGATCCTGCCTTTGCACTCCAGCCTGTGTGATAGAGTAAGACTTCATCTCAAAAGAATGGACAACAATAAAATGGATAATGCCAAATAAATAAAAAGTGAAAAGATTAACTTGGGTGAACCCCAAGACAACAAAGAAAAAAGAAAATGATATTTTAGAAAGTAAGGATAAAGTAATGAAAGATGGACTGAGACAGATTAAAATGTGGAATACATTATTGTAAATTTAAGGCCAGAATAATGCAAGTGTCAAAAAAACAACAAAAGCAACAATAAAACAAGCACAGGGAGGGGTAGAGAGAGGGTGAATGAGGAAAAAGAGAAAGCAAATGCAAAATGTAAAGTAATCAGCATGATTAGAATATCTGTTCATTCCCACTCTCTGCAAATTCTTTGTATTTTGAGGAACATCCTGACAAGATTTTAATGTAATCAATCACAGAGTAGTCTAACCCAGAAAATATCCTAGCTTCCTCTAGGATTCAAAGACCTTGTACCTTCTTAGGTATTCTCTCTCCATCTAGGTTAAACTAAACTGTTTCAACAACAAAAACTACTTTGAATTTTCTGCCCAAAAGGAACATCACGGACGTTCTTCATCTTGGGTCATCACTTGAGTAATGAAGTAGATGGAGCAAATGTACTTTCCCCCTTACATAAATACAATTAATAGCACCACATAATGTATATAAAGCAAACATAAGACTGAAGGATGGAGCAAGAAGATAAACGGGTGAGGAAATTTAAGATGCAACAAGTGATAAGATGGTTGAGTTTCCTGGATTCTTTTTGCCTGGTGTTATCACAGACTTGATCCTAATGGAGCTGGTACCCAAAAATGTAAATAAGTACAGGCAAAAAGTTCTCCCAAAACCCAACTTCTATAGCCACATGGCTAGGAAAGGGACACCTTACAAAGAGAAAAATATTTTTACAATAGCCTTCCTACTTTAGTCAAACATTACAACAGAAAACAAAGCAAACCAAAAAAGCTAGCCAGGACAACAATGTTTAAGTTGAAACATAGAGAGCACCAGGCAGTAATGAGGCACCCCAACCCTCTGCTGGAGTGGAATCACATAAGGGAAAGTAGAGAGTTAGAGTTTTCAATGCTGCCATATGGGGACACCCTTCTGCTTCTAGCCAGGGAGGTACAAGTAACACCCAGGTTGAAGCTGGAATCTGCATATTTTTTTATCAGTAGCTAGAAGGGCTGCCTTGGATGTCAAAGGAAGTGAAGAAGAGAATTTGGAATTGTGCCCTTCCTTTACAAGCATACACTTTCCTTTGTTATGGTGGTATCAGACAAAGCCAGCTACAAATGAACAAATAGGATGTCATAATATGGTTCAGAGTTTCCTAACATTTCCCCAAATGTTTAACTTTCAAATAAAAATCTCACACAGAAATGTTAGTGCTACTGTTAAAGGATCACTATGGTGTCAGTTTTTCTTGCCAGAAACTTCTGTGGCCATGATGCCTTTGCTTGACTTCTTGTCCTGTTTGCAGGAAGAATGAGGTACACAGACAGGTGAAGGGTAAAGAAGAAGCAGAGTTCTATTTGGCATTAAAACGGTTCAAAGTGTTGGGATTCCTTCAGTACGGTCGCAGAAATATGAAATGGAAATATTATGGAAAGGTATAGGGAATAGTCACAAACTTTTTGGAAGGCCGAAAGATTACATAGCTTGTAATAATTGAACAATTATTCAATTGGAGGGAGGTCGACCAAGGATATTGCCCCATACTGTAATTTACTTTAGACCACGGTACCTGAGCTTTAATCATTCATAGGTCTACTCTCTCAGCCAGGTTAATTATCCACAAGTGTGCTGACTCAAAGCTTCTGTTGTTAATTGTATACTAAATAAATGCCTGGAGTGCGAGCTGCTCAGGGCCGGCCTCAGTAACAAACTTTTCTTGTCATGCAGGTGCTCAGACATTCAGCTAGACTGGCAAAACAGAGTATCTATGTGCTAGTGTGTGGTTTATCCATCTGCAATTTGGGTCAGGGTCTGCGGGCAGACCCCTGAAGCTAGTGCCCTCTTGTGAGGAGCAATACCTCACAAAGGAGTGGGTAGCTCTCCTCTATAGGCAGGTCTTCCTATGGTGTGTTCACTCTAGAGAGAGAGGCTCCTCTCTGTCGGCAAGTCATTTAGATGTCTCTGCAGGTCTGTGAAGCTCTCTGTTGCAGCTGCTGCTCTCAGCGGAGAGGGTACTGCTCTCCTCCCGTTGTCTACAGCAATCAGCAAGAAGGGTACTCCTTTCTTTAGCAGACTGGCTTTTGAATGTCTTCATAAGATCCTTCACAGAGCAGCAGTTTTTAATTTTGATTTGATACAGTTAATCTTTTTTTTTACTTTTATGGCTTATGCATTTGGTATCAAATATAATAACATTTTGCTACAACTAAGAAGCTTGAATTTTTTTACGTTCTTTTTTTCTGAAAACGTTTTATAAAATGTGTTGTAATTTTATATTACATTGAAATTCATGAGACATTTTGAGTTAATTTCTGTAGTATAAGATTTATGTTATGGCTTTATTTCTTAAATTTATAAATATCCACGTGCCCTGGCACCATTTGTTTAAAGGCTGTTTTTCCTCCACTGATTTCTGCTTGCCAGATTTGTGTCATATCACTTGGTCATATCCACACTAGTGTGGCTCTATTCCTGGGCCTTCTCTTCTGCTCCATTTTTATATGAATCTATTTCTATGCCAATACCAAACTGTTATGTTCATTTTAGCTGTGTAATAAGTCTTAGAAATGTTGATGAATTTCTCCCACTATATACTTGTATACTCATAATTGTCTTAGCTATCATGGTGAGTAAGTTTGCTTTGTCTGCAAAAATTCTTGCTGAGATACTGATAGGAATTTCACCAAATATATAGATCAAGCTGGGGAAAATTAACAGGATATATTGTCTTCATATCCATGAACACAGTGTATCTCTCATTATCTCTATTTGATTTCTTTCACCAGTGTTTTACATGTTTCAGCACATAGATCTCATACATGTTTTCTTTTGTTTAAATGCATATCAAAACATTTGATGTTCTTTGGAGCAGTTGTAGATCATACAGTTGCTAATTTGGGGTCCTGTTGACCTGCAGTGTGGGAAAATAGCAGAGTGCTAATTAGTTTGGATTTACTTCAGTTGTTCAGTTCCTAGGAGGGTGGGTGGTGGTAGATGGTTAACTCTCCACTAAAGCCCACTGACAGGATAGAATAGAGGAGGGTGGTGCGGAGGCAGTCAAACCACACAGTGCAATCAGTCCTAATCAGCTCTAGCCCTTTAAAAATTGTTGTTGTTGAGTCAACCTAGATGATCAGCTTGCTACCAGAGACTCCTGACATAAGGGAATTGGAATGCTCTCCTCTGCTTTCTCCGGGAGGGTGATAGAAGATTCCCTCTGGCCAGATGTGGTGGCTCACGCCTGTAATCTCAGCATTCTGGGAGGACGAGGCAGGTGGATCACCTGAGGTCAGGAGTTCAAAACCAGGCTAACATGGAGAAACCCCGACTCTACAAAAAATGGAAAATTAGCTCAGTGTGGAGGCACATTCCTGTTATCTCAGCTAGTCAGGGAGCTGAGGCAGGAGAATTGCTTCAACCCAGGAGGTGAAGCTTGCAGTGAACTGAGATTGCATACCATCGCACTCCAGCCTGGTCAACAAAAAAGAAACTCCAGCTCAAAAAAAAAAAAAAATTGCTGCCTACTTTGACTTTATGGAGAATCAAGCATTACTGCCCCGTGAGAAGATTGTCTTTGTATATGGCTCCACACAAATGGCAATACTAGCTTTTTTTTTTTTTTTCTCGTAGCGTTTGTCTGGAATAGCTTGGTTATTACCCCTAGAAATGTTTTGTGTGATTGTGTATGGTTAGGCCATCCTCTCCTGGTCCTTTGGCTGAGAGAGAACAGGATTTGCTTGAAGTCCTTTTTATCTGTGCCTATTGGAGATTCTGTGTTGGAAGCTTCTACAGTCCATCATCTGTGATATATGGAAGAAAATAGGAAAACCCAGAAAAGTGACAATGTTATCAATCTTTAAGTCCTAAAGTCCCTAGACAAACTGCCTTCCTCTTTCTGCCTTTCAGAGCCTGTCCTTGTTTTTTTCTCGTTATATCCATGGTGTTTTAGTTGTTTAGAGGAAACACTGGGCTGTTGCATCGTAACTGGAAATCCTAGGAAGTGAATGGTTGAGAACGGCTTTGAAAGTTCCATGCAAACCAAATCTCATAACGCAAAACATGGGAAGATATGATTATAGAGAATGACATGATATGATTTACCTACAATAAAGTGGTTTTATAAAATAAAGTCTTCACCAAAATTAAATATTCTTAGAGAAGTCTGCTGAGATCAGCTAGGTCGTGAAGACCTTAACCCAGTGGCACTAGAGGAATTAAAGACACACACACAGAAATCTAAAGTGCAGAGTGGGATCAGTGGGCTGACAGCCTTCAGAGCTGACAGCCATGAACAGAGTTTTACCCACATATTTCTTGACAGCAAGCCAGAGATCAGCGTTGTTTCTATAGATTATAGATTCAGTAAAATGGAAGACAAAGGGAGGGGTTCTCGTTAGTTATCTGCAGCAGGAACATGTCGTTGAGGCACAGATCACCCATGATATTATTTGTGGTTCAAGAACGCCTTAAGTGGTTTTCTGCCCTGGGTGGGCCAGGTGTTCCTTGCCCACATTCTGGTAAACCCACAACCTTCAGTGTAGACGTCATATCTATTTTGAGCATGTCATAGTGCTTCAGAGATTTTGCTTATGGCCAGTTTTGGGGCCTGTCGATGGCCAAATTTGGGGGCCTTTTCCCAACATGTCTTCTTTTTTTGTTTTTCTAAGACAATAAAAGCAAATGCAGCTTTACTACTCTGAGCTACTTCTCGCAGGAGTCGGGATCTGCATCTGCAGACTATACAAAGACAAACAACAGAGGCTAAAAGCACAATCATCATTAAAATCACAGAACCTCCAAGAGTTCTTATCCATTTTATTGGATTAGTAGCTGCTAATCCATCTGCAGCTCCTTCAAGTACCCCTGTTCCTGGCATTAAGGTTAAGTGTGCCTGGGATACTTCAAATAATTGTTATTTTAATTTACAATATCCAAAGACATGTTCATAGAGTGTCCTTCTAGATGCTTTTTTATTCTTTCCCAAATGTTTATACTACGAAGAGCCATTAATAGGTTCCACAAATCCTTATTTTTAGCTCCTAGAGCGAGCCATATCATTTGAGGTTGAGGTGCCATTATACCGCCATGTTTCCAGAGGAACTCTTGCGGTACTTCTTACCATTTTTACCATCTGATGGCTTTGTTCAGACCAGCTGAACATAATGTGGCTGTGGCACATAGACTGAGAGTTGCAATTTAAGGTAAACATCCCCTTAGGGGGCCAAACAATAAGGATTCCCTAGGAATTGTTACACAGCACCTCAGTCTGTTCTGCAATGCAATTTTCCCAAACAAGTACATTCATTTTCTCTGGCCACGTCCAGCTCTGTTTACAAATAGGTTTTTAAGGGTGGTATGCCTCAATTATAGGAGCAGATTTATTATGAAATATACTGAGACCAGAAAGCATGTGTGTCAGCATGGACAGGACTGTGTCAGTTCTGTTAAAGAAATACTCATGGCAATGGTGATCACCGCTTTGATAGCTATCATTAAATTACTCACTGGGACTGGTTGTCCCACCTCAGATTTTCTCTCACCATCTGTGACAGCTTCTTGATCTGTCCTCAGGTGGGTGGCTGCTTTTGATGGGTGTTGCTCATGATATTTGGGGTCCTCCTCAGGGTCAACTTAGACAAGACTGCCACCGATGTGTCTTTGGAATCCTCTCAAAACCACTTTCTTGGTATCTGGCTCATAGCAGGGCTTTAGATGTCTCAATGGCATGCACATTGGCAGTTGATTTGGTACTGGAGAAACACAAGCATAACCTCCACTCGATGTTATTATTTTACCTATTTCCCAACTTTCCATTATTGGATCTCTCCACCAAACCAGTTTTTCTGCTTCTATCTTTGCAGCTGGCTTCTGTAGATGCTGTTTGGCTGCAGATAGCATCTGGTCCTAGACAAGCTCAAAAAATTTAGAGTAAATCATGCTAGATTCAATTTCATATGTGGCATCCCACAGTCCCTGTTTCCACCTTTTGCTTTTGCAACTGTTGTTTAAGGAAGAGATTCATTCTTTCCACTATGGCTTGTCCTTGAAAATTATATGAGATACCAGTAATGTGTTTAATATTCCATATAGAGAAAAATGTAGCTAGAACTTGGCTACTATAGCCTGGGTCACTGTCCTTTTTAAAGAAGCTGGAATGCCCATCACCACAAAACACTGCAAAAGGTGACATTTAACACAGGCAGAAGACTCTCTTGATTGGCAAGTAGCTCAGACAAAGTGAGAAAATGTGTCCACACATACATGTATATAAGCTAGTCTCCCAAACAAGGGAAAATGTGTGACATTCATTTGCCAAAGAGAATTAGGTCCTAATCCTCGAGGATTAACTCCTCCTGTAAAAGATGAGGAATGCACCATTTGGCAAGTTGGGTATCGCTGGATAATAGCTTTCACTTCTTTCCAGATAATGCTGTACTGTGTTTGAGACCAAAAACATTAACATGGGTTGAATTGTGAAAGTGTCTGGCATTAGATATTGTAGTAGCAACTGGCGGATCAGCCATTTGATTCCCTGCAGTCAAATGTCCTGGAGGAGGTTTATGAGCTCTAATATGAGTAATGCAAAAAGGGTTCATTCTACTTCTAGCTGCTGTGTGTAATTGGGTAAATAAAGTCATCAGTTGCTCATCTGTGTGGAATCATAGCTGAGCATTTTCAAGTAACTGTGTAGAATGAACCACATATGAAGAATCAGAAATCACATTTATAGGCATACTAAAACAAGTCCATACCTCAATTACAGCTGCAAACTCCACCTTTTGAGATGAAATATAGGGCATTTCCTGAGCTGGAAATGCCCTGGTTTAGAAAGCGGACTGGGACGGCCCCTCCTGGCATTTCCCAAAATCAGGTTTCCATCTTTATCAAACTTAGAGTGACACTGATTATCCGAGTAATTTTCTTTTTGCATTTTGGACATATTCCAGGCTCAGCAGTTTTCCTTTTATCCCTCAACTTGTGGCCTGACTCACTGATTTTTTTCACATTCTTTTCCAGTGTGACCATGCTTCCCACAGTTAAAACAAGCTCCAGGAAATGGAGTATTTCCTTTACCCACTTTCAGTCCTGTCATGGCTTGCACCACCAAAGTAGCTTTATGCAGATTACCTCTGATACCATCACAGGCCTTGATATAGTCAATTAAATGTGCTTTCCCTCTAATAGGTCACAGAGCCACCTGGAAATATGGATTTTCATTGTCGAAAGCTCATAACTGCAACATTATATCCTCAGCAGCTAAATCTGCAGTCATTTTTTAAGAGACTCCTATAACCAAGCTATAAAATCTGCATATGGTTCTTTTGGTCCCTGTTTTATAGCACTAAAGGAAAGATATTGTTCTCCTCCTGAAGTTATTTTTCCAAACTCTAATGCATACTCCTCTAAGCTGTTCTATGGCATCACCCAGCATGACCACTTGTGCATCCAAACCAACGCAGCTGCCTACCCCCAAAAGATGGTCTGTAGTTATATTAATTTGAGGTTGGGCCTGCGCATTGTGAGAAGGCTGAAAAAAGCTTCTTCTCCTCACCAAGTTTTAAACTGTAAAAAGTGAGCGAGAGTCAGGCAAGCTCACGTAAGAGCATCCCATTCAGTAGGAATCATCTGACTGGGGACAGCAACATTCTTTAACGGTACCATTACCAAAGAAGAACCTGGTCCATATTGATTAATAGCTGGTTTAAATTCTTTGAGTAATTTAAAAGGAAAAGGCTCAAAAGTAGTGATAATATTTCCCTGTTGACCTGGGGCATGTATCCTAACAGGGAGCTGCCAAGCCTCTATATCACCCTCTCGTCTAGGTTGCTGAATTCCTGCCTGAATAGAACGAAGAGCAATTGCTCATGGCACTGCTTGAACAATCATGGGGCAACTAGTTTTTGGTCAGTGGGTTCCAGAAAAGAAAGATCTACAGGGTCAGACCACTCTTTTTCTTCAAAATAGTGAGGGAGTGAAGAAGGGCAGAGACAAACCTCTCTCTCCTTTGCCACTTTAGCTTTAGCTGGCAAACAAACCTATTCTGTCACCTCTTCTGTTACTTTGCTATACTCTCCTTCCTCCTAATCATCAATGTGAAAATGTTCCAAGGTGGAACAAACCAGAACCTGGACTTGTCCCATTGTTAACCTGATGCTTCCAAACTCCCCTTCTAACTCACTATGGCGATTGCTTAAGAGTAGCCAGATGTCCTCCAGTGTAGTCCTACATTCTCCAACCATTGCTCCGGTGACCTTTGACCTGGGTTTGAGACCCCGTATAGTCACCACTTGCCGAGGCCAGCTCGGTCATGGAAACCATAACCCAATGGCACTAGCGGCATTAAAGACACACACACACACACACACACACACACACACACAAATATAGTGTGCACAGTGAGAATCAGGGGGCTAACAGCCTTCAGAGCTGAGAGCCATAAACAGAGTTTAACACACATATTTATTGACAGCAAGCCAGTGATAAGCATTGTTTCTATAGATTACAGATTAACTAAAACAGGAGACAAAGGATGGGCTCTGGCTAGTTATCTGCAGTGGGAAAGTGTCTTTGAGGCACAGATCGTTCATGGTATTATTTGTGGTTCAGGAATACCTTCAGTGATTTTCTGCCCTGGGTGTGCCAGGTGTCCTTGGCCTTCATTCTGATAAACAACCTTCATTGTAGTCATCATAGCAATCAGAAGCATGTCACAGTGCTATAGAGATATTGCTTATGGCCAGTTTTGGGGCCAATCTATGACCAGATTTTGGGGCCTGTTCCCAACAAAGCCTTTATAATATATGTAAAATAGCCAATGATTTAGAGCATATTAATAATATAGATCAATGAAAAAATTATAAAATACATATCCTACCCTTCAAAATAAAACAAAATTGGGAAGACTTCCAGAAAATATAAGCAAAAATGTGTTCTTCCTCAAATGCTGAAGGGTTATAGTAGAAAGACCTTTGTCAGAGATTTTATTTGTTAAGTGACAAATGATTTAATAGAAATCAAGCGTTTATTTTTCAGTTCACTGGAGCAAAGTTAAAAGCTGCAAAAACAACTCCTATGAAAGCCAGAGCTTCTAAGTGTAAGATAAAATTTTAAAAAAGAATAACACACTGACTATCAAGAAAAGAAACATCCCTGAGGTTTGGACTCCAGCAATATTAGTGTGAGATTAAACCTGACAGTTCATTGATACAGTAAACTGAGGAGTAAATTTAGATATATTTTCAGGAAAGAGACCATTTCTGTGTCCAGTGGGGTTGGGCACCCTGCCTAAATAATTGGTGGAAGAAAGCATGATTCAGACATTTTGGTAAAATACTTAAGTCAGTACAGAGAGTCATGTCTCACAGATACTAGGATCTAACACAGAATGAGGTTTGTATTCAAATACATGAGAGAAAGATTTATATCTCAGCCTCTATCCTGTGGTATATTCAAGACTGAGGTTAGATTTTTTCATGTTGCCTACAAAATATAAGGTCCCCAAAGGCAGAAATGGGTATACAATACTAGATTGAACAATTAACCTAAAAGGTTAACCTAAAAAGGTTAACACAAAACTGCCCCACTAAGAATCACTTTACACTCAAGAACTAAAGATTGCTTTATCACTTCACAGACGACATTAACAATTCACAGATGGATGTTCCATGTCCTAAGGGGTAGCAAAGGAAGACACACTTAATGGTCATACTCAAGGATAAAAAGTTGAATCAAAAAAGTCTTCATAATGAGTAGGTTTAGGAGTTCTCTGAGATGAAGAAATGGAATCTAAAGGAAAAAAGATGTGGGTAGGAGGAAAAAAATAATCTTTTTTAAATAGACAATTATACATTATTGAAAAATCAACCATATATTAAAGGAACTCAAATAATATTTTGTTTGTTTGTTTCTTCTGCAGTAGACCCCGAACAAGTACAGTAGGAAAAGTACTTTCCTATGTTGATCTGTAGTAAGTTTGCCAGGTGCAGGGACATAACATTTCAATTTAAAATTTGATTACTTTTTGACAAACAATAAAGAATTTGTTTTCAGTATGAGCCTGTCCCATGAGATAACGAGAATTTTAGTAAGTTACTAGAATATTGAGAATTATACTAAAATGCTATTTGCTTATTTAAAATGAAAATATAACTGGTAATCCTGTATTATATCTGGTGACCGTAAATGAAACAGAAGTCAGGAAAGTGGAACTCAGTGGTGGAAGGTTTTATATACATTTACAAGAAACAAAAGAAGACAAAAATATACAGAAAGGGAAACACACAGATTTTGAAAATAATCTCTACAGAAAATATTTATCCACATAAATTATCATTTACTAGAAACATATTTTTAACTCTCAAAGATTATGCCAATATTAAAGACTTATCAAAAGACCAAGAGAAAGAAACATAAAGCTTATTTTATTTTAGCAAAGAGAAAAATAAATCTCAAAATAAAAGAGGTAGGCAGGAAGTTTTTGTTTGTTTGTTTGTTTTGTTTTCTGAACGGGGCTAGACATAGGTTTTACTTTGTTTAAAAAATGCTATTGAATTTTTTTAATTTGATTCTTTAATTTTTTTAATTTGATTTTCTGATTTTTTTAATTTGATTTTTGAATTTGATTAACTACAGAAACTGTAGAAATTTGGTGATTAATGTCAAAAGCACAAAAAGAAAAAAATACGAGTAAGAAAAGTAAATGAATACAATTAGAAAAACAGGTGACGGGTGGGGAAAGGGAGAGAAGAACAAAGGCAGATAGGAGGCAAAGGCAGAGCCAAAGAAAATCTAGGGTAAATGAAAAACTGACTGAGCAGGTGTTAGTTATTTAGATAAGAGAGTAACCATATTAGATGTAAGCTGTTTAAACTCATGTGTTAAAATATAAAATACTCTACCGTTAGATTGATAAAAATTTGCTTTCACCTAGGAATAATCACACTGAAATATTGAAAATAAGGATTTAGAAAAAATTAACAAGTATTTATCCAAAAAAATTAGGCCACTGTTATTATATAAGGAAAATGAGAATTTTAGAAAAAATGCAAGGAATAAAGATGGAGAACTATAGATGCAAGGCAACAGACAAAATATGAAACATCAAAATATTAAAAAATTTTAAAGATAATATAACAGTCACAAACATAAATTCCTCAGTAGCATTATCACAATATACATCTGAGGCAAATTTTATGAATATCTATTTATATAGACAAGCCCCAATTGTAGTGAGATGTGTTATATATGTGACTCATCTAGACTAATGAGTATACAGACATTTAGTCATCAATAGAAACACTTTGCAATGTTTGTGTACTTACTTTTCTTCAGTTTCAAAATGTGAAGCCAAGTAGTAGAGCATGTTTTCAGAATTTCACAGCTCTGCAATAGAGCAAATATTAATACAGAATAACACTTTTCCCCTTCAACGTCAACTCCATCTAACCTAACTAGCATGATGCTTTGCCTTCTCACATGCTCTCTAGACATCCTACTCACCCTTCTTTTCTAGATCCACATTCTCATGATACTGTCTTCTAACAGAGCTTACTTGGATGCCAACACAATGCAGGCTTGTGAAGATACCCAAGCAAAGAAGGAACAGGAACTGCAAGATATCAAGTCGTAGTAAAATGAATAACTCAATTCTTACACATAAATATTTGGCAGAGTGTTTCAGCTGAAGCATTTACAGCTCTGACAAATCATCACATGGCTGCTCTGCAGTAAACATATGTATTCCACCAAACTAATGTAAATGTTCAAATACCTCACTTTCTATCTCAAGCTACTGGGATGTATCTCCAAGGAAAACTTCCCAGTGGTTAAATCTTTTTATTCAGAAAAAATATGAGAGGTTTTAAGTTAGCAATTTTAAAAGGCAACCCTTTGTTAAAATGATTGTTCATACTCCGGAAATTTGTGGCATGTTCACATTTGTTGCTAGAGCAGTTCTATTAAGACACTCATTGGAATATGTGATGCTTCTTGATAGGGACCTGTAACATGCCAGCTTTCAAGGGATGAGACCACGAATTCACATATACGCCATCTATCCTCAAATAACTGCTATCTACATAGGAAATAAAATGGAATAGGGGTGAAGTTTCAATTCTTAGAGCTGGCATTTATTAAACTTTGCCTCAAAGATAATGTGATTTTTATGACTGACTTTTCAAATTAGCTTTTCTTCCCAAGTCCAGGCTCCCTTAATTTCCTCAGCCAATAAGAAAATATTTTTCAAAAATGCAAAAATTAGCAACAATTATGCTGACTCCACTACAGAAGAATTTGGATTCTGACTCATTGATTAGCTTTCCAAATGCAATTTTATAATCTACTCCTAACAGATCTGGATTAAGACTCATTCACAAGATTTCCAAAAGCAATTTTTTAATAGGTTATATTCCAACAACATACTCATCCATTTTTCATTATCCTTGGGATAAAAATGTCAGCTCCATCTTAAGGAGGATATGTTTAAATTTCTAAGAATTTGTATCACAACCACAGACCCAAATATGTTTCATGTAATTTTGCTCCATAAATATTTTTCTTAAATAGAAAATGTTACTTTATTAAAATGACCCCCCAATTTTAACCATTTCAGTGGTCTAGTTAAACAGTTTCATACCAACTCTCTAAAACCTAAATTTAAACTGACCATAGGCCACTAATCTCTTACTTTTATAGACTCGAAGACAGAATTTAAATTAGGTTTAGTATTTATTTGTTTAATCTAAATCTTAGTTTCCTGGAATAATAAAGTTTGATGTTTAGCAAGAAAAGTACTTGAGTTTAAGCCAGTTTCAATACAAGCTTGCCTTCTGCATTATTATTGAGTAGCAGACATTAAGTGACTATAGTTACTGGGTATTAGTGATGGTAAACTTTGTGTTTTTCATTATGAAATAATCTGTGTAACTGTTGGGTATATCAGTGCTTTCAAATGTGCTGCTTAGAATAGGATTAACTGTAAATTCATGTCAAGAATTAACTTGTGATTTGGCTGTTTCCTGAATTTTATAATATACATGTGCAGAAATGTATTCAAAATTGAGTAAGGAAGCACACCTCTATCAGCATGCTATTAAACTTGAACATCAAGTATCATATATCGGTAGAGTTTTGGGGGTTTTTTTATTATTTGGGATTTTTTTTTTTAATTGAGAGAAGCTCTCTTCTGTGCAGAATGGCTATTTCAAAGTATCTCACTGTTTGTTTTCCTGTTCCATGACTATTTTTTCCAGCAGTGGTGATGCATTGAAGTCCAGTTTTCTAGAAGGGGAGTGTCTCAACCCTAATTTTACTTTTCTAATTCTGGTAGCTGCAGGAATTTTTGAAAGTTTTGTTTAAGTAGTCTAATATTTTTTATGTAAAGAGCATTAAATTTTGCTGTGTATAAATTGTCATAATCTAAAAGTGAATCAACATTTTCAGTCCTTGAATCCTAGAACTTTTGGGAGGCCGAGGCATGTGGATCATGAGATCAGGAGATTGGGCCCATCCTGACTAACACGGTAAAACGCAGTCTCTACTAAAAACACAAAAAATTAGCCGGGCGTTGTGGCAGGTGCCTGCAGTCCCAGCTACTCCAGACGCTGAGGCCAGAGGATGGCGTGAACCCGGGAGGCAAAGCTTGCAGTGAGCCAAGATTGCACCAATGCTCTCCAACCTGGGCAACAGGGCAGACTCCATCTCAAAAAAAACAAAAAAAAAAAAAAAAGAAAAAACTTCCGTCAGTGCCCAAGTGCCAAGCGCTTCCTATAGTTCTAATCAAGCGTTACAATAAATACTTGTAGAAAATAGTCAATATTTATGCATGCTTATTTTGCTGACATCCATAAGTGGAAATAGTTGTAGATGTACTAAGAGTAATGAAGTAATATTATAGCTTCATTTACTTGCCTTTTTACTATATATAAATCTATCTTTGTCCCCAGTATGGTGTCACATTTGAATAATGTGCATAGTAAAGATTTCATGTTGTTATAAAAATCAAGTCTGTGAGTGCTACTTGTTTTATTTTTGGCAAAAATCTCTTCAGCAATTTAAGAAAATATTATAATCCACTGGGCTGTATTGGGCATAAAAGTGCCACTAACACTTCTGTAGTTCTCTGTATAAAGTTATATGTTTTATGACCAGTTTTGCAACAAATAAAATCTATCTACCAGTAAGATTAACAAGGCTTAAACTTGGGCAAAGTACAACAATAAGTTTCCCTGTGTAGTTGGTTATTTTTTCAAATCAATAGTACAAAATTCTATGGAAAGGTTTACTCAGGAATATATATAAAAAAAAAACCTGGTTCTAACAGTTACTCTCTAGAATAGCAGAGCTAAATATGTTACTCAGGATTTTATTTAATAATCTGTTTGAACTCCTTATCTGTCAACATGATTCTAAATTTGGGTTCTCTGCATCTGACATTTCTTAGTGCCTCATAGTCTTTATCACTATTGACACATGGCCATCTCTAATTCAGGTTCTGACTCTGGATCATCTCCTTTCATTCATGCATGGCAGGAGAAGAGTACACAGTTCAATTGGTGTACTATTTGTCACACTACATACTACCTTCTGTTTAAGTAACAATTTGTGCAATTATTTAATTCACACAAATCAACAGAGGAAAGTGTAAGTAATAGATAGGATCACCAGAAGTCTCTAAATTGTCAAAAGTGATCTTGCCACCTGGGAAGGAACCCTATATTTATAAACTAATGAAATACTTGAAGCCAATTCATGAAGTATTATGACCAAAGTTTCCACAATAAAGATGCTATCTCAGTATCTTCCTGTTCCTATAACACAATACCTTAGACTGGGTAAGTTATGAAACCAGAAATATGTTTCTTACAGTTTTAGAGGTTGGGAAGCCCAAGGTAAAGGCACTGGCAGGTTCAATGCCTGGCGTAGGCCTAGTTTCTGCTTCCAAGATGGTATCTTGTTGCTGTGTTCTCCAGAGAGGACAAATAAAGTATCCTTAAATGGTGGAAGGGCAAAAGGGCCCAGTTATTTCCATTAAGCCCTTTTATAGGGTTGCTAATTGCACTCTTAATTGCCTCCAGAAGCCCCCACCTTTTAATTCTATCACACTGGAGGGTTTAACTTCCAACATATGAACTCTGGAGGGACACACACATTCAAACCACAGGTATTAAATGTAAAGATCAGAGGCAATATTGTACTATTCATAAAGCCTAGGAATTTCTGTGTGTTTTTATGTTCCGGGAGAAAACTGAAATGTGCCGGCAAAAGATGACCTCATTTTACAGATGGCAGTCCTTCACTGGAGAGGAAAGAAAATAGCTTAATCTTTAAAGAGTAGGCCTGGAGTTAATCAATATGATAGGTTATACTCATTTAAAATTTAGGAAATATAAGCTTAGAAAAACAGCTCTTTTTAGTGTAATGAATGAGAAATTCTGTGACTGGAGAAGCTGTCGAACATCTTCATTGATTCCAGAATCATCTTCTCTAAAACAGATGGGCATGAAAGCACAAAATACACAAACACATTTATAAAACATTTTAAGTGTTTAAAAATGCAGTACTATAATTCCATCGTGTATGCCAGTGAACTAATTTTTAAAATTGGAATCATTGCTATCATCAATGGAAAACAAATAGGTCATCTCAATGAAGGAAGTGATTAATTTCCCTCAAGTGTCCTGTGCTTCAGATTTGAATTAACCAGGAATCTAAGGAACATTCATATGTTGCTGTAATTCAAGCAAGACTTAGCAGGTCTATTAATTGGACAGATAAATTTATCTGCTAGGCCAGAATCAGAATATGGAAGGGAAGCAGAGAACCAGAGGAAGGAGGGAGGCAATGTATGCCCCTGGAAGCAACCTTGGACTGGCAGCCACCTTCACTGTTTGGTTCTTCTACAGCCAACTAGCTGACATTGACAGCCTCTTATTTCAGCTCTTTTTTAAATTTATTATTATTCTTAATTTTTTGTTTGTGTTGAAACTGAGTCTTGCAAATGGACGGCAGCCCTTCTTAGAGTTTCAGCGATTACTCTGATGTGGATCCTTTCCATATCTTTTACTCCACTCCTGATCTCTATACCTAGCCTCCCATCCACATTTCTGATAGTTTCTTTCCATACACATGTAGAAACTCCACAGCACCAGCTTCATCCCAGGAGTGATCATCCCAGTCCTTCGCTCATGAGCCATCTTCCATCCACCCAGTAACTAGCCCTGGCACATTCACACTCTCTGTCCTGTGGCTGCAAGAGGGGTCTTCCTCATCATCTGCCTGGAATACTGAAACAGCCCTGTCAAGGCTCTCTGTGAATTCAGTCTCTGCCTGCGAGAAACCTGTGGTCATCTGCACCAGGCATTCCCTGAGGGGAAGATTGTATCTCATGTACAGTGTCTCTGCTCTGGTAGAGTCCAATGCCATGGTATTCTGGGCTCTGATAATCTGCCTTTTTCTTTCCAGATTGATTTCACATAACACCACCAACATTGTACTACAAATGTTTCATCTGTACCAACCCATTTTCTGGGGTCTGACTATGGCTGTAGCTTCCTTGCTTGGCATTTGCCTTCACTATCTCCTCAGCTGGTGACATTTCCATTCTGTCATAAAGGGTGATATGCTGTTGGAGACCAAACTGAAATTCCAACTCTTCCTTATTTCTGAAGTGAAAAGTAATCACTCCAGCACATTAATTGTGCAATATCTTGTACCTGCTTCTTGAAAATATACACATACTTGTTTCTTCTGTTTCTATCTCTTCCAGGGAAGGCCCATATTTCAACAAATTGTCTGTTCCCTCTGCATCATGGCACGGGTCCCTACATCTCAAATGTTTAAATAGACCTCATTCTCAGAAACAATTATGCTGACCTTTCTCTTCCAGTTCTACCCATAACCTATTTTTTTATGAGTAAGCAATGCAAATATACAGAAGAATTTATAGGTTCACCAGAGGGTCATGAACCTTTTTGCTCTGCCTTGTTCTAAAGTCATCAGCAGGGACTGAGTTAGTTTCAAAAACAGGAGAAAAGCAACACAGTTTTTTCTCTGTCTCCACCCACCATCTCTTCTCAATCCTTCTCATGAAATTAAAATACCTTAAGAGACAGTTAATCATTTCTGCAAGTAGAAAGGCAACTTTCTGTGTGCTAGAAGAACAAGAAGAAAAAAGTTACTTATAAATGAGATTGCTTTCTTATATGAAATAGTAATTTCAAGATAGTAATATTATTTAAGCACCTCTTTATTAAGGAAGAAAGGAAGCAAAACTACTTCACTGCTCTGGTTTATATTTTGTACCTACGTGGTGGAATACTGAAACCTCTTTGGACACAACGGAAAGAAATGAAGTATGTCCATTGTGCCCCTTGCATCAGAGAGAGCATATTTCAGCCTTTTCAATTTCCATTGAGGCTAGAAGAAGTGAAATGATGAATATAAAAAATTCTCAGTAACACCAATGTTACTCACTATGCTGCTTAATAATGTTTTTTTATATTATTATTATTATTATTATTATTATTATTATTGAATCTCACTCTTTCACCTAGGCTGGAGTGCAGTTGAGCAGTCAGCTTAATGCAACCTCCACCCCCTGGGTTCAATTGATTCTCCTTCCTCAGCCTCACAAGTAGGTGGGATTACAAGCCCATGACACCATGCCTGGCTAATTTTTGTATTTTTAGTAGAGATGGTGTTTCACCACGTTAGCCAGGATGGTCTCAATCTCCTGACCTCATGATGCACTCATCTCAGCCTCCAAAAGAGCCACTGCACCCAGTAAATAATTTCTAAATCCAGTATTATAATCTACATTCCACCTCAGAGGCAGAACACCAAGTTATTCAGTTGAATTCCTTTATCTTATTACCTTGTTTCAGTCCCTTTCCCAGGTCTGTGACAAATGGCTGCCGGTCAAAACTCCCTCTTGTAGCCATGGCCCCTACTCATCTGCTTCAGCCCAACTCTACTACAGTCTTGGGTAATGGTTTGCTGACCATCTGCCTCAGTGTCTAGAAATTCAGGATGACACGAGCTTGGTTTGATTCACTGTTGTATGATCAGCCCCAAGGAAACTGCCCAGCAGAGACAGGCTCTAGATCAGGTCTTACAGAGTGGTTTCCAAAACGCATTTATTCTGGAATAAGCAAAATCAAACTTCTCAAAATCCCTTGCCTCTTTAAGTAATTCTATATGTTACTGAATGCCATGACTATACCCAAGAAACTGCTAACCAGACATTTTGGAAATATTTTTAAGATGTATTTCCAATGTTTGGGAGGGAGTAAGAGGTGGCTTTCCTTGAGAAAATTACTTTCATATTTGAGGATGAAATACTTTGGTCCCAAAAGAAAAGAGCCTGGCTGTTTGCTCATCCCTGAAACAAAGGACAAAGCTCCCACTCTTGTGGGAATTAAGGGACAGGAGAGACCAATGGGTGGAACAGGAGGATTTTATTGGGCGTACGTTGACTTAGCGGAATAACATTTAAAGACTGAGCCCTGAACAAAGATAGGGCTTGACTTTCATACATGCAACTGAAGAGGGTTGGCAGCTAATGGCATGAAATCTGCAGGATGGGCAAGCAAGCTTATAGGAGTAGAATGAAGAGAGTTTTTAAAAAAAAGTGACAGGTGTTATAACTCAGGCATGTATCATGACTTTCAATTATATATGGATGGGAAAACAGAAACCTACAAAATTTTTGTCAACTTCCAGAAGTAGTTATAAAAGTATATGTGAGAGCACATCAAAGAATAATGGTATTGGGTGAGAGTACTATAGAGGGGAAACAGATAAGAACGTGTTATTTTCACTCCTGCTCCTGGAACCCATTCTTTACAGGCCCCATCTCTGCTGATAGTGCTATCAGAGCCCCAACAGGGCCTGGCTTATCCCTGGGTTTTTGGAGTGAGTCAGCTCAGTACACAGAATATGTTTTTTTTTTTAACATTCCCTGTTTCATTTCCACCTTTCATGCTTTTTGTAAATGAGGATTAATAGAGAGAATCACCTAGTAATTCTTCAAGGGGGAGCAGTTCCCTATTTGGCAGGGGTTGATGTTTAGTTAGAGCCATTAGTTGAGTAGTCGTGTGTTTGTTTACAAGAGCCTCTATGGCTGCTTGAATGTTTTTAACAAGGAGGGTAAGAGACAAATTAGAACAAGGCAGAATCCTAGTATGGCTAGAACTATTTTTACTAAGATCTTAAATTCTTCAAAGGATGAAAACAAGCCCCCAAAGAGGGAAACTGGAGACTACCCTTTAAAAGGCTGGACTGTAACATGGGCCAATTTTTGGATTTTGGAAGTTGTATTCTTAATGATCTTTCTAGGCAGCATTTAGTTAGATTGAACTTTCCACATACCCTTCCTTCCTGGACTAGGAAGTAGTTTAAAGACAGTCTATTTTGATGAATAGCATTCTTCATTTTTGTGGCTTGTTGGGCCTGCAGATTTAGGGTCTTTGCAGTGTTATTAGTAATAATTTTCAGCACTGCCTGTAACCTTATGTTGTGGTAGAATATGTAAATAGGAGTGCAGTATCCCCAAATTCCATTTTCTGTCCAGGTGGCTGAGCCATGGTGTTGGAATTTTTAGGGGGTCATTAATTGTTTTACCAATTTCTTATGGTTATGTCTTTTGTTTGTTTGTTCTGTATTTGTTTTATAATAGACCGGATACCCTAAAGGTCCTCCCTGTCCTAAGGCGATTAGAAAGGAGACAGCCTAATTTTTTCCAGTACACTGGCCCCTGACCATTTAGCCAGCAATGGGCAATATGCCCATGGCCCACAGATCCAGTAGAGCTCAGAGGGCACCTGACGGGTATTAGGAGCGTTAAGTTGGTACAAAGAATGCTTTAAAGAAGGGAATCAGGAGAATGGGCCTGGTTGGGGCAGTTTGGAATTATTTTTACCACAACATACAGTTTTTCCTACTGTTTTATTGTAATATTATTGTTCTAGGCAAGTTGACTTTCCTACTGGGCCTGTAAGGTTTTTCTCCAACAAGAAATGCATAATATTCTGATAATGGAGGTCTTTAAGAATCAGATGCTCTGGCTTGTGAACACAGGTTCAGGGGAAGAGACAGTAAGAGTGAAGTTATCTTGGGGCATTAGCTTTCTTGCCTCCCATGGCCATTGGTGTCCCATGTTGGTCCAACCACAAACATAGCATGAGGAGATATGTAGGCTGCTGGCTATGTTTTCAGCCAGTTGAATATACATCAACTGAATAGGCTTCCATATACTTCAACTGAATAGGCTTCTGGCTAAGAGAGAGGGTTCAAACAGTTCCTGGTTGAAATTTTTACAGAATGATTTTAAAACAGAGTTTTCAGGTGTAACCATCCGAGATTTCTTGATAATATGTAAATAGGCTTTTGAGTCTGTTTTCTGGCCACTAACTTGTATTCCTAGAGGAGCCTTTAAACTTGTAGCCCATACAGCCAGATACGGTTTTAAGGTACTGAGATTTTCCAGGTAGCAAGTGCTTGCCTTACAGTTTGTTTTTGCTGTAAGTATGACTCACCCCAGTGATTGCAGGTTACAGGACTGAATTATGCAGTTCCAGCAAATTGTCTCTGAGAAACTGGCAAAGAAAGCAAGGGGTGAACATATATTTTTGTGGCAACTATTATAGTGCTCTTCAGAATTAGAGATTATGGGAAAGGTTGAGCCCATGGATGTTAACTGGCATATATTAAAGGATAAGGACATAACTCCCCAATGGGAGGATGAGACCTTGGTTTGGTGTAGCAGGTTTCCTTCTATTGACCCATGAATTTTAAAAGAGGTCTCAGGTAGGAATTTGGGGTTATAACACATATAAGTCTAGCCATTTCCTGGGTCACAGACTGAGTAGTTTCGTTGTGAGTACAAGTTTCTAGGTGGGTCCCTGTACACTTTTAATAAGTGTGATATAACAGGGTTTTGGTTATGGTGCTCCCTGACCATATTGTTAGTGCAGTGTGGGCACTCTTCTCTGGTCTCCTTTTCTGAAACAAATAAGGGGAGTATTATAGTTAGGAGGAAAAGAAGTGGGCTTAGCTTTCCTATTGCCTGGAATAGGAAATAAGTAAAGAGTAACATGTTTATACCAGGGAGGAAAAGAAGAAGTTTTTACACAGGGGAGGAGGTTGAGCAAAGTGAGAGAACAATAGTAAAACAATGATTGGATTTAAGATTTTTATCACTATTTTATTATATTTTACTCCAGCTTCAAACGTACGTACAGTAGTCAGCTTCCAGGATGACTACAGCAGGGCTGTTGACTCCTCAAGTTTTAGCTGAGAACAGACTAGTCAGCTTTCGGAATGACCAGAGTAGGGCTTCATCATTTCTCAGGGCAAATAGGTCATAGGATTAGCCAGCTCAGATGGTCTGGGTCATGTTTGCTGGTCCACTTGTCTTGGGCTGCAAGTTTTAGTTGACTGTGGTGGATCCAACGCACAATTTCTGCAATGTTAACAGCAGTGGAAGTGGACAAGGTTGCAGGATGGGGCCCATCCCATATGGGTTCTAGAGTGGTTGGATTTTATTTCTGACCTACACAGAGTCCCCAGGTCTAAAGTGGTGTGCTGTGTTTGTTGGGCTTATGGACAATCTTTCCCATACCCAGCCATGGACCTCTTGCATGGCTCTCTTTAACGCCTGCCTTTGCCTTCTTAAAGTTAATTCCCTAGTTTGCAAAGTTCACCCCTAATTTGAGCTATGATTGGGGATGGCCAGTGGAAAATAGTCCCTGAACTGTCTCGGTCACAAATTTCAGTCCATTTTCTGACCCTAGAGTTAGAGGCATTCTCAATCTGGGGATATCGTCTCTTAACAGTACTTCTGTTACTTCTCATGATTTCTCTGTTAGGGTGGGGAAAGCCTCAACTCATCCTGAAAAGGTACAGAAAATCACCAGTATGTACTTACAGCCCACTGATTGGGGCATCTCAGTGAAGTTTCTAAGAAGGTTTTCACAGGGTATGGCTCCCATTTCCTGAATTCCCAGGGGCCAAGTGGGCCCTTGTCATGGAATGTTCTGGGCACAAGTTAGACATTGTTTGCAGACAGATCAAGTGATGACAGTGAGCTGTGGCACATAGAAATGGTGTCCTAGCAGTGTTTTCAGTGACATTTTTCCCATGTGGGTTCCTTGATGGAATTGTTTTACAAATTTTGGGGCCAGCATTTCGTGGTTGGCTAGCCTCCTATTGGAGAATTTTCACCGTCCCTTTTTATATATTTTCCAGACCCTTGGGAAAAGCAGAGCTTCTCATTTGGAGGTAACTTGAAACCTCTGAGAGGTGCATATTTGGGAGGAGAGTCAGCTATGGCTGTCTGTCTGTCTATGGGTAGTCATTGCTGCCCCTTTTGCATACCTGTCTACCTTTTTGTTCCTTTTGGCCTCCAGTGATCCTGGCTTTTGGTGCCCCTTGCAGTGCATAGCAGCTGTCTTCTTTGGAGTCCATACAGCATCTAAGAGTTGCAGAATTTTTTCTTTGTACTTTTTTTTCTTTTTGGCCCACCGCAGTTAAGAATCCTTTTTCTTTATATATAGCCCCATTATCAGGCAGCGTGGCAAAAGTATACTTGGAATCAGTATAAACATTGGCCATTTTACGTTTTGTCAGCAGAACGCTCTCATTAGGGCTATTAGCTCTGCCTTTTGGGCTGATGTTCTGGTGGGCTGAGCTTCTACCACTGAATCTAATGTTATCACTGCATACCCAGTTTCACGGACCCCTTTCAGTATATAGTATTTACCATCTGGGTCCCAGAGGGGTTGCTCTATAAGGTCTTTCTGGCTTGAGAATACATCATCTACTGTTTCCACAGAGTCATGAAGGAGGACCCCTGGTTTGACTGGGACTAAGGTAGCCAGGTTAAGGGTGTTTATTATTTCCAAAGTTATGTCGGGATTTTTGCATATGAGCCCCTGGTACTGAGTCACTCTTGGATTTGATAACTAATAGTGCGCTGTCTAATCCATTAAAGTTAGAACTGACTGTGGTATACCCAGATGGTCAGCTGTTGTCTTAGAGCTAGTTTTCTATCTTGTTGTTCCAATAGGGTGGTGTCAGCTAGTGCCCTAAGGCAAGGAGGCTATGCTAGGGCCAAGGAGTTCAATTGTGTGGATAAGTACATCACCGGGCGAATTCATGATTTCACAACTTGGGTCAGGACACCTATAGCCAATCCCTTTTATTCATGGACATGTGGAAAGAAAGGCTTACTTATATTTGGCAGTCCTATGGCTTGGGCCTGTGTTAAGGCTTCTTTGGCTTGTTTAAACACCTTCTTTTCCTGGACAGCCTCTCAAAGGAGGGGTTTCCTTTCCCCTCTCTTTGTGCCTTTATATAAGGGCTTGGCAATTAGTGAGAAATTTGGGACCCAGATACAGCAGAACCCTGCATTCCCCAAGAATTTTCCCATTTGGCACTGGGTGGTTTGAGTTGAGAGTGCATAAAGACATGGCTTTTGCTCACTGCTGAGCTGGTGTTCCCATTGGCTTACTATGAAGTCCAGATATTTGACACTTTCTTGGCAAATTTGGCCTTCTTTCTGAATACGTTATAACCAGTTTTCCATAAAGGAGATGGAGGAAGTCTTGGATTCCTTGGTATCTGCCCCCTGGGGTTGGGGCTGCTAGGAGAAGGTCGTTTATGTATTGTAGCAAGGTGTAGTTGTCATTTGGTGTGGTGAAGGCCTTGATGTCTGAGGCCAGTGTGTCTCCAAAGATTGTAGGAGTGTTTTTGAATCTTTGTGGGAGTCTAGTCCATGTGAGCTGCTCCCCTGTGCCTGTGACTCAATCGTCCCATTGAAATGCAAAGATGGGCTGACTAATTGGTGCCAGGCACAGATAGAAGAAAATATTCTTTAAGTCTAGTCAAGTAAATCAGGCAGCACTTGCCAGAATGAATCTTATTAGCATGTACGGATTTGGTATCACCAGGTGGAAGGTTACAGTAGCCTGGTTCATTTCATGTAAGTTTTGCACTGGTTTAGATTTACCAGACTCTGTATTTTGTTTTGGTAGCAGTGGAGTGTTCCAGGGTGACTCACACCAGACTACCAGACTAAGATTCTGTGTTTGAAGGGTCACTTTAAATGTTTGTGAATACCCCGCGTGTCTTCTCAGAGAAATAGGTATTGGTGAACCTGAACTGGAGTTGCTCCTGGTTTTAGCTTTACTATTATCAGTGCCTGATTTACAGCCTTTACAGCCAGGCTCAGTGGGTTATTGTTAGCCCATACTCCAAAAATTTTACCCAGTAGTGTAAACACTTTCTCCAGCCCTGGCTTATGAGACAGTTCTGGTGACTGTTTTGTCTATACTCTTCATTCCTCAGCCTGCAGAATAATGAGGGTTAACACCATGACCTTTGGGTGAGTTAGGCTTAAAGTTATATCCTCGTGTGGCCCAAAAGAAATCTGTGCTGTCAGTTTCTGGAGCAGATCTCTTCCATGTAGGGGATCTGAGCAACTTGGGAGGTATAGGAATTCATGTTGGACTTCTTGTCCCTCTATGACATACCTTCTAGGCCAGCAAGATGGCCTCCTTTCTGGATCCCTTGTAGCCCCAATAATAGTTGTATCATGTTTAGATAGTGGCCCTATGGGCTGTGTCACTACTGAGTGTTTAGAGCTGGTGTTCACCATAAAGTCCATCTGTTGCTCCCCTACTTCTACTGTGATCATGGGCTCCTGGGGACTTGGGAGATGGAGCCCGGTCTTGCATAGTCTTCCTATTTTTCGGTCTCTGCCAGCCCAATTAAGTTGATGCCTGGCTCCCTCATGGTGTGGTGGTCCTTGGCTGGCTGTTTGATAGTTTTGTGTCCTCTGTTATTTCTTTTACTACCCTCTAAACACTTATTTTTCCAGGGACCCCCTTTTTTTGCAGTGCAAATATTGATCTCTATCTAGTCTCAGCTGACTTTTGGGTCTCTGCCCTGCTTGGCCCCTTCCACATCTGAGTCTGCATCTGCATCTGCTTGTGATGATAGCTTCCCTTTCCATGAGGGCTGCCACTAGTAGATCGGCCTTCTTCCTGAGTCTCCAATCAGCCTCACTTTGTGCTTTCTGGTCACAGTTAACATACACCTTCGTGGCCAATTCTGAAAGCTGGGTGGCATTCATGCCTGCAAAACCATCTAGCTTTTGCACTTTTCATCTTATGTCCCCCTGGGCTTGTCCTACAAATGCTGCATTTACTATCTGCTGGTTCTTATCCTTGGGGTCAAATGGAGTGTAAAGCCAGAATGCCTCAAACAGTTTCTAATAAAACTTGCTAGGGCTCTCGTCAGTTTCTTGAAGCACTTCTGAGATTTTTTCTATATTGATTACCTGTTTTCTGCCTTCCTTTAGCCTTTGCAAGAGTGGTTTTCAGTATGCCTGCAGATGCTGAAACTGGTCAAATCATCTGGGTCCCAGTGGGAGTGTGCTTCTGGGAACTGGACCTGAGAGTATGCCTGGAAATTAAATGTGCCTTCTGGCACATGGGCTTCTGGCCAGTTGAGGGCTGAATGAGCCATCCTTCCATGCTCTTTGGTGTTAAACAGCATCAGGAGAAGATGTTTACTATCTGGACAAATTGAATTATGTGTCTGGAAAATGGACTGTATCAGATCTATGAGGGCCAGGGGCTTCTTCATGTAGGAGAGAATATGGTGTTTCCAGTTAGGGGATCAGTGATTGAAATAGGCTGGTAGATAAGGGTCCATTTCCCCCCTTACGTATGGCCATATTCATCAAAGTAGAGGCCTCCCCAAGTCTCCTTGAAAGGCATCTGCAGAACCAGGGCATGGCCATAGCAGAGGCAGCTCACTTGATTATTCTGACACTCCTCCTTGACCTCCTGGGGCAGGGGCTCTGATTTCTCCCTTTGGGGTGAAACCCAGGGTGTGTCACCATCTGAATTTGACTCCTCATGGGCCATTGGCCTTGGTAAAAGGGGGCTAATTGGGGTATAGGGAGGAGGGATTTCTGTCTCTTCTGGTGGTTTCCACAAAGCCAGTTTTTCTTGCCCTTCTTATGGCTTTCCCTTTTTCTCCATTGCTGCTGGTGAAGCTGATTCCTCTTTCACTTTAGGCTCAGCTTGAGCAACAAGCGTTTTGCAGTAAGCCATCAGGAAAGACTGTAGCCATGCTGGTTGGGATGATATTTAGCCATAAGTCAATATAAAAAAATTGGTCTGGATACCCTGGCTATTCTCTGACCCCAGTCACCACTTGATGTGCATGGTCAATTATTCCCCATCTATTGTTCCTTCAGCTGGCCACCCAACACTAAAATAGGGCTTCTCTATTTTACAAAGACTCTTTTACCTCTGGGGAGTCGACTTGATACTACAATTCCCAGTGTAACATTTCTTAAACTTTTTAACGTGTATTCTAATATGGTGGGTTTTGACAACTTCCCTCACATCTCCTCCCAGTTATAGTGTCATACACTTACTCTTTTACTTTTGCTTCAGAATGATTAGACCACCTCTCCTGTGGGAGTATTTCAGATGATGCTTAGCTTTAATGGATGGTTTGTATAACCCCTGAACCCAGACCACCACAATCACTAAATTGTGTGGTGCCTGACTAAGCCATATGTGGTAGTTCCGGAGGACATATGCCAGTAATCCTGGTTGGTCCCACACTTCACTTGGGACATATGGTCTATGCTAAGAGACTTGCAGCCCCACATACATCGCCCTACTCTTGCACATGCATTCACACAGTTTCCACTCTCAGTTCCTCTTCAGAGGTTATGGTGTAGGTTTCATCTGAATTAGAGAGCAAATCTTGTGTCCTGATTTGGATAACTAGATACGCACTGGGAGGTGATCAGACTCCCATTCCATCTTTATGGTATGGGTCCTTCCTTGGGCCCCAAACCTTCCCATGGTTCAGCAGCATGCTGTCCCTGGAATTGTCCTGTAGCCCCTTAAGTTCCATTGTGCTTTCGGGGGGTGCACAGGGTCACAGGACATCTGGCCTCTCTTTCAGGTTGAAGTTCTTCTGATGGTGCACCTGGGGTCACAGGTCTTTCCTGGCCTGGAGCTCCAGTCTGACAGGCAAAAGAAACAGCATACCTGTTGTCTCCAATCCTGGATGAGCTCCCAGAAAATGTTGCAGGAATTAAGGAATAGTAGAGACCAGTGGGTGGAAAAGAAGAATTGTATTGTGTGCACCCTGATTTAACAGATTAACATTTAAACACTGAGCCCCAAACAAAGACAGGGCTTGACTTTTGAGTAGCTTGGATATTCTCTCTAGAAGTGTTCTTTGGATTTGTGTGTTGGTAGGTCAT
The DNA here is from genome assembly GCF_000001405.40 of Homo sapiens. Classification (NCBI taxonomy): domain Eukaryota; kingdom Metazoa; phylum Chordata; class Mammalia; order Primates; family Hominidae; genus Homo; species Homo sapiens. Next base: position 22,012,636 of record NC_000024.10, on the reverse strand, counting down.
CCTCTTCTGGTTCATTGACTGGGAGAAAACAGTATTTCCTTGAAGCCCTTTTTATCTGTGCCTATTGGACTTTGTCAATTAGAAGCTTCTACAGTCCATCATCTGGGATACATGAAAGACCTAAAAATCCCAGTAAATTTACATACTGTCACTCTTCAAGTTGTGAAGTCCCTAGAGAAAATGTCTTTCTCTTTCTACTTTTCAGAGTCTGTGTTTCCCTTCTGACATTATGTCAGAAACATTGGTGTGTTGCAGTGTAACTGGGAATTCTAAAAAGTGAAAGTTATAGAAAGGCTTTTAAAGTATCATGCAAAGAAATCATAGGAAGATAATATTACAGAGAATGGCATGATTAGATATACCTACAATGAACTGATTGTATAAAATAAAGTTTTCACCAAAATTAAATAATCTCAAAGAAGTTTTTATAATATATGTGAAATATATGTGAAATAGCCAATGATTTATAGCATATAAATAATATAGGACAGTGAAGAAAAGATAGAATACCTTCCATACACTTGGAAAAATAATACCATTGGCAATGTTTTCAGAAAATGTAAGCAAAAATATGTCTTGCTTCAACTGCAGAAGGGATATAGTAATAACACCTTTCTCAGAGGTTTTCTTTGTTAAGTAACAAGTGATTTGATAGAAATCAAGCACTTATTTCTAGCTCTCTGGAGCAAAGTGAAAATTTGCAAAAGCAACTCTCATGACACCCAGAGACTATAAGTGTAAGACAAAATTATTTTTTAAAAATTCAAACTCACTATCAAGAAAAACATCATTTCTGAGGTTTGGACTCCAATAATATTGGTTGAGATTAACCTTAGTAGTTTGTTGAAGTAGTCAATTGAAGAGTAAAGTTGGATATACTCCCAGGAAAGAAACCATTTCTTTGTTCAAGAGGGCTGGACCCCCTGCCTAAATCATTGGTGAAAGTTCATATTGCTCAGACATTTAGTGGGAACATTTGAGTCAATACTGAAAGCCATGCCCACAGATACTGGGATCTAACACAGAATGAGGTTTTTACTCAAAGCCATGACTTAAAATTTCATATCTCAACCTCTATCCAGTGTGATATTCTAGACTGAAGAGATGATTTTCATATTACCTGAAAGATACAACTACCTTAAAATAAGAAACTGGAATAAAATACTAGATTGAACAATTAAGTTCTTAAAAACCTGAAAAGATTAACATAAAACTGCCCACCCACCAATAATAACTTTACATTTAAAAGGTTAACTTTCATTTACCACTTCAAAGACAACATTGCAAAATCAATGTTGGAAGTTCCATGCCCTAAGAGATAGTCAAGATGCTTAGGGGTCACCCTCAAAAATGAAAAGTTAAATCAAAAGAGTCTTCATAATAACTAGGGTTAGGTGTTTTTGGGGATGAAGAAATGGAATCTAAGGGAAAAACAAGTGGGTAACAGGATACAAATTTTTTAAATAGACAATTATTCATCATTGTCTAAATGAAGCATATATTAAGGGAAATCAAATAATTTTTTTTTTTTTTTGACGTGGAGTCTCGTTCAGTCACCCAGGCTGGAGTACAGTGGCACGATCTCGGCTCACTGCAAGCTCCGCCTCCCGGGTTCATGCCATTCTCTTGCCTCAGCCTCCCAAGTAGCTGGGACTACAGGCGCCCGCCACTATGCCTGGCTAATGTTTTTTGTATTTTTAGTAGAGACGGGGTTTCGCCGTGTTAGCCCGGATGGTCTTGATCTCCTGATCTTGTGATCCACCCGCCTTGGCCTCCCAAAGTGCTGGGATTACAGGCGTGAGCCACCGCGCCTGGCCTGTTTGTTTTTTATACAGAAGATTCAGCATAAATATAGCAAGAATAAGTAATTTCCTAAGTAGATGTGAAAGTAAGGTTGCCAGATGTAGGGGGAAAATACAGGAATTTAAATATCACATTTTAATTTGAAATTTGGCAATGTATTGACAAACAACAAAGAATTATATTTCAGTATAAGTCTGTCCATGCAATATTGAGAATATTACTAAATTACAAAGCTATTGAGAATTATACTAAAATGCTGTTTGTTGTTTATTTAAAATGAAAATGTAACTGGGAATCCTTCATTTTATCTGGTGGCCATACATGAAAGGGAAGTTATGAAAGTTGAGCTCAGATTAGGAAACTTTCATCTGCATTTAAAAAAAACACCATGAGACAAAAATGTTTAGAAAGGGCAACAGGCAGAATACAAAAATTATCTCTACACAGAATATTATTCCACATATGTTTTTGTTACTTAGAGATACATTTTTCAACTTATGAAGACTATGCAAATATCAAAGACCTATCAAAACACCAGGGAAAAGAAGAATAAAGGTTTCCTTGTTTCCTTTTTTTAGCAAGAAGAATAAATATCCAAATGAAAGAGGTATTACAAGAATTTTTTATGAGGCTAATAAATGTGTTACTTTGTTAGAAAAAAGTTAACTAACTGGGTTCTACTGATAAGCTAAGAAAGTTTAGAAATATCGTGACAAATGTCAAAAGCAGGAAAAGAAATAAATATGAGTAAGAAAATTAAATCAACACAATTAGGAAAATAGGTGGCAGGTGGGGAAGGGGAGAGAAGAACTAAGGCAGATATGCCAAAGCAGAGACAAAGAAAATCTAGGGTAGAACAACTCTCTAATCAGATATTAGTTAGAGAGCTATGAGAGTAACCATATTAGATGTAAACGGTTTATATTTCTGTGTTAAAATATAAAGTACTCTAATATTAGATTGAGAAAAAATTGCTTTTACCTAGAAATAATCACCCTGAAATATTGAAAATAAAGGTTTAGAGAAAATCAACAGGTATTTATCAAAAAAGTAAGGTCACTGATATTATACAAGGCAAAGGAGAGTTTTAAGGAAAATACAAACAATAAAGAGGGATAATAAAATATAATTTATAAGGTAACAGACAAAATAAGAAATATCAAAATATGAAAATATATTTTAAAGATAATATAACAGTCACAAATTTAAATGTCTCAGCAGCATTGTCTCAACCTACACCTGAGGCAAATTTTATGAATATCTATTTATGTAGACAAATCCCAATTGTAGTGAGAGGTGTTTAATATATTACTCACTTAGACTGATGAGTATACAGAAATTTAATAGTTAATAGATATACTTTGCAATGTTTATGTACTTACTTTTCTTCAGTTTTTTAAAGTGAAGCCTAGTAGTAGAGCACATTTTCAGGATTTGACAGCTCTGCTAGTAGAGAAAGAATTAATACAGAATAACCCTCATCCCCTTTAACATCAAGTCTATCTAATCTAAGTAGCACCTTGCTTTACCTTCTGACATGCTTACTAGTCATCATGCTCAACCTTCTTTTCCAGATCCACTTTCTCATGATACTGTCTTCTAACTGGCTTACATGGATGCCAGCAAAATGCAGGCTTACCAGGGTATCAAAGCAAAGAAAGAACACGAACTGCAAGATATCCAGTTTCTCTAAAAGGAGTAACTCACTTCTTACACATAAATGTTTGCCAGAGTGTTTCAGCCAACACATTGACAGCTCTGACAAATTATCAGACAACTGCTCTGCATTACAGATGTATATCCCACCAAACTAAAGTAGACGTTCAAACACCTTTCTGTCTCAAGCTGCTGAGATGTAGCTCCCGGAATACCTTCCAGTGAGTACATCTTTTTCTTTAGAGCAAATATTGCAGGTTATATGTTAGCAATTTTAAAAGGTAACACTTTGACAAAATGACCTTTCACTCTGGAAATTTGTGGCACATTCACATTTGCTGCTAGAACATTTCTCTCAAGACACTCAATGGAATATGTGATACTCTTTGATAAGGACCTGTGACATGCCAGCATCAAAAGATGAGACGATAAATTCATATATATGCTATCTATTCTCAAATAAGTGTTACCTACATAGGAAATAAAGTGAAATTGGTGTGAAGTTTCAATTCTGACAGCTGGCACTTATTAAACTTTGGCGCATAAGTAACGTGATTCATCTCATGACTTTTTAAATTAGCTTTCTCTCCGAAGTCCGTGTCCCATTAATTTCCTCAGCCAAGAAGAAAATATTTTTCAATAATCCTAAAAGTAGGTACAATTCTGCTGACTCTACTAGATACTCTAAAAAATCTAGATTCAGACTCATTGACAAGAATTCCAGAAGCACTTTTATAATAGGTTTTATTTCAACAAAATACTGATCTAGTTTTTATTATCCTTGAGAAATAAATGTCATCTCTGCCTTAAAGAGTATTTGGTATACATTTTTCAGAATTTATATCAAAACCAATGACCTAAATATCTTTCACAGAATTTCGTTCTATGTATTTTTTTAAATTAAGAATTTTTACCTCACCAAAACAACCACCAGTTTAAACTATTTTTCAGTGCTCTGGGTAAACAGTTTCACATCCACTATCTAAAACCTAATTTCAAATTGGCCAAAGATCTGTAACCTTTGACTTCTATAGACTTGAAGATGTAAGTAATTTAAATTAGGGTTGGTATTTCATTTTCTTCTTATCTAAATCTTAATTCCTTGGAATAACAAAGTTTGGTGTTGCATAAGAAAACTTCCTGAGTTTAAGACATTTTCAAAAGAAATTTGCCTTCTGCCTTATTGTATTCCAGATATTCAGTGACTATAGTTACAGTGTGTTAGTGATGGTAAATTCTGTGCAGTTCTTTATGAAATACTCTACATAACTGTTAGGTACATCAGTGTTTTTCAAATGGGCTGCTTAATACAGGATCCATTGTGTATATTCACCTTAAAATTTAACTTGTGATTTGGCTGTTTCCTGGATTTGAGAGCACCACATGTGCAGAAATGTACTCAAAATTAAGAAAGGAAGTACAATTTTATATGGATGCTATTAAATTTGAACATCAAGTATCACATGTATCAGTGGGTTTTTCTTTTTTTTTATTTTTATTTTTTTGGTTACTCTATAAAAATGCCTGTTTGGGATTTTTTAATTTTAACTGAGAGAAGCTCTCTTCTGTATAGAACAAATATTCCAAAATAGTTACGTGTTTTGTTTTCCTGTTGCATGACAAAATTAACTATTATTTCCAGCAATGGTGGTGCCTTCAGAGTCCAGTATTGCAGAAGATGTAGTGCCTCAAGTCTAATTTTAACTTTCTAATTCTGGTAGCTATTGTCAGAAACTTTTGAAAGCTTTGTTTATGTAGCCTTATTTTTTATGTAAAGAGAATTAAATTTTGCTATGTATAATTTTTTGTAATCTAACAGTTAATCCACATTGTCAATCAGTGTCAAGGGCTTCCTATTGTTCTACTCAAGTGTTACAATAAGTATTTGTAGATAATAGTTAATCCTTGTCTATGCTTATTTTAAAGATCTATATTGGTGAAAATAGTTGTGGATATATTAAGAGAAATGAAATAAAAGTATAGCTTCATTCACTTGCCTTTTTACTTTATACAAATCTTATCTTTCTTTTTCCCTAGTATGCTGTGACTTTTGAATAATGTGCATAGTAAAGATTTCACACTGGTGTGGTAGTCAAGTCTGTGAGTGCTACTTGGTTTATTTCTGGAAAATTTTCTTCAGCCATTTAAGAAAATATTATAATCTACCGGGCTGTACTGGGTATAAAAGTGCCAAAAGCACTTCTGTAGTTTTCTGTATATAGTAAGTACTTTCCTGACTAGTTTTGAAACAAATAAAAGCCACCTACCTATGAGATTAACAAGGCTTAAACTTGTGCAAATTACAAGCAATCAGTGCCCATGTGTAGTTGTTTATTTTTCAAATCGATGGTATAAAAATTGAAAGATTTACTCAGAAATATAGAGCAACCAGTTCTAACAATTACTCTCTAGAGTTGCAGAGCTAAATATGTTACTCAGAGTATTATTATATAATGTTTTTCAACTCCTTATTTGTCAATATAATTCTGAATTTGGATTGTCCGCATCTGACCTTTTTTAGTGAGGCCTAGCCTTTGTCACTATTGACACATGCCTACTCTTCATTGAGGTGCTGACTCTGGATCATCATCCTTTATTCATACATGACAGAAAAACAGTCAACAGTTCAATTAGTGTGCTATTTGTCACCTTCTTTTCTTCCTACTTTTAAGTAGCATTTTGTGCAATTATTTAAGTCACATGAATAGACAGGAAACTAAATAATACATAGATGTGATCACAGGCAGCCTCTAAATTATCCACAGTGATTCTGCCAAAAAACCTAGGACAATCTACAGGTTTCAGTAGAGATTTTTTTTTCCAGTTCTGCATTGTAAACGTTGATTTTTAGAAAATAAAAATGAAATCAATTGTAAAGAAGGAGCCGTGTGTTTTAAAATTAATGAAACACTTGAAGCCCATTCATTAAGTATGAGGACCAATGGTTCCACAATAAAGATGCTATCTCAGTACCTTCCTGCTGCAATAACACAATACATTGGACTGGGTAACTTATAAAACCAGAAGTAAATTTCTTACAGTTTTAGAGACTGAGAAGTCCAAGATCAAGGCATTGATGGTCTCCATGTCTGGTGAAGGCCTGGTCTCTGCTTCCAAGACGGCACCTTGTTGCTGCCTTCTCTAGAGAGGACAAATACAGTGTCTTCTAATGGTGGAAGGGCTAAAAAGCTTTGTTAGTTCCATTGAGTTCTTTTATAAGGTCGCTAATTGCTCTCTTATTTGCCTCCCAAAATCTTGAATTTTTACTTCTACCATTCTGGGGTGTTTAAATTCCAACATATAAATTCTGGAGGGACACAATTACTAAAGCCACAGGCATCAAATGCAAAGACCAGAGGCAATATTGTACTATTTCTAATGCCTAGAAAAATCTGTATTTTAGTGTTCAGGTAGAAAACAGAAATGTGCTGGGAAAAATGGCCTCTTGTTTTACAGAAGGCAGCCCAGCTCTTCAGAGGAAAGAACACAGCTTACCCTTCCCAAATATAGGCCTAGATTTGACAAATAAGATAGGTTAAACACATTTAAAAATTTGAGACCAAAATAAGAATGTTTTTTAAAAAGAACAGCTCCTTTTAGTGTAATGAATGAGACATTTTATGACTGGAAAAGGGGTTTCACTTGACTCGATTATTCTTGGTTCATACACTATAGTATCAAATGCAATTAGGAAAAAACAAATACACTGGATTACACAGTGATTTCTATCGAGAGTTTTGTCTGATGACAGAGAAACATTTACAAAGGGGTAAATGTTATGTATCTTCTCATTATATTTGCAATAGAAGCTGGAGAGCAAACCTGGTTTTCAAGAGTGATCTGGTCCTTCATGAGAAAATCCTGTTCAATTACCAAAGGGGAGACAAAAATTAAAACGTAAAAATTTTGAAAATTTGTGTCAGATTTATTTGGTATCTTTGTAATGTTCTCAATTTATTTTCTGGGGAGTTTCTGGTCTTGCTTATCAATTATATTAGGATCAATTTCACAAGTTAGAAAATCCAATCCTTTCTTTTTATAGTCAGTAATTCTGACTGATTCAATAACTTCTTACAGGCAACCTCAAATTTCTAACCATTTCTTTTGGCTGAAAAAATAAGCAATTAACCGTTCACACATAAAACACAGTGTGGGGAAACCAAGTCCATTTCAACTTTGTCACTAGATTGAAGCATGTCTATAGGGAGCCTTCCTGAATCACCTTTCTTGAGCTCTGATTACCTGGGGGAAAGGGAAGAATTTTGAAATTAGGTATGCATTAATTTTATGAAATACTTGGCTAAGAACCATTTTTGAAACATACATGTAATTTGAAAGCCTAAAAAAGCAGTGATTTATAAACACAAAATTTAGCAAGCACATCAAAATAAACCATAAGGTATGCATTTAACACCATGATGCTTCTGACATATAAAATATTAATGTCAGTACTAATGTCCTTGTTATATGATAATAGTTTTTTTTCTCTTGGTCCTAAAACAGTGAACCACCCTACCTTACAAATTTTGACAAACTAAAATCTCTTAAATATTTTATCTTAAGAATGAAATATTTTATCTTAAATGTTTATCGGAAGAGTAATACCTTTAAAAGACTCGAGGTTCCATCTGAACTTTCGATTTTTTATGCTTTTCACCTTTTTGTCTTCAACGGAGAAGAAAGATTACTTGGATGTGCATTCTTGTTTCGAGAAGTAAAAATAAACCACAGAAGCCCTGTGTGTCCCCGCCCACAGTGTGTGTGCCAGTGAACTAATTTTTCATAATGGAAGTCATTCCTATCATCAATGGAAAACAAATAGATCATCTCAATGAAGGAAGCCATTAATTTCCCTCAAGTGTCCTGCGCTTTAGATTTGAATTAACCAGGAATCCAGGGAACATTCTTATGTTACAGTAATTCAAGCAAGACTTAACAAGGTTGTTAAGTGGACAGAGTAATCCATCTGATAGGACAAGAATCAGAATACAGATGTGAAGAAGAGAACCTGAGGAAAAAGGGGTGCAGCATACGCCCCTGGAAGCAAACTTGGACTGGCAGCCATCTCCACCTTTGGGTTCTTCTAGTACCAGCTAGCTGACACTGACAGCCTCTTCCTTAAACTCTGATTTCAAAGCAACATTCTGAAGCAAAGCACAGTCTACTTTTTTACAGCCTTATTTAAGGATCAGATGAGAATGCACAAAAATTACCTTCAAAAACAACCATTTACTACCAAACTCCTAAGCTGCATATTCTACACAGCATTTCTCACTGCTTGTAAGACAAGAAGAGGACAGGGATTCCTTTTCGGGCACCTGCCACTCCTCTGAATTTGGACACTAATTGACTCCCTTCACTCACCTCAATGTAGTTACTAAAGGTGAACAATGCAGCAACTTGTACAGAGAATTAAGTCATAATTATTACCCTTTCTTGATCCAGTTTTTCTAGTTCCCTCTGTTCCCTTTCTAAAATGTAGGTTACTCTGCCTTTTTTTCTTCTCTCTGCCTTCATTCTTTCACTTGCTGTTTCCACATTTTTTTCTTCTTCCTTTTGTTCTTCAATTTCTTTCTGATCTAGATCTAATAGAACAGAAAATAAAGAATTGCTGCCTGTATCACATTGTTCAAATGAATGCAGGACCATTCTGCAGGAGTCCTTGCCAAGATCCGGAGAGACTCTGCTGGGCTTTTGGTTGACATGTGACCTGCTTCAAGTTGCTCTTCCCTGTTCATTGACTTCAGGCCCCCAATCCCACTCCTTGCCACTGCATTCCACTTCACTTGGCTGAGATGAATACAAGTCACCCTCATCATGGCCGACTCCAACTGACATATCCTCCCTCCATGTCACAGGTTCTTGTCCTTTACACAGATCTCCTTTCTCTTCTTGACAGCAAAGCCTACATTTCAACCTCTGCCTTTCATTATAATACCTCTCCTATCTGTATGACCCTGACTGAGCCACTGATCCCTATTTCTATACAGATCAGTTTTATAATTCTTACTCCCATAAAGATGCTCAACTCTGTTCTACTCTGAAAAACAGAACAGACATCAAACCCCTGCACTCCCCCAGCCATTCTAGCCATCTCACTGTTCATTTCCCACTTCCTCCAAATGGACAGCAGCCCTTCCTGGGGTTTTCACTATTATTCAGATAAGGATCCTTTCCATATCTTTTCCTCTATTCCTGCTCTCTTCACCTACCCTTGCATCCACAGTTCTGATAGTTTTCTACTATACACATGTGAAATCCCCACAATACCAGCTTCATCATGGGTGTGATCATTCTAGTTTTTTGTTTTGTTTTGTTTTTTTGTTTTTTGTTTTTTTTTTTTTTGTCATGCTCTTTCCATCCTCCATCTGCCCAGCAACCAGCGCTGGCACATTCATATTCCCTGTATTTCAGCTGCAACAGGGGTCTTCCACACCATCTCCCTGAAATACTTAAACAGCCCAGTCAGGACTCTCCTTGAAGTCAGTCTGTACCTTCTAGTAACTTGTGATCATTTCTACCAGGCATTTCCTGAGGCATTTCCTGTGTATCTGCTGTGCAGTGTCTCTGCTCTGGTAGAATTCAACACCATGGTAGTATGGGCTCCAATAATCTGCCTTTATCTTTCCATATCGATTTCCTGTAACACCACCAGCTTTGTACTAGAAATATTTCATCTCTCTCAACCCACTCACTGGGGCCTGGCCATGGCTGTGTCTTCCTTGCTTGTCATTTGCCTTTACTGTATCCTCAGCCTGTATTAATCCCATGCTGTCATAAAGCCTGATATGACCTAACTGAAATGATAAAACCTAACTGAAATGTCATCTCCTCCTTATTTCTGAAGGGACAAGTAACCAAACCAGTCCAGCACATTACTTGCACGATATCTTGCACCTGCTTCTTGAAAACCTACAGATACTTGTTTCGTCCACTTCTATTTTATCCAGGGAATGCCCATGTTTTAATAAATTGTCTCTTCCCTTTGCATCTTGGCACAGATCTCTGCATCTCACATGTTTAATTACATCTCATGCTCAGAAACAATTTTACTGACCTTTCTCTTCAAGTTCTGACACGTAACTTATTTTTTTATAAAGCTAGCAATGCTAATAACAAGAAAAATTCATAGGCTTACAGGAGGATTCTGCACCCTTTTGCTCTTCCTTATTTTAAAGTCATCAGCAGGGAGTTAGTTTCATGAATAAGAGAGAAGCAACACAATTTTTTCTCTCATTACCACCCATCTCGTCTCAATACTTCTGATGAAATTAAAATACAAAAAGGGACAATTTCTGCAGACAGAAATGCAACTTCCTCCTTGTTTAAAGAAGAAACAAAAGTTACTCTAAAGTGAGATTGCTTTCTTATGTGGAATAGTATTCTCAAAATAGCAATGTTGTTTAAGCACATTTATATTGAGAAATAAATAGGAAGAACAAACTACTTTTCTACTCTGGTGTGTATTTTGCACCTGTATGGTGGAATACAGAAATGTCTTTGGACACAAAGGCAAAGAAATAAAGTATGTTTATTGGGTACCTCATAGCAGAGACAACAAATTTCAGCCTTTTCCATATCATCTGTGCCCATGCAGAGGTGAAATGATGAATATAAAAATTTCTCAATAACAACTATGTTACTCGCTATGCTGCTTAAAAATTTTAAGGCAAATATTATAATGTACATTCTCTCTGAGAGGTAGAACACCTTGTTACTCAGTTGATTTCGTTTATTCTATCATGTTATTTTTATTCCCTTGCTTAGGCCTGTGAAAAATGGCTGCCTGTCAGAAACTCCCTCTTGTGGCCATGTCACCTATGCATCAGCTGCAACCGGTTTCTTCTGCAGTCCTGGGTAATGGCTTGCTGACCATCTGCCTCAATGTCTAGAAATCAGGAAGACAAAGGCTTGGTTTGGTTCACTGTTGTATGTTCAGCCCCAAGGAAAGTGCCCAGCAGACAGAGGCTCTAGATCAAGTCTCACTGAGTGCTTTCCAAAGCAGATTTACTCGGGAATCAGCAAAACACAATTTCTCAAAATCCCTTGCCTATTTAAGTAATTCTATGTGTTCCTCAGTGCCATGAATACACCCAAAAAACTGCTAACCAGACGTTTTGGTAATGTTTTGAAGAAGATGTATTTTCAATATTTGTGGGGAACAAAGAGGTGGCTTAACTTGAGAAATTATCTTTCATATTTGAGGATTAAACACTTTGATCCCAAAAGAAAGGATCCTGGATGTTTGCTCAGCCCTGGAACAAAAGTGCAAAGCTCCAACATCTCTCTTCCCATCTCCCTCCATCTCCAGCAAGGAAAGTTGGTAATCTTAAAGAAGGCTGGAATAAGAAAGTGGGACAGACAAGAGAAGTCTGATGGCCAGTTTTTGTATAGTGCTAAGTTAAACCAGTGTTACAGCTTTTCCAAAAATTGAAATACGAAATCTATTTCCCCAATTCCTTATTTTTTTTTACTTTTTTTAAATATTATACTTAAATTCTACAGTACATGTGCATAATGTGCAGGTTTGTTACATATGTATACATGTGCCATGTTGGTGTGTTGCACCCATTAACTCATCATTTACATTAGGTATGTCTACTAATGCTATCCCTCCCCGCTCCCCACACCCCAAGACAGGACCTGCTGTGTGATAGTCCCCTTCCTGTGTCAAACTGTTCTCGTTGTTCAAGTCACACCTACGAGTGAGAACATGTGGTGTTTGGTTTTTTGTCCTTGTGATAGTTTGCTGAGAATGATGGTTTCCAGTTTCATCCATATCCCCACAAAGACATGAACTCATCTTTTTCTATGGTTGCATAGTATTCCGTGGTGTATATATGCCACATTTCCTTAATCCAGTCTATCATTGATGGACATCTGGGTTGGTTCTAAGTCTTTGCTATTGTGAATAGTGCCGCAATAAACATACGTGTGCATATGTCTTCATAGCAGCATGATTTATAATCCTTTGCGTATATACCCAGTAATAGGGATGGCTGGGTCAAATGATATTTCTAGTTCTAGATCCTTGAGGAATTGCCACACAGTCTTCCACAATGGTTGAACTAATTTACTGTCCCACCAACAGTGTAAAATTGTTCCTATTTCTCCACATCCTCTCTAGCACCAGTTGTTTCCTGACTTTTTAATGATCACCATTCTAACTGGTGTGAGATGGTATCTCATTGTGGTTTTGCTTTGCATTTCTCTGATGGCCAGTGATGATGAGCATTTTTTTCATATATCTGATTGTTGCATAAATGTCTTCTTTTGAGAAGTTTCTGTTCATATCCTTCACCCACTTTTGGATGGGGTTGCTTGTTTTTTTTCTTGTAAATTTGTTTGGGTTCTTTGTAAATTCTGGATATTAGCCCTTTGTCAGATGAATAGATTTCAAACATTTTCTCCCATTCTGTAGGTTGCCTGTTCACTCTGATGGTAGTTTCTTTTGCTGTGAAGAAGCTCTTTAGTTTAATTAGACACCATTTGTCAATTTTGGCTTTTGTTGCCATTGCTTTTGGTGTTTTAGGCATGAAGTCCTTGCTCATGCCTATGTCCTGAATGGTATTGCCTAGGTTTTCTTCCAGGGTTTTTATGATTTTAGGTCTAACATTTAAGTCTTTAATCCATCTTAAATTAATTTTTGTATAAGGGGTAAGGAAGGAATCCAGTTTCAGCTTTCTACATATGGCTAGCCAGTTTTCCCAGCACCATTTATTAAATAGGGAATCTTTTCCCCACTTCTTGTTTTTGTCAGATTTGTAAAAAATCAGATGGTTGTAGATGTGTGGTATCATTTCTCAGGGCTCTGTTCTGTTCCATTCATCTATATCTCTGTTTTGGTACCAGTACCATGCTGTTTTGGTTACTGTGGCCTTGTGGTATAGTTTGAAGTCAGGTAGCGTGATGCCTCCAGCTTTGTTCTTTTGGCTTAGGATTGACTTGGCAATGCGGGCTCTTTTTTGGTTCCATATGAACTTTAAAGTTTTTTTTTCCAATTCTGTGAAGAAAGTCCTTGGTAGCTCGATGGGGATGGCACTGAATCTATAAATTACCTTGGGCAGTATGGCCATTTTCACGGTATTGATTCTTCCTACCCATGAGCATGGAATGTTCTTCCATTTGTTTGTATCCTCTTTTATTTCATTGAACAGTGGTTTGTAGTTCTCCTTGAAGAGGTCCTTCACATCCCTTGTAAGTTGGATTCCCAGGTATTTTCTTCTCTTTGAAGCAATTGTGAATGGGAGTTCACTCATGATTTGGCTCTCTGTTTGTTATTGGTGTCTAATAATGCTTGTGATTTTTCCACATTGATTTTGTATCCTGAGACTTTGCTGAACTTGGTGATCAGCTTAAGGAGTGTGAGATGGTATCTCATTGTGGTTTTGATTTGCATTTCTCTGATGGCCAGTGATGATGAGCATTTTTTCATGTGTTTTTTGGCTGCATAAATGTCTTCTTTTGAGAAGTGTCTGTTCATGTCCTTCGCCCACTTTTTGATGGGGTTGTTTGCTTTTTTCTTGTAAATTTGTTTGAGTTCATTGTAGATTTTGGATATTAGCCCTTTGTCAGATGAGTAGGTTGCGAACATTTTCTCCCATTTTGTAGGTTGCCTGTTCACTCTGATGGTAGTTTCTTTTGCTGTGCAGAATCTCTTTAGTTTAATTAGATCCCATTTGTCAATTTTGGCTTTTGTTGCCGTTGCTTTTGGTGTTTTAGACATGAAGTCCTTGCCCATGCCTATGTCCTGATTGGTAATGCCTAGGTTTTCTTCTAGGGTTTCTATGGATTTAGGTCTAAGGTTTAAGTCTTTAATCCATCTTGAATTGATTTTTGTATAAGGTGTAAGGAAGGGATCCAGTTTCAGCTTTCTACATATGGCTAGCCAGTTTTCCCAGCACCATTTATTAAATAGGGAATCCTTTCCCCATTGCTTGTTTTTCTCAGGTTTGTCAAAGATCAGATAGTTGTAGATATGCAGTGCTATTTCTGAGGGCTGTTTTCTGTTCCATTGATCTATATCTCTGTTTTGGTAACAGTACCATGCTCTTTTGGTTACTGTAGCCTTGTAGTATAGTTTGAAGTCAGGTAGTGTGATGCCTCCAGCTTTGTTCTTTTGGCTTAGGATTGACTTGGCGATGCAGGCTCTTTTTTGGTTCCATATGAACTTTAAAGTAGTTTTTTCCAATTCTGTGAAGAAAGGCATTGGTAGCTTGATAGGGATGGCATTGAATCTCTAAATTACCTTGGGCAGTATGGCCATTTTCAGGATATTGATTCTTCCTACCCATGAGCATGAAATGTTCTTCCTTTTGTTTGTATCCTCTTTTATTTCATTGAGCAGTGGTTTGTAGTTCTCCTTGAAGAGGTCCTTCACATCCCTTGTAAGTTGGATTCCTAGGTATTTTCTTCTCTTTGAAGCAATTGTGAATGGGAGTTCACTCATGATTTGGCTCTCTGTTTGTCTGTTGTTGGTGTATAAGAATGCTTGTGACTTTTGTACATTGATTTTGTATCCTGAGACTTTGCTGAAGTTGCTTATCAGCTTAAGGAGATTTTGGGCTGAGACAGTGGGGTTTTCTAGATATACAATCATGTAGTCTACAGACAGGGACAATTTGACATCCTCTTTTCCTAATTGAATACCCTTTATTTCCTTTTTTTTTTTTTTTTTTTTTTTGAGATGGAATCTTACCCTGTAGCCCAGGCTGGAGTGCAGTGGTGTGATCCTGGCTCACTGCAAGCTCCACCTCACAGGTTCATGCCATTCTCCTGACTCAGCCTCCAGAGAAGCTGGGACTACAGGTGCCTGCCACCATGCCCGGCTAATATTTTGTATTTTTAGTAGAGATGGGGTTTCACTGTGTTAGCCAGGATAATCTCAATCTCCTGACTCATGATCTGCCCACCTCAGAAGAAATACATTCTCTAAAATCACTCATTTTAAATCTGATAAGTTAATGATGTATTTATGAGCTTAGCTCAAACTCTGAAATTTGTCATGCTGAGATTTTTAAAAGTAAACAGACACAACCATAAAAAGTTTCATGATAGGAAAATGAGGTGATGCAGCTGTACTTGTAGTTTTATCACAGAATAAAAATGTTCCAATTTGTAGCTGCTTTTTTTTAATACCAATAGATATGTTTCACCAAAACTAATTTTTCTACAACTTCAACTTATAAAAACTGATACTTATGTTGAAACTTACCTTTAAAAGGTGAGTCAAATTAGTCATTGTCCTTAAAATTTAGCTTGTTGACAACTGAAAATTCACTTTTGTCTTGAAGTTCCCTCTGTCTGTGGTAAAGGCTAGATTGGAAAAATAAAATTCATGAATATGAAGTTCTAATAATGGAAAACCCAAGAGCATCAGGTGGCAAAAATCCTTCTGTTACTCAAGAAAATGCTCTGAAAAATTTCTTTTCTCTTTTTTTTGTAAAGATTACTCCACCTCACCACCATCATGAGGCACTGTTCTCAGCAATTAATACCTGCTTACTCAGTTACTCACTGTAACTATGTTATACTGTGAAGTGGGTACTACAGTTGTTAAGGAAGAATAATGTTGGACTCTGAATGCTACTCCTAGGAGTTTACTTTTTCAATAATGATAAAACATTTCCAAAACAATTTCTGCATATAATCAGCATGAGCCAGATGAGGAGGCATTAGCAAAAAATTGAGTGAACAGAGTGCCCTACTTAGCATATGTGTGTGTCTTATCCTTCCTTTTCGCTTATCACAAGTACAAAAAAAAAAATAACCTGGCCATGTGTGGTGGATCATGCCTGTAATCCTAGCACTTTAGAAGGCTGAGGCTTGCAGATTACTTGGTCAGGAGCTTGAGACCATCCTGGCCAACATGGTGAAAACCCGTCTCTACTAAAAATATAAAAATTAGGTGGAGCCAAGATGGCCAAATAGGAACAGTTCCAGTCTACAGCTCCCAGCAAGAGCGATGCAGAAGATGGCTGATTTCTGCATTTCCAACTGAGGTACCGGGTTCATCTCCCTGCGGAGTGTTGGAAAGTGGGTGCAGGACAGTGGATGCAGCATAGTGAGCATGACCCAAAGCAGGGTGTGGCATCACCTCACCTGGGAAGTGCAAAGGGTCAGGGAATTCCCTCCCTAGTCAAAGAAAGGGGTGACAGACGGCACCTGGAAAATCAGGTCACTCCCACCCTAATACTGCACTTTTCCAATGGTCTTAGCAAATGGCATACCAGAAGATTATATCCTGTGCCTGGCTCAGAGGGTCTTATGCCCAAGGAGCCTCACTCATTGCTAGCACAGCAGTCTGAGATTAAACTCCAAGGGGGCAGCGAGGCTGGGGAAGGGACACCCATGATTGCTGAGGCTTGAGTAGGTAAATAAAGAGGCTGGGAACCTCGAACTGGGTGGAGCCCACCGCAACTCAAGGAGGCCTGCTTGCCTGTGTAGACTCCATCTCTGTGGGCAAGGCATAACCAAACAAAAGGCAGCAGAAATCTCTGCTGACTTAAATGTCCCTATCTGACAGCTTGAAGAGAGTAGTGGTTCTCCCAGCATGCAGCTGGAGATCTGAGAATGGAAAGACTGCATCTTCAAGTGGGTCCCTGACCCCCGAGTAGCCTAACTGGGCGACATCCCCCACTGGGGGCTGACTGACACCTCATACAGCAGGGTACTCCTCTGAAACAAAACTTCCAGAGGAACGATCAGGCAGCAATATTTGCTGTTCACCAATATCCGCTGTTCTGCAGCCTCTGCTGCTGATATTCAGGCCAACAGGGTCTGGAGTGGTCATCCAGCAAATTCCAACTGACCTGCAGCTGAGGGTCCTGACTGTTAGAAGGGAAACTAACAAACAGAAAGGACATCCACACCAAAACCCCATCTGTATGTCACCATCATCAAAGACCAAAGGTAGACAAAACCACAAAGATGGGGGAAAAAACAGAGCAGAAAAACTGGAAACTCTAAAAATCAGAGCACCTCTCCTCCTCCAAAGGAATGCAGCTCCTCACCAGCAATGGAACAAAGCTGAATGGAGAATGACTTTGGCCAATTGAGACAAGAAGTCTTCAGACAATCAAACTACTCCAAGCTAAATGAGAAAGTTCAAACCCATGGCAAAGAAGTTAAAATCCTTAACAAAAAAATTAGACGAATGGCTAACTAGAATAACCAATGCAGAGAAGTCCTTCAAGGACCTGATGGAACTGAAAACCAAGGCAAGAGAACTATGTGATGAATGCACAAGCCTCAGTAGCAGATCAGTTGGAATTTGCTGGATGACCACTGCTGTATGAGATACAGCTACTACTGGATCTGCACTGAATCTGCTACTGGATCAACTGGAAGAAAGGGTCTCAGTGATGGAAGATGAAATGAATGAAGTGGAGAAGAGAAGTTTAGAGAAAAAGGAATAAAAAGAAACAAAGAAAGCCTCCAAGAAATATGGGAATATGTGAAAAGACCAAATCTACATCTGATTTGTGTACCTGAAAGTGACGGGGAGAATGGAACCAAGTTGGAAAACACTCTGCAGGATATTATCCAGGAGAACTTCCCCAATCTAGCAAGGCAGGCCAATATTCAAATTCAGGAAATACAGAGAACACCACAAAGATACTCCTCAAGAAGAGCAACTCCAAGACACATAATTGGCAGATTCACCAAAGTTGAAAACAAGGAAAAAATGTTAAGGACAGTCAGAGAGAAAGGTTGGGTTACCCACAAAGGGAAGCCCAACACACTAACAGCTGATCTCTCAGCATAAACTCTACAAGCCAGAAGAGAGTGGGGGCCAATATTCAACATTCTTAAAGAAATGAATTTTCAACCCAGAATTTCATATCCAGCCAAACGAAGCTTCATAAGTGAAGGAGAAATAAAATCCTTTACAAAGAAGCAAATGCTGAGAGATTTTGTCACCACCAGGCCTGCCCCAAAACAGCTCTTGAAGGAAGCACTAAACATGGAAAGGAACAACCAGTACCAGCCACTGCAAAAACATACCAAATTGTAAAGACCATTGAGGCTAGAAAGAAACTGCATCAACTAACAAGAAAAATAATCAGCTAATATCATAATGAAAGGATCAAATTCACACAAAACAAAACAAAAGCCAAAATGGACAAATGGGATCTAAAGAAACTAAAGAGCTTCTGCACAGCAAAAGAAACTACCATCAGAGTGAGCAGGCAACCTACAGAATGGGAGAAAATTTTTGCAATCTACTTATCTGACAAAGGGCTAATATCCAGAAGCCACAATGAACTCCAACAAATTTACAAGGAAAAAAAAAAAAAAAACCCATCAAAAAGTGGACTAAGGATATGAAGAGACACTTCTTAAAAGAAGACATTTATGCAGCCAAAAGACACATGAAAAAATGCTCATCATCACTAGCCATCAGAGAAATGTAAATCAAAACCTCAATGAGATACCATCTCACACTAGTTAGAATGGCAATCATTAAAAATCAGGAAACAACAGATGCTGGAGAGGATGTGGAGAAATAGGAACACTTTTACACTGTTGGTGGGACTGTGAACTAGTTCAACCATTGTGAATGTCAGTGTGGCAAGTCCTCAGGGATCTAGAACTAGAAATACCATTTGACCCAGCCATCCCTATTACTGGGTATATACACAAAAGATTACAAAACATGCTGCTATAAAGACACATGCACACGTATGTTTATTGTGGCACTGTTCACAATAGCAAAGACTTGGAACCAACCCAAGTGTCCAACAGTGATAGACTAGATCAAGAAAATGTAGCACATATACAACATGGAATACTATGCAGCCATAAAAAAATGTTGAATTCATGTCCTTTGTAGGGACATGCATGAAGCTGGAAACCATCATTCTCAGCAAACTATCACAAGGAGAAATACCCAAACACCACATATTCTCACTCATAGGTGGGAACTGAACGATGAGAACACAGGGACACAGGAAGAGGAAAATGACACACATTAAGAAATACACCTCCCTAGCTACAAGTTTCATTTGAATAACTTGATTTCCATAAATAATGCCAATGCACTTACACCAGTTAAAATGTACCAATATCTGGATCTCTGACTCATTGAAAAATTACTGAGCCAAGTAAAAACTCCAACAAATATATTTCTCTACATACAATTTAGCCCGGAATAACTTGAATTCTATCAATAATGCCAGCCCACATACACCACTTAAAGTCTGCTAATGTCTAGATTTCACATTGTCTGCCTGGTCCCAAGAATGTGCCTAACTAGCATAGCTTTTCCTTCATATATTAAATAACTTTTTTTTTTTTTGTATTGAGCAGCAATCTTTTAATCTCAGGGAGAAAGCAAAGTCTGTCTCTGTAGGGGTTTTGCTTTGTGGATTACTCTCTAGCATTAAGAAGAGAACCTGTACGTCAGGTGCTTATTTGTTTGGATTCTTTTAAAACAAGAAAGAGCATAAATATATTGAATCCTGGATGTCTACTTTAAAATCATCTATCAAATATCTTTCTTAAACAGTAGAGAGTACTTGACGGTTATTTCTGTTTAACAGCTTCTGCAAAAGAAGAATTATCTAGCCCCAACTATAATTCTTGAAAACCTGGTATTTGCTTGGCTTCTTTATTACAAGATTCTAGCAACTTTTGTATCATAAGACACATTCATTTTCTTAATCCAGTCTATCATTGTTGGACATTTGGGTTGGTTCCAAGTCTTTGCTATTGTGAATAATGCCGCAATAAACATACGTGTACATGTGTCTTTATAGCAGCATGATTTATAGTCCTTTGGGTATATACCCAGTAATGGGATGGCTGGGTCAAATGGTATTTCCAGTTCTAGATCCCTGAGGAATCGCCACACTGACTTCCACAATGGTTGAACTAGTTTACAGTCCCACCAACAGTGTAAAAGTGTTCCTATTTCTCCACATCCTTTCCAGCACCTGTTGTTTCCTGACTTTTTAATGATTGCCATTCTAACTGGTGTGAGATGGTATCTCATTGTGGTTTAGATTTGCATTTCTCTGATGGCCAGTGATGATGAGCATTTTTTCATGTGTTTTTTGGCTGCATATGGCACATATACACCATGGAATACTATGCAGCCATAAAAAATGATGAGTTCATGTCCTTTGTAGGGACATGGATGAAATTGGAAATCATCATTCTCAGTAAACTATCACAAGAACAAAAAACCAAACACTGCATATTCTCACTCATAGGTGGGAATTGAACAATGAGATCACATGGACACACGAAGGGGAATATCACACTCTGGGGGCTGTTGAGGGGTGGGGCGAGTGGGGAGGGATAGCATTGGGAGATATACCTAACGCTAGATGACGAGTTAGTGGGTGCAGCGCACCAGCATGGCACATGTATACGTATGTAACTAACCTGCACAATGTGCACATGTACCCTAAAACTTAAAGTATAATAATAAAAAAAGAAAAATGTTCACACACACACACACACACACAAAAAGACACATTCAGTATCTGTCTTATAAAAACGTTAGGCATAATGTGTATGCATAATGTGGTGTGCCAATATACATATGTTGATGTGTATTGTGTATGCCTTCCAGCTGTAGTGAAATTTAGCTCTTCACCAATCATCAGTGACTGAATTTTCTTTCTTGGGACCCCAGAAACTTAGACTGTCTACAGTTTCATTTGCTATATTAGCGTTGCACAGAAATTATAAAAATGTAATGAGAAAGAAAAGGGGAGAAATATAAACTCTATGGTTTAGCTTCTAATCATAAATCAACATAATTGACTTCACCCCATTTATCTCAACTTGAACAACCAAATTTTTCAAAAGCTTCTTAACATCTCTGATTTATAAAAAACACAGATTGGGTTAAGAAACCTTGAAAATATAATATCAGAAAGTTCTACATGTACGCCTTTCTTTACAATTTTCAGAAGATATAGTCCAACGCTATCAATTTTTTATAGGCACCTGAGACTCTAGATATTAAAATACTTAGATTTTAGAATATTTATCTTCATTTGTAGCATCTAACCACTAGATGCTAAAAGCAACCTTAAGAATTCCACTCCCAGTCATGAATCAGGCTTAGAGTAAAATCTATTGATCTATAGAAAACCCTAGAAAATCACAAGGAATGTGTGTCAGCTCCATGAGCTCATCAATAATTGTTCCCCTTCCACACTATGCTTCAGCCACGGTGATCTTGCCATTTTTCCTAACACGATAAGCAGGCTTATGCCAGGAGTCTTTACACTTTTTGATCCTACTGCATAATTACAGGCTTATTCTCTTGTTCTTTCATTTAGGTATTGACAGTCTCCATGTAAGCAAATTATTTTATAAGTTTTTTATATACAACCAAAACGTACTTGGTAATATAGAATCCTGCCTAATGTATTTTATATGGAATTGATAACCTCACTTAAGAACAAAGCAAAAGCAAAACAAAGCCGACTTTATACTATTACCACCTAATATTCAGGAATCCAAATTAGTAGATTGACTTATTTTACTCAACGTTAGTAACAGGTAAAATTATAAATCTTCTAAATATAAATAAACTCATGTGAAAATACAATTATCGCTTCATAAATAACAAGTAATTAAAAAAATTGTCTAGACCTTGGAAACCAATAATTATTTATATCAACCAATCAAAGAGTTAATCAAGAAAGACAAGTTGAAACCGCTGGGAAATTTTTTGCGGTCTTTGCATTCAACCATCCAGGCACAGATGACGTTTCAAAAGTTAAATTCCACATTCGCAAAGTGAGGCTGGGATTTCTGATCTAGGAAGGTGTGAAGAATAATGTCTGTGCTAATTTATTGAGTTTGTTCTACCCTTTAGGGGTTACATAAATTATTGATGAGGCACACTTATCTCTGTTTTGTCTGATGCAGAACTGATTTATAGTTAAAAATGTTAAGCACAGGTAACTAACATTTAAGTCCTGGGAGCAAAGGATACCGTTGATGTATAAAATAGACAACGTGTAAAATAAAGTAAAAGATGAATAGATCTTTATTTCAAAAAAAATCTTGACTTTCAAAAGTATTAAAATAACCTGAGGTATTTAAAAACTTAGTTACATAAACATAACAGAAGATATTTTCAAAAATGCGCAAAACTCTAAGCATTAATTCAGAAAATTAGCTATAATTTTAATGTGAGAAGAAAGTGAAGGCTAACGCAGAATTTTAAGCTATCTCCCTACATGATAAAGGGGAGTGTTAATACAGACCCAATTTTAAAAATTGATATTTTTATATTACACTCTGTCAAAACGCTGTTGGAATTCCAGCTAAGCCTTAAACAACAAAGGGCACATCTTGAATAAATAAAGAATACCTGACTATCAGAGTTAACATGTTATAATATTTTAAATATAGCATTCTAAAAAATAAAAGCACAAAAAATCCCACAAATTTATGGCTAATGTGAAGTAAAAACACAAACTGAAACTGTCCTAAACTTTTTAGACAAAAACTTTAAACCTGCAGTTTTAAGTATGAACAAATAAAAAATGACAGATGAAAGATAAAAGATCAACATGGGAATATCAGTGAGATTGGAACAGGAATTAAAAGAAATTAAAGAATGTGTAAGCAGAAACTCAGTTGTATGTAAGAAAACCAATCACCCCTTATTCAGCCTGTGACCCAGGAAATAATCAGCTATATGTATGTTATGACCCTAAGTGCTTACCCTGTGAATTCTGGTTTGAGGTACATATTAAATCAGAGGGAGAAAAAGAAGGAGAGTTTATAGGTCAACATGAAGAAGCCCCTCCCTCCTATAAAGGGCCTATTCTCTTGTACTTTGATGCCTGCCAGGCTGGGGATGATCATAATCTTAAAACAAAACAAAACAAAACAGAAACAGAAGCAGTCCGCGGTGGTTTGACACAAGAAAGGTTTAACAGCAGCAGTCTCAAATATCTAGATGGAGACCACAAATCGGATACCCAGACTGTAACATTCAGTGATCTATACTAACACAGCTCCTTAAAGCCAGAGCTACCTTTTTGGTCTAAAGGATGCACAGCACTATTACAAGTTGATAGACAAGGAGCTGGCTCTGGAATTCTGCTACTAACTGTCAAAAAGGCTAGAAGTAAGCATTTTGATCAGTCAATGCCTGAGCTTTCCCCATCAACCAAAAATGTGTTTGTTCAACTAGCTGAAAACATAGCTGGCGGCTGAGGAATTTCCTCATGCTATGTAAGTGTAGGAACTAATACGGGGGACCAGTGGCCATGGGGGGGCAAAGGAATTAATGCCACAAGATAACTTCACTTCGCCAAACCCTACCAATAAAGCCAGCAGTCTCAGCCAGTGTTTGCTTGTTGCAAATCTCCATAATTGGAAAGTCTTGTATTGCCTGATGGGAAAAGGCAGAATGCTTAAAAGGTAACTTAACTCTTTGTTCAGGGCTCAGTCCTTCAGAGGTTAATCTGAGTGGGCCGGTGCATCTACATAATAAGTATCCTCCTCAACCCCATCGGTCCCTCTGACTCCTTAAAAAAGTCCTTCCAGAAGACAAATTAAAAAAGAAAACCTGAAAAATCTAGAGATAAGAAGCACAATTACTTGGATTAAAAAAAAACTATTAAATAACTTTAACAACAGATTGAGCTTCAGTAAATCTGAAGACATAAAAATTGAAACAGCCTAAAATGAGAGCAAATATCTTTGTGTCTTGTCAATGAAAATACTTTAAAATTTCCTATTCTGGAGTGTTCTGAAGAAGAAATAAGAAACCACTTGAAAAGAAAGGTTGGTGGAAATTTTACAGAAGTGCTGATTTTTCACCAACTGTTTCCTGTTCTACTTTCCAGCCCCTTTGTATCTCCATCTTATAAATTGGGCAAATAATATTTTTCTTTCAGAATAGTGTTAAAAACTCAGGTGAAATGGCTATTGAAGAGCTAATACTGGAAGACCAGGTTAGAGTAAGAAAAGAGTTATTGGTCCTTCAAACTTCAGAGGGATATGACACATGTACTGTAAAACAGGAGCTAATCTTATTCTAAAGAGTTCTTAGCTTTGGCACTAACACTATTGCTCATGGCCTTATAAATGTTTGTTATCAAATCTATCTAATTAAACCCTGTATGTGGTGTCTTTGAGTAATCATCTTGATTTTTTTCTTGACCTATTTTCTCTTAAAAGGTTTTTTTTTAACTCAGAAAGGGCAACATCATTAATCAGTAGAGAAATACAAATCAGAATCACAATGAGATACCACCTCAGGCCTGTCAGAATGGTGACTATTAAAACGTCAAGAAATAACAGATGCTGGAAAGTCTGTGGAGAGACAGGAAGACTTCTAAACTGTTGGTGGGAAAGTAAATTAGTGTCCACACTGTGGAAGACAGCGTGGTAATTTGTTCAAGGATCTAGAAACAACATTGACCGAGCAATGTCATTACTGGCTATCTACCCCCAAAATACAAATGTTTCATATTTGAAAGATACCTGCACGTGTATGTTTATTGCAGTACAATTAACAGCAGCAAACACATAGAATCAACTCAAATGCCGACTTTACTCAGAGAACATTATCAACTAGATACATAAAATGTAGTACATATACACAATGAAATACTTTGCAGCTTCAAAAAGCAATTAGATCATGTCTCTTGCAAGGACATGGATAAAGATGGAACCATCATCCTCAGCAAAGTAACACAGGAACAGAAAACCAAACACTACATTTCCTCACTCATGAGTCAGAGCTGAACACTGAGAACACCTGACACAGAAAAAGAAACCACACTGGGGGTGGAGCCAAGATTGTGAATAGGAACAGCTCCAGCCTGCAGCTCCCAGTGTGAGTGAAGCAGAAGATGGGTGATTTCTACATTTCCAACCGAGGTACTGGGTTCATCTCACTGGGGAGTGTCGGAAAGTGGGTGAAGCAAGAGTAAACACATTCAGAAGCTAGCAGAAGGCAATAAATAACTAAGATCAGAGCAGAACTGAAGGAAATAGAGACACAAAAACCCTTCAAAAAATCAATGAATCCAGGAGCTGGTTTTTTGAAAACATCAACAAAATTGATAGACATCTTGCAAGACTAATAAAGAAGAAAAGAGAAAAGAATCAAACAGATGCAATAAAAAATGAAAAAGGGGATATCACTACGATCCAACAGAAATACAAACTACCATCAGAGAATACTGTAAACACCTCTATGCAAATCAACTAGAAAATCTAGAAGAAATGGATAAATTCCTTGACACATACCCCCTCCCAAGACTAAACCAGGAAGAAGTTGAATCTCTGAAGAGACCAATAAGAGGCTCTGAAATTCAGGCAATAATTAATAGCTTACCAAACAAAAAAAGTCCAGAACAAGATGGATTCACAGCCAAATTCTACCAGAGGTACAAGGAAGAGATGGTACCTTTCCTTCCGAAAGTATTCCAATCAATGGAAAAAGAGGGAATCCTCCCTAACTCATTTTATGAGGCCAGCATCATCCTGATACCAAAGCCTGGCAGAGACACAACAAAAAAAGAGAATTTTAGACCAATAACCCTGATGAACATCGATGCAAAAATCCTCAATAAAATATTGGCAAACCAAATCCAGCAGCACATCAAAAAGTGTATCCACCATGATCAAGTGGGCTTCATCTCTGGAATGCAAGGCTGGTTCAACATACACAAATCAATAAACATAATCCAGCATATAAAGAGAACCAATAACAAAAACCATATGATTATCTCAATAGATGCAAAAAAGGCCTTTCACAAAATTCAACAATGCTTCATGCTAAAAATTCTCAATAAATTAGGTATTGATGGGAATATCTCAAAATAATAAGAGCTATCTATGACAAACCCACAGCCAATATCATACTAAATGGGCAAAAACTGGAAGCATTCCCTTTGAAAACTGGCACAAGACAGGGATACCCCCTCTCACCACTCCTATTCAATATAGTGTTGGAAGTTCTGGCCAGGGCAATCAGGCAGAAGGAAAAAATGGTATTTAATTAGGAAAAGTGGAAGTCAAATTGTCCCTGTTTGCAAATGACATGATTGCATATCTAGAAAACCCCATTGTCTCAGCCCAAAATCTCCTTAAGCTGATAGACTTCAGCAGAGTCTCAGGATTCAAAATCAATGTGCAAAAATCACAAGCATTCTTAGACACCAATAACAGACAAATAGAGAGCCAAATCATGAGTGAACTCCCATTCACAATGGCTTCCAAGAGAATAAAATACCTAGGAATCCAACTTACAAGGGACGTGAAGGACCTCTTCAAGGAGAACCACAAACCACTGCTTAATGAATTAAAAGAGGATACAAACAAATGGAAGAACATTCCATGCTCATAGGTAGGAAGAATCAATATCGTGAAAATGGCCATACTGCCCAAGGTAATTTATAGATTCAATGCCATCCCCATCAAGCTACCAATGACTTTCTTCACAGAATTGGAAAAAACTACTTTAAAGTTCATATGGGACCCAAAAAGAGCCCGCATTTCCAAGTCAATCCTAAGCCAAAAGAACAAAGCTGGAGGCATCACGCTACCTGACTTCAAACTATACTACAAGGCTACAGTAACCAAAACAACATGGTACTGGTACCAAAACAGAGATATAGACCAATGGAACAGAACAGAGCCCTCAGAAATAATGCCACATATCTACAACCATCTGATATTTGACAAACCTGACAAAAACAAGAAATGGGGAAAGGATTCCCTATTTAATAAATGGTGCTGGGAAAACTGGCTAGCCATATGCAGAAAGCTGAAACTGGATCTCTTCCTTACACCTTATACAAAAATTAATTCTAGATGGATTAAAGACTTAAATGTTAGACCTAAAACCATAAAAACCCTAGAAGAAAATGTAGGCAATACCATTCAGGACATAGGCATGGGCAAGAACTTCATGTCTAAAACACCAAAAGCAATGGCAACAAAAGCCAAAATTGACAAATGGGATCTAATTTAACTAGAGAGCATCTGCACAGCAAAAGAAACTACCGTCAGAGAGAACAGGCAACCTACAGAATGGGAGAAAATTTTTGCAATCTACTTATCTGACAAAGGGCTAATATCCAGAAGCCACAATGAAATCCAACATATTTACAAGAAAAAAAGAAACAACCTCATCAAAACGTGGACGAAGGATACGAACAGACACTTCTTAAAAGAAGACATTTATGCAGCCAAAAGACACATGAAAAAATACTCATCATCACTGGCCATCAGAGAAATGTAAATCAAAACCACAATGAGATACCATCTCACACCTGCTAGAATGGCAATCATTAAAAGTCAGGAAACAACAGGTGCTGGAGAGGATATGGAGAAATAGGAACACTTTTACACTGTTGGTGGGACTGTGAACTAGTTCAACCATTGTGAATGTCAGTGTGGCAAGTCCTCAGGGATCTAGAACTAGAAATACCATTTGACCCAGCCATCCCTATTACTGGGTATACACACAAAAGATTACAAAACATGCTGCTATAAAGACACATGTACACGTATGTTTATTGCGGCACTATTCACAATAGCAAAGACTTGGAACCAACCCAAATGTCCAACAATGATAGACTGGATCAAGAAAATGTGGCACATATACACCATGGAATACTATGCAGCCATAAAACATGTTGAATTCATGTCCTTTGTAGGGCCATGCATGAAGCTGGAAACCATCATTCTCAGCAAACTATCGCAAGGACAAAAACCCAAACACCGCATGTTCTCACTCACAGGTGGGAATTGACCAATGAGAATACACAGACACAGGAAGAGGAACATCACACACTGGGGCCTGTTGTTGGGTGGGGAGAGAGGGGAGGGATAACATTAGGAGATATACCTAATGTTAAATGATGAGTTAATGAGTGCAGCACACCAACATGGCACATGTATACATATGTAACTAACCTGCACATTGTGCACATGTACCCTAAACCTTCAAGTATAATAAAAAAAGAAAAAATAAATAAATAAAAATACAAAAATTAGTCAAGCATGGTGGTGTGTGTGGAGTCCCAGCTATTCAGGAGGCTGAGGCAGGAGAATTCCTTCATCCCAGGAGGCACTGGCTGCGGTAAGGTGAGACTGCACCCCAGCCTGGGTGACAGAGCAAGACTCTGTCTCAAAAAAAGATAAAAACTTTGGAAATATGACTGGTGTTGATGGAAACAGAGTATGAGTGAGGCTGATATGGGGAAACAGGAGGATTTATTTAGGTGCACCAGCTCAGTGAGCTTATATCCAAAAAGGCTGAGTATTGAATAAAGACTGAGCAGGGTTTTTATGAGCAAACTTACAGAAGCAGACCTAAAGCAACTAATTATACAATGAACAGTTATGTAATTTACAGCATAATTGTTGACTTGCATAACTTCTTGCCTTGCATAGCTGGGTTTTGCAGCTAGGTTGAAAGAGAAACAGGAACATACAGATTTTACGAAATACAAGCATTGGTAAACATAGTCATAATTAATGCTTCAGAGAAGGAGAGACAGTAAAGTAATTTGCTTTCCTTTTGAACTTTGCTTCAGTGTAGGGTATTTGTGACCCATTCCCTTGGCCTCAACTTTTTAGACAGTGTTATTTTATAACTGTCTTGGAGTGAGATAGCTACACAGAGAAAAACATGTTTTCTTTTCATTTGAACCCTTGTCTTGCCAAATTTTTCTGTTTTTTTAAAAAATCATTTTATAGGATAAATTTAATCGAAGGCATTAGTATCATTTTATTCTTTATGGGAAAGCATGTTTTCTTCTTTTGGCACAGGTTGACATTTAGTTAGAGCTATTAACTGAGTAGCAGTGGGCCTGGCTATGTTGTTTTGGGGCTATGTAGTATGAGTAGAGGGTGGGCATCATTTTTTGGGTGCTTTTTTATATCAAGGTTATGTGGGGAAAGTGTTAGCTTTCCTGTTTCTTTTGGCTTTTGACTTCCCTGCCTTTTGGTGTTCCAGATAATGCACTATTGCCACTTTTTCTGGAGCATATACAGCTGCTAAGAGCTGTAGGATTTTTTCTGTCCACTTTATTTATTTGCCTCCAGTTGTTAAGAAATTTTCTTTTTATATATAGTTCTATGAACATGTAGTGTGGTAAAAGCATATTTAGAATGTGTTTAAATATTGACCTTTTTTTCTTTTGCAGCAAAAGGGCTCTTGTTCGGTCTATTAATTTTGCCTTTTGGTCTCATGTTCCAGTAGGCAAAGATTGAGCTTCTATCATTGAGTTTAATGTTACCACTGCATACTCGGCTTGTTGGATTTTTTTCTAGCTCAAAACTCTTTCAGTTATGAAGTATTCAACATCTGGGTTTTTGAGGGATTGATCTGTAAGATCTCCTGGTTCAGCAAATACGTGATCCACTGTTTAGACACAGTTATGGAGGGGAGCATCAAATTTGACTGGGAGCAGGGTGGTTGGGCTTAAGTTGTTTGCTGTATTTTAAGTAATGTAAGGGTTTTCATATAGAAGTCCTTGGTACTGCGTTATTCTCAGATTTGACAACTAATGATGGCTTATTTGTTCATCAAAGTTTTGACTGAGTGTGGCACATGGACTGTTAGCTGCTGTCTCAAAGTAAGTGTGTTATCCTCTTGCATTAGCAAGGCAGTGGTGGCTAATGCCTTAAGGCAAGGAGGCCATCCTAGTGCCACAGAGTCTAATTGTTTAGATTAGTATTTGACTGGACAATGCTATAATTTTATAATTTCAGTTAAGAACCACATAGCCATTTCTTTTCATTTATGCAGGTACAGAAAGAAAGGCTAAGTTACATTTGGCAGACCAAAGGCTGGGACTTGAGTTAAGGGTTTTTTTGATTTTTTTAAATGATATTTGCTGTTTAGTTTGCCAGAGGAGGGTTTCGTTTTTACCCCTTTTGTAATATTATATAATGGCTTAGCCATCAGTGAAAAATTTATGATTTAGATATGGTGGAATTTTTCTTCTTTTAAGAATTTTTTAATGTAATGCCTAGTGGTTTGTGTCAGGAGTGTACAAACGGCCTGTTTCTGCTTATGGCCAAGCTGGCATTCCACATGGCTTACTATGAAACCTACATATTTGACATTTTTAAGAATAATTGGTCCTTTTTTAAAAGATAATTTTAGCCTGTTTTTCATAGGAGATGGAGGAGGTCTTGAGTTTTTTGATAACAGTCCTCCTGGGTTGGGGCTGCTAGAGGAAGGTCATCCACATACTGCAACAAGGCACAGTTAACATTTGGCAGGTTGTAGGCTTCAAGGTCAGTGCTTCCCTAAAGACTGTAGGAGAGTCTTTGAACTTGCGGGAGCCTGGCCCAGGTGAGTTGAACAACTTATTTGTTTTATTGAAATGCAAATATAGGGTGACTAACTGGGGCTAAGCAGATATAAAAGAATACATTCTTTAAATTTAGGACTGCAAATCAGGTAGCACTTGCTGGAATGAGATTTATTAAAATACACATGTTCCAAAAGTGGAGTGTTTTAGAGCAATTGACATCGAACTAAGACTTCATGTTGGTAAGGCCAGTTTAAATATTTACAGATACCTGGAATAGCTTCTCAGGGGACTGGGTACTGATGAACCCAAGTCGGAGTTTCTTTTGGTTTTAACATGACTACCACCTGTGCATGATGTACAGCTAATCCAAGTGGGTTGCCTTTAACCCATACTCCAGAAATGTTATTAACTAAGTGAAATAATTTTTTTTTATCCCACCTGCAATTCTAATTTGCTGCTTGCACTTTCTTTGTATAAAGTTTCCATTCCTTAGCCTGCAGGATGATAAGGGTTAGCACCATGCTTTTTTGGAGAGTCAGAAAAAAAGTTGTTGTTTTTTTTTTTTTTGCAGCTGAAATGTAATTGGTGCTTTCAGTTTTTGGAGTAATTTTTTTTTTTCTTAACAAGGGAACTGGACAATTCAGGAGGTATAGGAATTTATGTTGAACTTCCCATCCTTTGATGACACACCTCCTTACCAGAACAGCTTTTTTCTC
Organism: Homo sapiens; assembly: GCF_000001405.40. Classification (NCBI taxonomy): domain Eukaryota; kingdom Metazoa; phylum Chordata; class Mammalia; order Primates; family Hominidae; genus Homo; species Homo sapiens. Next base: position 21,981,189 of record NC_000024.10, on the reverse strand, counting down.
TGAGATTCCTGTGGCTTTTATAATAGTTTTATAGCTTCAGATAGTGGCCCTATGGGTTGAGTCAGTACTGAATGTGTAGCCCTGGTGTTTACATAAAGTCCATCAGCTGGCCTTCAACTTTTAATGTGACCATGGGCCAATGGAGTTGTAATAAGAAAAAGCCTGGTCTGTCCTAGTACCCATATCCTTTAGTGCCGGCCAGCCTGTTTAGATTCGTATTTGGTTTTCCCACAGTGAGGCAGCCCTTAGCTGGACTCTTTTATACCACAGTCTTGATTATACTTTTTATTACCTTCTGGACATTTATTCTTTCAGTATTTTTCTTTTCCATCACACACATTGTTTTCTCTCTAGCCTCGGCTGGCTTTTAAATTTTTGACTAAATTGACATCTTTCACACGCACGTGCACATCCACATTCTTGTATATTGCTAGTCATTTTTTTAATGAGAGCTGCTGCTAAGAGATTGGCCTTTTTTAAACCTCTGATTTGCTTTTTTTTTTTTCTTTGCTTCCTGGTGATGGTTAACCTACATTTTGGTGGCCATTTCTGTAAGCTGGGTTGTATTCGTGCCTGCAAAACCATGTACTTTTTGCAGCTGGTGCATTGGCTTCTAGCCCTTGATGGGATGCCTGAGTTATCCTCTGGCACTCCTCCATGTTAAACAATGTTAAGATAAGTTATCTTCAATTTAGCCAGGTTGGATTGTGTGTTAGAAAGGTGGACTGTGTTAGATTTATGAGAGCTTGGGGCTTTTCCTTGTAGGAGTTAGTGTGTTGATTTACATTTAGGAGATTAGTGGTTGAAAAGGGCTGATAGAGGAAGGTTTGCTGCCCCCCACACCAGGATGTGGCACTGGTCATTATAACAGATGAGTCCTTGCATTTCCCTGAGAGGTATTTACATAGCTTGACCATGATCAGATTTGAGGCAGCCTGGTTCACTATCCTGAATTCCATCACTGGCCTCTCAAGGCTCCAATTCTTCCCTCTGGGGTGAAACCTGGGGTGTACTGGCAATGGAACCTAGCTCCTGGGGGGCTGTTTGCCTCAGCAAAGGGAGGTAGGCTATGAAAAATGGAGGAGAATTTTTTTTTCCTTTTGTAGTTTTTTAAAACTGGGTTTCCTTTCTGTCCTTGGGACTTTCCTTTTAACTCAGTGTTTGCTGGTGAAGCTGCTTCTATTTTCACTTTTGGCTCGGCCTGCGCTACAAGTGTTTTGCAATAAGCTGTGAAGCAGGGCTGGATTCATGTTGTTCTTGTTTGTATTATATTTAATTATGAGTTAATATAAGAAAATTGGTCTGGGTACCCTGGCTATACTCAGACCCCTGTCATTACCTCAAACTCATGACCAATTCTTTCTATGTGTATAGTTTTTTGGGTCACCTATTTAATACCAAAAGGGGGCCATTTTAGTTTACAGAGAGCTTTTTACCTTTGCAGGGTTAGCTTAATTTTATAGTTTCCTGTAAACCCTTTCTTAAAGTTTTTTTTAGCATATATTTGAATGATGTATGTTGTGACAACTCTCTTCCCATTTCTTTTCAGTTATGATGCAGTGTACTCGTGCTCACTTTTTACCTTTGTTTCCAGCCAGTTAGACCATCTCCTATTATGGGGGTTTTTAGATACTACTTAGCTTTGGAGAGTTTCTTAAGCCCAACACAATTGCTGAAGTTGTGGGGTAGCTTCTTTTAGCCATATGTGGATCACCACTAGTCTTGATCAGCCCCACACTTGGCTTGGAACACATTCTTCACTAAGAGACTTGTGGTTCCTCACTTTATGGCCGATTAGCCTAGTTAGGCCTCACCACTCACACATCATCCTTCTACCAGTTCTCATGTTCCTGGTTGGGGTGGCGAGTCACTTTCACCACCTCCAGTTTCCTTCTGAGCTGATTTAGTGAGCCACTGTCACATGCTGTGTTGGTTGAGGTATAAGTTTCTTCTGAATTGGTGAACCACTCTTGCGGCCTGCAGCACCTCTGGGTTGGATTACCGGTTATAACCTAGGAGGTGATTAGGCTCCCTTTTGGTCCTTGTGGGATGTGTCCTGCCTTGGGTCCCAATACCTTACTGTGGTTTCTGAAGTGAGCTGTTCCTGGAATCGTCCTATAACCCATTAGGTACCATTGCACTGCTTGGTAGGGGCACGAGGTCACAAAATGGCTGATCTCCCCTCCAGGCTGAAGTTCTCCCAGTGGTGCTCCTTGGGTCACAGGACTCCTGAGACCCAGGGCTTAAGCCCCAGGGGCAAAGGAGACAGGAAACCTGTCATCTCCACTCCTGGCTGACTGGCCAATAATGCTGTGGGAAGCAGAGGACCACAGAGATTCATATGGGGAAATAGGAGGATGTATTTAGGTGCCCTGGCTCAGCAGACTTATATCCAAAAATGCTGAGCATTGAACAAAGACTGAGGGGGATATTTGTAAGCCAAATTACAAAAGCAGAACTACAGAAGCTAATTTGACAATGACAGGTTACATAATTTATAGCATAACTGTTGAGTTAGCATAACTTTAGCCTTGCATAGCTTGTAGCCTTGTAGCTGCATTGAAAAGACAAAAAAAAAACAGTAAGCTTCAAATCTTACTAAATACAAGCATTGGGAAACATAGTCATAATTAATGTTTCAGAGAAGAAGAGACGTTATAGATATTTATTTTTCTTTTCTTTTCAGTGCAGACACTGAAGCTTGAGCCTGGAATTGTGGAGCCAGTTCTCTCTGCTGTGGGGCCCATGTATGGGTAGAAGTCTCCTCATGACTCAAATCACAGCCTTGGTAACCCACTAGTCCAGTTCCTAAAAACACCCACTCCTTAGTGTTTCAAGAATCACGCTCTAGAGTCCACTGCCACATTTGAATTTATTGCAATGTTATGGAAATGAGAATTTTATCTAGGCCTGGCACTGTGGCTTACACCTGTCATCTCAGCACTTTTGGAGGCAGAGCTGGGCAGATTAACTGAGGTCAGGAGCTTGAGACTAGCCTGGCCAACATAGTGTAGTACCATTTCTACTAAATATACAAAAATTAGCCGAGTGTTGTGGCCTACTCCAGTCATCCAGGCTACCTGGGAGGCTGAGGCAGGAGAAACACTTGAACTCAGGAGGCAGAGGTTGCAATGAGTGGAGATCATGTCTCTGCACTCCAGTCTGGGTGACAGAGTAAGACTCTGCCCTCACTCACCAAAAAACAAAAACATAAACAAAAACAAAAAACAAAAATGTATCTGTTTATATTTCAATGCCAAAATATTTTAAATGACTTTTTAATGATGTGTATAATTTTTCCAAGTTTAGAAATAACCTCCATTTGTTTGCTTTCACATATTTTGTACATTTGTTTTTATCTTAATAAACTGAGTCTATTGACAGAACTATGAAGATGCTTATTTATACCATATCTCATGTTCTACATGTCCAGTTTAGCAAATATGCATTATCCACTTATTTGCTAAAAGCCATCCTTTTTTCTCTTCATAATTTAGATGATTCTCAAATATCACACATCATTTTGCAATCTGATTCTAACTTCTATACTGCCAAATGGTCTGCAAAATTAACCTAAAAAAAAAAAAAAACGAACAAAATAAGTGAAGGCTGACAGAGTAAGTAACGTGATTCAGCTGAAGCTAATCAATCAGAAAGTTGTACTTACCGAAACTTTTGGTCTGGAGGGTTGGAGAGGCTGTGCCTTGACTCAGTGGGTGACTGCTGGGGCATTCTGTCAGAACAAGGACTGGGGAACCCACATGTAATCTGTCCAGACCTAAGGTTCAGAAGGAACCAAGGCAAGAATATTACCAGGTGCATGAAGATACCAAGCGGTTTCTAAAGAGCTCTATTAGTTCAAAAATAAATTGTTATCCTTGCAAATAGCAAATTATGATGCATAAGATCCACAAAACTAATGATTCAAACACCTAAGTTAATTGCACTGGCAATAATAAAATGCATGAAAGTAACAGGCAGCAAAGGAAAGACAGCTCTTAGTATCTAAACACCTCTGTGTGTAAAGGAGACACTAGACCTTGCCAGTCTGTCCTGCTGACTCTCACAGCAACCCTCTATCATGGGTGGAGAGATGGAGGGTAGCTACCCAACTCCAGAGCAGCACACAACGCTTTGTCCAGGTGGCTAACCTTCCAGATACATTTCACTTTAAGGTTCCTTTTTGCTTTCGGAAAAGGGGTAGAGAAGACTTGTCTGGAGGAAATGCCACTGTGTAGCCTCAACACTGCACTGCCCATGAGTGCTTCCAGGTGCCATTCCTTTAATCTTTAAGTTTTTTCACTTGAGGCTGCTCAGAGACAACTCTGTCCTCTGCAAATATATGGCTTTCTAGAGAACTGGAAGTAATGTTTTTGAAAGCTTTCAGCAAGTGCAGAGATGGTGAGCTCTTTGCTGGTAGTGGGCTTTTGGTATGATGTTAACGACTCTCAGATAGCAACTTCTGAAAGCCTTTTCCAAGGGTCTGTCCTCTTACTTAAGCTCTTTGCCTCTTGCTTAAGCTCTTTGACCCTTGCTTAGTATTAACTACAAACTCAAGGTCAGAATTGGAAGGACTACCCTCCACAGCTCCATTTGGAAAATTTGGGATCCTTGATGTTACCATACCTCTTTTCTGTTTAAGAGAATCGTTCAAGAAATCCTGATGTATAGCACCATTGCAAGGCACCATATTGCCACTTATTAATCCACTGACAGAATGATGGATCAGATGCTGCTTTGGATTACAGTACACTTTATTCTCTAGGGCTGCAGAGTACAAAATGCTAATTTCAAAAGTGAGTGGACACAGAAGAGAAGAAAATTCATGTAATTGAGAATATTACTGTTTTGAAAAGTTGAAGAGAGCAATAATAAGGACAAACTTCCACATTAAACAGTTTCTGATGCCATGGTAGTGATAACCACTAATATTTATTGAGGGCTTATTGTACCAGCTACAGCTTCATGTGTCTTTTGTAACACGGTACAACTTCAGAATCCATTATGCACAATTTCCACATCCCCACAGCTCTGAAAATTGAAAATTTATTCATAACTTAGGGGCATAGCCTAGCCAGACATGAACTCATTTGGTTAAATACTATGACCTGAAATGACGTGAACCCATTTATTATCTTTATTTGCCCCGGCATGAATATTCATACAGTTGACTGGAAAATAACTAATGCATTTCACTACAGCAGGTCCTACAGAATTCACATGCTGTGGATTTCGTGTGCTGTGAAATCCACAGCATACGGCATGAGTTTCAGACAAAAAGTAAGAACCTGCATTCACAAAAACACTGTGGTCAAGGAATTCTCACAGCTTCCGTTTTATAGATGGGAGACTAAAGCTTATTGACCCTGGGTCACACCGTTAGCAGGTTCAAGAGCTACTGCACTTTCCTAAGGCAAAGCCAGTGCCTGTGTCTCACTGTCCTGAAATGCCTTCCAATGAAGCTGTGAGAAAGAAGCTTGCCCTCCTCATTGCATGCAAGTGCAAAAGTTCTATTCCCATTCAACTATTTTTATTAACATGAGACTATGGTTTCAGCTGTGAGAAGTTTCACAAACAGAACTGAAAGGAAAATGAGACCAGAAAGGAGAAGAAATGTGTAAAGAGTTAAAAATAAGTCAAGTGCTGGTAGAAGAGAGCAAGGAACTTATGAGGAAAAAGTGCAAAGGGGAACGAGGAAGGCTCAGAACAAGTTTGAGAAACCAGTTAACTGGTAACACAAACACACTTTCTTTGAGCTTGAAAGCAACTGAAGAAGAAAGCATCTAAGCTTCAATATCCTTATTATGAAGTAGGAAGGGGCACAGATGTATCCACAGTGAACACACAATAATAAAATCATACCAATCATACCAATCACCACTTATTGAGTGTTTTCTTATGTCCCAGGCACTGCGTTGTAACCCATCTCCTTTCATCACTTTCATCATGGCTCAATAGGCATTATTTTCCCCATTAAAAATGAGGAAACTGAGGCCCAATGAAGTTAAGGTAACATGTCCAAGATTAAACAACTAACTTCAAAACAGGGATCCAAAAGAACAGTTGTCTGATTCTGAGAGCAATGTTCTCTTTGCTAAACCGCCTTGCTCCTCCCGTGTGTGCATATATCTATCAAGGAATCCATAAAATTACTGAACTGCTGTTAACATTGAGGTAACAAATAGAAAAGAAATTTCTAAGATAAACCTGGAGACTTCTATGTCACCACCACGCCTTTCCCATTTGAGACACAAGGCTCTCCCAAGCCATGAGGCACCTATGAAACAAGTGACTTTTGCTGATGATCCAGATGGTATTACCAAAGTGGATAGGGAGTTTTACTTCTAAGATGACACATGTTTCTGTGGCTTTTCCTCTAACATAACAATTACTTAATATTCAATAAATTAGGGTCATTACATTTTCACAAGCATCAGAAGCTTTACACACAGAAAAATATTCATAGATTTAAAATGTCTCTAACCTGTCTGAGTTTGCTTCAGTTGCAATACAAAATCGGTCACCTGAATACTTAACTTTTTACGGAAGTTTGTAATCTAGTATCTGGGCCTTCAGCCACCCAGAATGCTCATTCTGAAAAGATTCAGAATCAGAAAAGAAATTATTGCAAAACAAATCACGGCTTGCTTCACAAGGAGACGTTTTCTTATCCTGTTTGTACTCTTTTAATTGAGAATATTTATGCCAGTAAACAACAGGGTCCCTATTTTAAAAATGACAAACAGAACACAAACTAGGTGGGTTTAACAGATTTCACCATCTTTTTCAGTCATATCAAAACATTCTAGGGCATGTGGGCAGAAGACACGGTGAATGTTTGTAATCCTTAGGGTGAGAATCCAGAGATAACAGTGGAAAAAATCTGGCACTCTGAAAATTTTACATTTAGGTGTGTTTGCTTTCTTCTCCATGTTATTGCTATTATGAATATAAGATCATATTATCACTAGAGAATTTTCTCAGATGACAAAGAGAAACTTTACTATATTTGGGGGAGTAATGTTTGATATTAAAATAAATCTGATTTGCACAGGTGTGACTTGGGCCAAGTTTACATACTGAAGAAGTGTATTTGTATCAAAGTGGAACTGGCAAGGAGCAAGACTCACTGCATCTTGCAGTTGTACTGCAGAGCTGGCCTGTGATTTTTGAACTCCTCATGCTCAGCTATGATAGCATTTCCTGCTTTCTGCAGTTCTTTCTGAAATACCACAATTTCATGAGCCAGTGGAGCCAGATATAAGAAGGCCAAAAGAAATCCTAGTCATTATCTACCTTAAGTTTTCTTATTTCATTTAACAGAAACATTTAAACAGCTTTTACATTGTTGTTTCTTTTCTTGGTACTCATGCAATAAATATAATATTAATTCTATTTAATGATCTCAGAGTAGTCCTAACACTCAAATTTCAGAACAAAAGTATTTAGTGCATTTTATTGCAAACGTTATTACTCTTGGAGTCCTACTCCAAGTAAAAGAACTCTTTCAAATCCTCAGATTAACCTAAATAGCTGTTTCTCTCCTATACCATGAACAGAAGGAGCTCTCTGTCTGGTCTACCTGTTGATGACATCCCCAACATCCAAAATAATCTGTGCATCTGTCAGCAGCAGTTGGGATCCAGGCAGAAAGCAGATGGCTCCTACAGACAAAGTCATCTAAGAGTCCTTTAATAAAGGGTGACTTATGCAGCATGCCCACAAATGTTGGGGAAGTTCCCTTACATAGTAACAGGGCCACTCTATGAGCACTGACTACTCTAAGGAAAGTTAAAGGCTCTAGGTATTACCTCCCTCTGCTGGCAATCTGGAAGGCCATAGAGAGGTAAAAACTACATTTATTTTGTATGTATCCTGAGAAAGAGGAAATAGCAGTAGAGGAAATTGAGGTAGGGAAGTGATAAACTCTCTGCCAAAATGTTGCTCCTTATTTTTTTTTCTGTCTCTCTTGATTAACTTACTTTTTCATTATTGCCAAAAGAAGAGTAAGGTAGGCAGAGGTTAGAATCAAACAATTCAAATCTAAAGAAGGGAGAAAACAATATTAAAGAATATGGAGGCACATTTTTTAATGAACGAAGATTCCTGGCATATCTATTTTTGTCAATTAACAAAACATTCCCAGTTGAAAATAAGGCTTATTGCACAAACTACAGACAGATGAGCTTTCAGTCAATCCCAGGTAAGATCTGAAGAATGAAATATTTGTGAGCACTTAAAAAAGGTGAATAACACAAAAGAAATAATTTCACCCAATGCAAATAAAGTCAGACTACCATACTTTCTTTGTTGAGCATAGAGCTGGTAAAAGCTGCAGGTGTAGAACTCAGTTCTGGACATATGGAACTCAGTTACTGGACATAAACAAACAAAACTATCAGAACTGAAGGATTGAAATTAACTGCAAAATGTATGATCTGTTCAAGTATTGGTGGCCTCTCAAAATTTTCTGTCTGGTCTTACTGTAAGCTGGTGATAGCATCTCAGTCTCTTTTTCATCTTAATATTTAATATGTCAAAAGCAAAACCCTAGTGTTTTTTCCTCTTAATTTGTATTTTCTAATTATAGGTGATATCACCTTTATAAAGAAGAACTCTACTTGGCAATAAACATTAGAATATTGTGATTATATATATATATATATATATATCACGGTTACTGTGTATACATATATACTATATATGCATATATATAGTAATTTTTTTACTCTCATAATTCTGAGTTTCAAAAATAAACATGCATACTTAAAATTCAAAAGCTTCAACCCAGTGCTTCAGCACTACTTCTCTTCCTCTTAGCAAATCCATGGCTTTTACTTAAAGTTGCCTTTGGCCATAAATTTCTTTTATGTCAATCTACATAGAAAATTATTAATTTTTCGCAAGAAAACTGATGAAAGCCAAACTGATGTAAATGAATATACTGTTTTCTAAATTCCACAAAGCAACAATTTCACCTTCAAGAGACTCCAACTTGGCTGGTTACTGTGGCTCACAACTGTTATCTTAGCACTTTGGGAGGCCAATGTGGTAGGATCACCTGAGGTCAGGAGTTCAAGGCCAGCCTGTGTAGCATTGTAAAACCACATCTCTAACAAAATGCAAAAATTAGCCAGGCATCATGGCGGGAACCTGTAGTTTCTGCTACTCAGGAGGCTGAGGCAAGGGAATCACCTGAACCTGGGAGACAAAGGTGGTTGTGGTGACCTGATAATTACCATGGAACTCCAGCCATGGTGACAGAGTGAGACTCCATCTAAAAAAAAAAAAAAATTCCAGACTTGAGTTTGAATTTTTTCAACCTATTGGAAAGCAAAGTTTCAAACTTATACAACTAGATATTCTAGCTGCATACAAATTGACTCTCCTAATTACTATTTACCTGTATTTTCATATGTTCCTAACATCCCTTATGTAATATATGCTACTTAGTGCTTTAAAATCCCCAGTCCTTTATCTAAAAAAGATTTTTTGACAGGTTCCTGCCCTATTGCCTAGGCTGTAGTGCACTGGCGTGGTCTTGACCCACTACAACCTCTGCCTCCTGGCCTCAAGGGATCCTCCTACCTCAGCCCCCCGAGTAGCTGGGACTACAAGCACACACCACCAAGTCCGGCTAATTTTTTGTGTTTTTTATAGAGATGGGCTTTGTCAAGCTGCGCAGACTGCTCTTGAACCTCTGGGTTCAAATGACATGCCCACCTCAGCCTCTCAAAATGCTGGGACTGCAGGCATAAGCCACCACACCTGGTCCCGTTAACTAAAAATTGATGAGTTCTTCAGGAAGAACCATTGAACAAAATGTGCATTCAGCAATAAAACTGCAAAAGAATATAATCCCACAGTTTTTAGTGATGGTGCTCTCTGTATGTTTCAGTTCATGGGTCATTCTGACTCAGAGTTAGCAAGCTCTTATGAACTCCTAAATGAATGGGCCATCCTTCCATTTATGTTTTCACAGAGCAAGAATTTACTACTTAACACATATCAAGCAGCATACTGGGAACAAGTTATACAAATGTAGACAGATATAGTCACTGTCTCTAAAGACCTCACAATTTAATCAGGGAGAAATAATCACAATAAGGTATAACTTCATAACTGAGGTAAATAAAGACTGCATGCAGGAACGAGACCTAAATCATTTGCTCAGTGGGAGTCAGGGAAGATATCACCAGGGTGACAGTCCAGCTGTGTCTTGAAAGACAGTATGGTTTTATCAGGAAGAGAAAAGGATTGACATTCCAGGTGAGGAAATACAGCCATGGCGGTTTGTGTGAGGATGACAATCTTCCTCAAAGCCTTCAGAAACTCACAGTTAAATAAACAGGAATCTAGCCAGTCCCGTATCTTGCAGATGAAGTTATTAGTCTAAACACAATCCAAACATCTCAAAAAACTGTGCTTCCAACACTCATTTTTATAGCTGGAGCAAGCCCAATTCCTATCAATGCTATATAAAATTGTAAAGGGTGTGCACTTAACATTAAACAAGTAGGTCTCATTGAGAAGCCCCAAGCAAGACTTAATGCTAGGGTAAAGCCTTGCTACTTTTAACATCTGGCAGCAGCAGTTCACGATGTAGGCCAAAAATACTGCTGTAAATCCAGTGTGGTCTAAGACATACACTTAGAAACAGAATATGATTTCTTAAAAAATAGATTCAATCCCACTTGCTGAAATAGACTCCCTGCCACTCCTCATCCTCACTTTCTCTTGTCCAGTTACTTCCCAGATGACCAGATCAAATGGCCACATGGATGACCTTTGCAGCCCTGGTGACTCCTTCACCCCAGGGACCTTGAACTTTGTTCATTTCCATGACTCCATCCAATGGCAGCACAGTGCATTTGCTTTCCAGTATCCACCTGAAACCTAATCCTGCAATTCTGTACTCTTGGACAATTGTTATAATTCCACCTGCCAGTCTCTCCAGATCTAGTCCTTGATCCCTGAGACCGCTAATCCACCCTCCCTTTCCCCCTGGGTTAGCTGCCACTTGCCCCTCCTCTGCTTCCCTTCACTATGCAAGATAAGCCCAGAATCTTCAGTTAAATAGGCTGCCATTCTCACATCAAATAAGGTAGGCTCTGCAAACCTCCAATCCTTAAACATCTTCATCTTTCCACCCTCACTGAAAGGTGAAGAAGAGATGGATGCTTAGAATTCCTCCACGGACCTACCAAAAGTAAAAATAAAAATAAAAAATAAACTCCCCTCCAAGCACATGGTTTGGGCTTACTTAATTTCAGGCTCCCCCAACTACAGCTGGGCCCTCAATACAGGTGATCAGTCCTCTGTGCCTTAAAGAGCTGTTCTTCCGTTACACACTTGAGCTGCTCTGTACCTCTGAGCTGCTCCTAAAACCCATGATCTAACCCTCTAATCTGCCTGAGAAGATGGAGCTTATTTAGAGTGTGCTTCTCATTATCCCAACTTGACTGTTTACCTCTGACATTCTTCCTTTTCTACTTGTCCCAGAGGAAGCAAATGTGTTTACGTTTCAAGGCCCATTCTCCTTTTTCTTTGCAATGTTGACCCCAGTTCCTATTGCTCTTCTGGGGCCTTGTTACCTCAATTGTATCATCTCATTCCTGGATCTTGAGCCAACCTACTAATAGCTGCAGGAAATAGGTACACAGTAAAATATTTGTAAATACCACCTGTTGGGAACAGTCCCCCAAAATCTGGCCATAAACTGGCCCCAAACTGGCCATAAATAAAATCTCTGCAGCACTGTGACATGTTCATGATGGCCATAACACCCACACTGGAAGGTTGTGGGTTTACCAGAATGAGGGCAAAAAACACCTGGCCCGCCCTTGGTGGAAAACTGCTTAATGGCATTCTTAAACCACAAACAATAGCATGAGCAATCTGTGCCTTAAGGACATGCCCCTGCTGCAGATAAATAGCCAAACCCATCCCTTTATTTTGGCTCATCCCTTCATTTCCCATAAGGGATACTTTCAATTAATCGAATATCTATAGAAACAATTCTAATGACTGGCTTGCTGTTAGTAAATAAGTGGGCAAATCTCTGTTCAGGGCCGTCAGCTCTGAAGGCTGTGAGACCCCTGATTTCCCACTTTACACTTCTATATTTGTGTGTGTGTGTGTGTGTGTGTGTGTGTGTGTGTGTGTGTGTGTGGTTTAATTCCTCTAGCACTGCTGGGTTAGGGTTTCCCCAGCTGAGCTGGTCTCGGCAAGGGGCACCCATACGCAAGGGGTTGAATCCAGGTCAAAGGATCACTGGAGTGATGGTTGGAGAATGTGGAACCAGCTGGAGGACACCCAAGTACTCTTAAAGCAATCCCCTTGGTGAGTAAGAAGGGGAGTTCAGAAGCATCAGGGTAACAATGGGACAAGTGCGGGCTGTGGTTAGTTCCACCTTGGAACTTTTTCACACTGATGATGGGGAGGAAGGAGAGTATAACGAAGTAACACAGGAGGTTTCAGAGCAGGTTTATTTGCCAACTAAAGCTAAAGCGGCAAAGGAGGGAGAGGTTCATCCCTACCCTTCTGCACCCCCTCATTATTATACTGAAGAAAAAGGCCCTCCAGATCTTTCTTTTCCAGAGGACCCTGGGTGAAAACTTTTTGCCCCAGTGAGTGTTCAAGCAGCGCCTTGAGTGCTCTCAGTTCTATACAGGCAGTAATTCAGCAAGCTAGAAGAGAGGGTGATTTAGAGGCTTGGCAGTACTCTGTTAGAATACAACCCCCAGATCAGCAGGGAAATATTTGAGGCTTTTCCTTTTAAATTACTCAAGAATTTAAACAAGCTATTCATACTAAAAAAGAATGTAGAAAAAATCAGTGAGTCAGGCTGCCAGATAGCAGGAAAAAGTAACTGCTGAGTCTGAAATGTGTCCAAAATGTAAAAAAGGAAAACATTGAGCTAGTCAGTGTCACTCTAAGTTTGATAAAGATGGGAACCCAATTTCAGGAAATGCCATGAGGTGCCAGCCCATCCCGGCCCCCACTCCAGACTGGGGCATTTCCAGCTCAGGCCATTCCTTCACCTCTGTACAATATCTGTCCCCTGCCACAGCCAGTAGTGTGGCAGTAGATTTATGCTGCACAAAAGCTGTGAGCCTTCCGCCTGGGGAACACCCACATAAGGTCCCAACAGGAGTCTGTGGACCCTTGCCAGTGGGAACAATAGGATCACTTTTAGGAAGGTCTAGTTTAAGTTTAAAAGAGGTACAAATACATACAGGAGTCATTGATTCAGACTACAATGGGGAAATTCAAATTGTTATATCTACTTCTGTTCGCTGGAAAGCAGAGCCAGGAGAGTGTATAGCACAGCTCCTGATTGTGCTGTATTTGGGAATGGGAAAAAGTGAAATTAAATGAAGAGGAGGATTTGGAAGCACAAATAAACAAGGCAAAGCAGCTTATTGGGTAAATCAAATTACTGATAATTGTTCTACCTGTGAAATAAGTATTCAGGAAAATAAATTTAAAGGTTTGGTAGTTACAGGAGCAGATATTTCAAACATTTCTCTTCAGCACTGGCCGTCTGCATGGCCAATTCATTGTACATGAAACTGACTAATGAATGGACTCTTTTTAAAAGAACACAATAAGCATGTATTTTCTATTTCTCCGTTACTTTTTTTAAAATTGGAAATTAATGTGGGATTTTATTCATATCCTTCTATTTTTCTTTTCCTTTAGCTAATATTAATTTTTTGTCTCCTAGATGACAGGCAGTCATATATTGTAGGTATCACAATGAACAAAAGACAGTGAGACAATTTGTAAGCTTTAATGAAGCTTATAGTCTTTATCAGTCAGGGTCTTAGCAAATAACAGATGGCATACTGAAAAGTTACTACTACTCCTAGGCCTAAAGGGTCAAGGGGAGGAAATCCTTTCTGGAACCCACAGTGAAAGTTCTATCTGTATGAAAGTTTTGACCACAGGAGCTATTAACAGATAGACAAATCAGCCCAGACAACTTGCAGCCTATAAGGGAAGGAAACAAAGGAATTAGTACTTCATTCTCTCCTTCCACCCTCAGATATCTTGCCAGTAGTTTCCTTTGGCCAAATCTAGTTGGAATCCAGAGGGTAAAGAAACCCAAGCAGGCCAGCTTCATGGAAAACACTACAATATGGAACGAGATAGAGAATCAATCTATAGCAGATATCTAGCCAGTATTTTCCTTTGGCCAAATCTAGTTGGAAGCCAGAGGGTAAAGAAGCCCAAGCAAGCCAGATTTATGGAAAATAGTACAACATGGAAACAGATAGAGAATCAATCTGTAGCAAAAACTAAAGAATAAGCAGCACACAATATATGGAAACTGGCATTTAAGTAGGTAAGTATTATACAGAGTGATAAGTGCTATGTTAGAGGAAGTTCTGCATAGCATTACAACTTTTAGAAGGGGCATCCCTGATTTGCTACTCTGCAGTACCTCTTGGACAGGTGTTGTCCACCAATTCTGCTCTAGTCAGATCAATTCATATTCAGTAATTTTAAAAAGCATTTTATTATGCAAATTTTTGAATTCCATATGAAAGTAAAGAGAACAGTAATTAGTTGCGATGTATCCATCACGTACAGTCAACAACCATCATTACTTTGGAATATTGAGACTTCTATCGCCCAACTACTCTTTTTAATTTTATTTGAGAGGGGTTTATAAAATATTACAGCATTATGTTATTTTACCAGAAAATACTTAAATACACATCTCTGACAATAATATTTTAAATAGATTTTACATATCACCATGTCACTGGCATACTTAATAACATTAACCTATTATGCTAAGAAAATTAATTAAATTCTTTAACACCATCTAATATCATCTATACTCAAAAATCCCTCAGATCATGCAATTGATTGAGAGAGAAACCGGACTGTTTGTCCTATAGACCATCCCACATTCTGAATATCACAGATTGGTTCCTTATGACTTCATTTAATATACTCCTCTTTTTCTGGTATTTCCCTTAAAATTGTGTGTAGCCCCAGAGCCTTAATTGTATTTTGTTCCAATTTTAGGTAATAATATTTAGTGAGTGGTGGTGTATACTTTCCATTACACTGCCTTGGAGGCATATAATGTCTGATTGTCCTACTTCCAGTAATGGAAACTGTCACTGTGGGTTCAGATGATGTCAACCTGACCCTTCCATCATCAAATTTCTCACCAACAATTCAACTAAGGTTTTTAGAATTAATTGATTATTGTTGTCAAGGTACATTATGCTTTTAGGGGATGCAAAATGGAGATTTTCTTCTTCTATCATTCCTTTTGAATCTATCAATTCAACAAAGAATAACTTTCTCTCCATAATTATTAGCTTATCTTAAAATGCCCTTCATCTGGAAAGTGACGATGAATGCTTTAAAATTTCCCCTTCATCTGTTTTCAGAAAAATGGGTTGATGTCTTAGCAACTTCCAATGATATCTAATAAGTTTTTATCATTCTGAATTTATTTACTTTTATACTTGTGATGTGTTTTTGACGATTGAAGTTATTATTGCTCAAATTATGTCTTTTTCTGTCCAGTGGGAGTTCACTAAGTTAACATGTATGTTAATATTTTGCTTAACTTGAAATTGAGATGCCTCTTTGAATTATACTCACTCCCAACATCTCTCCCTTTTAAAATACTATATGTTGCTACAAGACTTTGTTGGAATATCACATGAATACACTTGAATCCTCTAATCACTAGCCACATATTGGATAGTGTTCAATATTCATTCTAACTTTTCAAGATATCACCAATTAACTCCAATTCAATTCTATGTCAGACATGTCACTTAACTGAAATTTGAGGTTCTATCACTCTTCATACCTATGAATTCTGTTTATACTCATTGTTATGGAATTTGGAGTTCTCCACGATTTGTCCTTAAACTTATTTCTCATTACTACTTTACCCTACCTCATTGCTGCCCTATTTGTCTTTTTCAGCTTCTGAAAGGCAGATCCTTATTGAATACTTCCTGCAAGTCTAGGTTCGTGGAAGTTTCTGAGTGAATTTGGGAAAGGGTAAAGGGAGTTGAAATCAAAACAGTAAGAGATGTATTCAAATTTTTTTGCTAATTCCCCTAACTCCCTTTGCTATGGCTCTAGGCTCACCAAAAGAATACTGTCGGTTATGGGTCTTTCTAGGTAGATCTTACTTTCAAAAAGAGACTGCTCTCACCAAAGTAATATATTGCCTATTTCTCTTTCAGTTATGTTTTTTTTTCATTATAAATAAGTTCCTGGCCTTTTCATTACAGGTAGCTTTCCATGCTGTATCTTTTACATAAAGTCCATAGAAAAAAAGATGCCTCATCTACAGTGCCTACAGTTATTATCATAGTCCTGTTTTTCACTGCAAACTAATTATTTGTATTTCTGATCAGTCTTGTGAGCCAGCACAATGTGAATCTACCCACTCTCTGAGTGCTGATAACTTAGATAACTGAGTCAAAAAGGCTGCAGAGATCTGAGGCCTTGGCATCATGATAATGAATATACCCGTGTGAGATAGTCAACAGCCTTTCCCCTGGTGGCACAAGTCTTTGTGTTAGCCTTATCCTCATCTATCTTATTTGAACTTCTGCAGGCACAACTCACAAGGCATCACAGATTAGATTATGCTTTGATCCAATTATTTTATTTTATACATGAGAAAACTGAAGCCCTAAGAGGAAAGGACTTTTCTGAGATTACAAAGTCATGAAAAAGCCACGATTTATTCCAAGTCTCCTGATACTCAGTTGAGCATTCTTTGCCTTGCCTGATGCGTCTAGATGGATGAAAAAGCATTTTCTTATTATCATTTGGATTTCATAAATATTCATGGATTATAAAAGTCTAGTGATGCCTGAGACCTTAGAGACCGTATAACCTATTGTATCTCAACAGGGATCAATGGACTAGATATATTAGAACGATCCCTGGAAATTTTCATTCTATAGGACTGGGATGAGGATAAAAAACTGTGCTTTTTATACAAATAAAAACTTCCCAGGTGATTCTGCACAGTAAGACTTGGAAAACCCTCCTATTTTATAATTGCTTACTTTTGCTGATGAATTAACAGGCCTAGGAAAGAGAAGAAATCTTTTCTTTACACATAATTTCTTGCTTAGGGTCTCGATCATACCACAGTTGACTTTTGAGCAGTTATTTACAACTCCAGCACTATGTACTAAAAAAGATTGAAGCGGTTCAGTTTGGAAGATCTACATTAGGGAAACAACACCTAGAGTAAATCCTGGAGCAGATTGTGAAGTCAGTCCCAAATGTCATTTGGGCACAAGTGTTTTTTGCTTCTATTGCTGAAATGCACATAACTTATGCCATGGGACATATTCAAAGAGGCAGAAAGCTACAATTAGAAGGTGGCAATAACACACATTGCCATCAATGAATTTAGAGAAAAAATAATTGAACTTGTCATTAAAGTCAAAGCTGGATGCATTTTGGAAGGGTAATCAATTTCTGAAGGGCCCCAGTGCAAACTATTCACATCGTTGGAGGTTGTTCTCAGCTACATGCTACAATTAGGCAAGTAGGTTGTACTTTAATACAAATGGGTAGTTCTTGTTCTGTGATATAAACCCATTTTCGAGACTTCTATGCCTATATCAATTGTATATGCCAATACCTCCTCAGATGTGTATCTGTACATTATTTTTCTTAATGATATTGAACACTTTCATATGTGAGGCAAAACCATAAAGCATTTTATTGTCAGATAAGGGAGTAAGACAACTTGTATAGGTTTGAATTAAAAGATAAGTTTACTTAGTAGCATTGGTTCAGAGGCAAGAATTATCACATTCAATTTGTGGAAGATAATGAGAAAGATTGATGGCATACGAGGTGGGCCTTGGAGAATGGGGTGGGTGGAGACAGATGAGAGAGATGAGGGGAGAGGGAAGGAGGGAGGGAGAGAGAGAGAGGGAGAGAGAAAAGCAAGAAAGGAGAGAGAAAGAATGAACAAAAGCATTCATTCCAGGCTTCCAGGCTCAGAGAATTGTATGAATAACGCTACAGGTGAATGAGAGTACAAAATAGATCAGGCTAACCCAGAGACTTATCCTTAGCAGACATTATTTGAAAGGACAGTTCACCCTCTAAGTTTCCTTAAGAAGTTTTCACTGGAAAGCTCCTGTCTTCCGCTTTCATAGTTTGGTGGTAAACAGAGAGGTGCAGTTGAACATCACCTGTAGACCAAATAGGGTATTAACAGAAAACTAGAACTCTGACAATGATGCTATAATTATGCGGAAGGAGGGTCAGTAGTGTTAAGGAAAAGGGAGTAAAGGATTTAGAAACCGAAGGGTAAATTTTCAGCCTCTTCCTTGCTACAAATTAAGCATATCACCTTGGGTTTTTACTCAATGTCTTTTGCACCTTGCTTTCTTTCTTTATAAAAATAGGATGAAAACGCCTCTTCTTTCTAGGTCTGTGGATTGCTGTGAGGATCAAATAAGATAAATGCAAATTTTGGTGTTATTATTAGAAGTAATAATGGTAAAATGGAGTATTTCATATCATTTAAAGATTTTTTATATATGCTAAGATATTTTTTCATACTTTTTCAAAATATCAATTCTGTAGTGCCATAAATAATTGTATTAAATGAATCGCTGGTACAAAGATCACATTCTGGTTCATAAGTCCTGTCTGGATGACTTAGAAATATTTAACTGTTAATATGAATATGGAAATCCAGCAGACTGAATCATTAAGGAGGAAAAAGGACCCGTTTTATGCATCAGACAGATTTCAGTAGCTTATATTGTCTACCTACAGGAGCTGGACACAATGATTCTTGCATATTTTGGATTCAAATGCATTTTTATTATTATTTTACCCCTGAAGCTAGGTTTGGAAAGACAACATTTGTTACTTAAGACAACTTAGAAAAAAAAAAAACTATTTCTATGTTATCACATTGAAAGGGTTGTTATGAGACCATCACATTATTTTATTTGCCAAATATGAATATGTTTCCTCAGTAATGTACTTTTGATTGTTATTGTTTTTAGAGAAAGAAGATACTGTTCTCAATAAAATAAAGAACATGCTCAAATAACGAACTAATAAAGGGATAAAAATAGTCAATTAACATTGAGACGCTTGTTCACTGTCACTAGTAATCAAATAAATACAATGCAAATAAATCATTGAGTTATTATTTCAAACTATCGAATTTGCAAACATTTAAAAGAAAAAGAGCTGGCAAATTCATAACCTCCTTTAAAAAGGGAATACTTAAATGAATTATAGTAGAGTGATTCAAGTACATTATAAAGAATAGATGGCAGTGAGGAAATAATCATAATAAATACATAAAAATCTGATGTATAATTGGTGATCTGCAAGAAAATGTGGGGAAAAGGTAGTAGCATTTACTTCTGAATGGTTGTACAATTTTTAGAGTTTTAAAAACTCCATTTCTGAATTTTCTGCAATAATTATTACTGTTATTATCAGTAAAAATGAGAAAACAAAAATATGTGTGTGTGCACTCATACATGAATGCACACCTACTTCTAGAGTTGTTTGGTTCTTAGTTACAGTAAAACTATAATCTACCACAAAATGACAGCAGCATGCTTTACTGAGCTGCAGTTGTGCATATGGCCTGTTTATTCTTTTTTTTTTTTTTTTTTGGTCAACCTGTACTTCTTGTTTGGCTTTCTGTATTATAGATATTTGATATTATAAATATAAATATTATAGATGTTTGCAAGTTACATGTTTCTAATTGCCCAGCTACAAATATCAGTGGTGGTATATGCACTATCTACTACACTCATTCGGGACATAAATTTATATAACAGAAAGGCTACTGTTTTTGTAATTTAAATACACAGGGCTATTTTATTCTATGGGAGCAAGCAGAATTTAATTTAAACTGGCGTTTTTTCTGTAGACCTGGGAGTAGAATTTTTTTTTTTTCTTGAGATGGAGTCTTGCTCTTAATTTTACCCAGGGATGCACTATTTTATTATTTTATAGTGAATAATATCTGACAAGCATGCATTATATTGCTACCTGCTGAGTCATGAATACATGAATACTACCAAGTAAATAGCTCAAATTTATAAATTTTAAAGCAATTTTTATTTTTGAATTGATCTTGTGTTTTTGATAGAATATACCTAAAAGGCTTAAAGTGCATGTAACTGAGCAATTTTCTTTTATGTAATGATGCAAAGTATATGAATAGTAAGTAATCTGACTCAGCAAAGAGACAAGAGTTCATACCCAAGAGATTCGTGCTTTGAGGTTTGGAAATAGCTCTTGTTATGTATTTTTGATCTTGGGTGGGCTATTAGCTATAAGTCTTGGTGTCTTCATCCATAAAATGGTATTAATAGCACCTGCCTTTTCTGCTTTTCAGGTGTAGAGACTTGAAAAGTAAATAATAATACGTGGAAGTTCTCTACCGCCTTCTGTGCCCAGCTTGACCACATATTCAGGTTTTTGATAATTAGCACAATTAAAGTGAACCAAGGGGGAACAAGTTGCTGATTTAATTTGGGGTTACATTGCCTTCACCCTGTGTCATAGGCTTACTTAGTCCAAGCATTCCTTAAGTATGCGTGTCTATTTAAGAGATTAGCTGAGGGTGGCTGATATTCAATCTCAATTTATCTCAGCTTTGGGAAAACCATCCCTGCGTGTACCCTATCTGTGCTTGTGAGTCCACAGTGGGATTTTGTATAAAGAACAGCATGTTTATATTTACAAGATTGAAACTGTAGGTGAAGTTCATAAACATCTGAAATAATTCTTTTTTCCTGAAATATTTCCTGCTCTTCTGGCATTCTTCTTTGTAATATTCAGTTTCACATATACTTTCCTAGTTACATTGCAAACTCCATGGGGTCAAAGTGTGTGCTAGTTTTGCATACTACTGAGTCTGTTGTGTCCATTACAGTGCTTGACACATAGCAGATGCTCAATAATTAAAACAGCAATTATACACACACACATATATAAATATATATATATTTATATAAAATATATAAAAACAATGGACTGACAGACTCATTAAGTCCCACCACCCACCTCCTATTTCCTAGCATAGTGTCAGGTACTTATTAGGTGAACAACAGATAGTGACTGTATCTTATTTATATTATTTAGGATGGGCCTCTAGGAGTTCAGTAACTTATTGTTTTAGAGTAAATCAAAATATTAATCCTTACATGACACTTAAATGCATGAATACAGTATTGTGCTTAAGTAGGATACTGTCCTCAATAATTTAAAAATACATGCACCCATTTTTTTTCCATGCATTGAAAATGACTAGTCCAGAGATGAATATGAAGGCAGTGATAAAAGTCTGGGAGCAATATCGTCTAACTTAGGGCTTGAGGCTCATTTGGATTCCCACTTAGGGCTTGAGGCTCATTTGGATTCCCTAATTATGCTGATCTAGATCTTCAGGCTTGTAGTTCTCCCTGAGGGTCTTGGTTATTTTTCCTAATAGACTCACCAGTCTCGTTAATCAAACAAGTCCTCAACACTAAATATAAATCTCATCATAAAATCAAAGTTGCATTTATCCTAGTAAAAGTCTAAAGCTACTTCTACTAATTAGTAAGTTTGGGGAATAATTTGCCTAGACACCAGCAATGTGCTGGGCCTACATTTGGGCTACAGTGTATTTACTTACCATAATTAGTGATTTTTTAAAAAAGGTAATTTTACCACTTGGAGTAAAAGAACATCAAAAATAAATGCTATAATTCAGTGAAGTTTGTAAAAAAAAAAGGGTCTATGTCTATATATCCATCCATACATATGTATGGTATTCATGACACCTTCTAAATTAGTGCAGCAATACATTATATTTTATCTCTGATTTAACTGTTCTTATAAAACAGCAAGATTATAAAAATTCCCACTTAACCAACATTAAAAGCAGCATTAAAATCTACAGTACTTAAAGAACATATTATCAATAACTTCCATGATATGTGCTTACAAATTTTTTCCAAATATTAGATGATTGATACTTCATTTTCTAATAGCTTTCAGACCTGACAATCTGGATGGTAAACTGTAATTCAATATCTCCAAACTTACATTTGGCCAGATTATCATCTTGTGTATGTGTGTGTATGAAGGGGTGTGTGTATGAAGGGGTGTGTGTGTGTGTGTTTGTAGCAGAGAGAAAGATAGAGAAATAAAAAATAAATAAATAAAACAAACCTGGTAAAAGAAAAATTATGCTTTGGAAGATACGGCTTATTTCCCTCTTGGTATAGTCTCTTCATAATATTATTTTTTTTAATTTTTTTTTGTGGGGACATAGTAAGTGTGTATATTTATGGGGTACATGCGATGTTTTGATGCAGGCATACAATCTGGAATAAGCCAATCATGAAGAATGGGGTATCCATTCCTTCAACACCCATCACTTGAACTACAAACAATACAATTACACTCTGTAATTATTTTAAAATGTATAATTAAGTTATTATTGATTACAGTCATCTTGGTGTGCTATCAAATTGTAGGTCACAATCATTGTTTCTATGTTTTTTTAAAACCATTAACTATCCCCATCTCCCTACCAGGCCCCCATTACCCTTCCCAGCTTCTGGTAACCATCCTTCTACTTTTTATGTCCATGAGTTCAATTATTTTTATTTCTTGTCCCACAAATAAGTGAGAACGTGCAATGTTTGTCTTTCTGTGCCTGGCTTATTTCACTTAACATAATGATCTCCGTTCCACCATGCTGTTGGAAATCACTGGATCTCATTCTTTTTGTACGGCTGAATAATACTCCATTGTGTATGTGTACCACATTTTCTTTTGTTTTTATTTTATTATACTTTAAGTTTTAGGGTACATGTGCACATTGTGCACATTAGTTACATATGTATACATGTGCCATGCTGGTGCGCTGCACCCACTAACTCGTCATCTAGCATTAGGTATATCTCCCAATGCTATCCCTCCCCCATTTTCTTTATCGCTTTATCTGCTGATGGACATTTAGGTTGCTTCCAAATCTTTTATTTTTTCCAAAAATCTGAAATTTGAGCTACCATATGATCCAGCAATCTCACTGCTGGCTATATACCAATATCAGAGTAAGCCACAAAAGTCATGTCCTCTACATCATTAATATAATTTAGAGGTGGACAATAAAAAAGAAAATTAATGGAGAAATAAAAGCAGAAATTTATAAAACATGTATAAACAAATGAGTCCATATTACTCAACTTTATATGGGTAAAAATGGAAGTAAAGTCACAATATCAGGCATTGAAATTATTCTGTATTCTGTTACTTGGTGTAAGGTGATTTGCCACAATCCAAGAGTCTATGAAGTAAGTTTGTATGAGATAGGATGGAAGGAAAGGAGAATTTGAACTATCTCAGGGATATTTTTTAATGATTGAAAGCTATGCTATAAAATCTCTTAGGAAAAACATGCTATCAATTGCCTGATGGAGTAATGCATATCTCATATCCTTCTCATCTCTATTCCTTCAGATCACAGTAGCTTTGGCAGCAATATCGAGATGTTGTCAGTTAAGCTTCTAGATCCCTCCATCTGCCACCATCAACATAGTCACATGACTAGAAATAATAATTTATGTATCTAGAATCAGCCACAAGTAGACTGCTGAGTACTTACTACATAAAGGCAAAGCTAGCATTTTTGGGTTGGGGGGGCAGGTGTAGAAACACGTTAACAGTTCTGTAAATACACATAAAGATATGCATTTTCCTTAATCACAAATAAATAAACCAGAAGAATTTTCAGTGATTTAAAAAAATTAAGAAATAGGGAACTTATTTAAAAAGCCTTTGAAGCCACAGTGGCTCTTGCCTGTTATCTCAGTATTTTGGGAAACTGAGACAGGGCCTCACTTGAGGCCAGGAATTCCAGAGGAGGCTGGCAAATAGAGTGAGATGCTGTCTCTAGAAAAAATAAATAAAATTTAAAAATTAGCTGCTTGTTTTGCAGTGTGCCTACAGCCCTAGCTACTTGGGAGGCTGAGGTGAAAGAATTGTTTGAACCAGGGAGTTTGATGTTGCTGTAACTTATGATCTTGTCACTTCACCCCAGCCTGTCCAGAGGATTATCTAATCATACTGTGGACTATTGCCAAATCTGCAGCAGTGAAACTCTGGACACATTCTGTGTCTGGTAAAGTCACACTTTGGAACCAAGAAGAATTTCCAGCCTTACTTCCCTTGACAGAGCCTATCGCTAAGACAGTCACAACATAGATCCAGGATAGAATTCCAACAATAAATCCCTGAGCAAAAACTATAGCTGAAACTGCCATACCATGGATCCTCGATGAAATGCCACCAACAAATCCCTGGAAAAAATACAGCCTGAATATTTAGCAGTAAATACCTGGCACTATCTGAATTTAACCCAGTCTCATTGTGGATCTTGGCTTATTTGTCAGTAGGAAACTACTCTACACAGTTCCATACTGAAACAATAACACTGTGAACCCACGTTGAGTCTCCAGCAATACTTTCCTGGAAACAGTTGGGAACTGATATAATCACATTAGGGACCCATGCTGAATCACTAGTGATGAATTCATGGATATATTCTTCTATATGTGATACGGTCACAACACCTATCCAGGCTGAATCAGTTATTAAATCACTGGACATACTCTGAAACTGATATACTCACAACATGGATTCTGGCTGAAACTCTAGGATTAAGTCCCTGGGCACGTGATATGTTCCTACCATGGACCCAGGCTGAAAGTCCAGCAGTATCTTGGATTCAACCATGGATTCTGGGTAGAATGCCAGCAATGAATCCCTGGAGAGAGGCTACAGCTGACATTGTCCTACCCTGGAACCAGGCTGAATTTATGTAGAAGGAAATGCCTGGACACCGTCTGAAACTTATACAATCACAAAGAGGATCCTGAGTGATTCTCCAGCACTAAATTCATGGACATGGGCAATAGCTGATGCAGACCAGCTGTGGACCAAACCTGAATTTCCAGCAGTAAATCCCTGGACAAAGTCTGTAGTTGATAGTACTATACCATGGATACAGGATGAGTCTCCAGCAATAAATCCATGGACACAGTACGTATCTTATATGATCAAACCATGAGCCCAAAATGACTCTTCAGCAGTAAATCTCTGTACACTACCTGAATCTGATACCATTATCCTGTGGACACAAGCTGAGTCTCCAACAGTAAATCCGTTCACAGAGGCTGGAACTTCCACAGTCACACCATGGGCCCAGGCTGTATCTCCAGCAGTAATTCCACGGACACAGCCTATACTTTCCACAGTCGTACCTTGGACCCAGGTTGAATGTCCATCAGTAAATACCTGGAGAACGTCCATAGCTGATGCCATCACACTGTGGATAGGGGCTGAATTAACCGCAGGATATCGATGGATACTGCCTTGGGCTGCTACTGTCACACTGTGGTCACAGTCTGAATCTCCAGCAGGAAATCTTTGGACACAGTCTGTGTATGACACAGACACACCATGGCCTCAGGCTGAATCTCCAGCAGTAGTTTGCTGGACAGAACATGTAGCTGATACACACCGTGGACTCAGTTTGAATTTTTAACAGTAAAGCCTTGGATCCAATCTGTATCTGATACGCTCATACCATGGACCCAGGCTGAGTCTTCAGCACTAAAGCATTTGACACAGGCAATAGCTTATACAATCAAGCTGTGGAACCAAGTCAAATCACCTGCCATAAATCTCTGGAAACAATATGAAACGAATATGTTCACATGGTGTACTGAGGTTGAATCTCCAAAAGTAAAGGAGGGGACACATCCTATACCTGCTACAGTTATACCACTGAACCAAGCTGAATCTGTAGGAGTAAATCCCTCCACAAAGCTTGAAACAGAAATACTCATACTGTGGACCCAGGCTCATTCTAAAATCAACAATCTCTGTACATATACTCTACTTGATAGAGTGAAACCATTGGCTAAGGATGTTTGTGTAGCAGTAAACCCATGGAGACAGTCTAAAACTGAAATAGTCACATCATGGGCCCAGGATCTGTTGCCAGCAATAAATCCCTTAACAGTGGCTGTACCTGGTATAGTCACACTGCAGTACATGGCTGTATCTCTAGTAATAATTCCCAGGAGAGAGGCTCTAGCTGATACAGTCATAATATGGACACAGACAAAATCACCAGCAATCAGTTTCTGGTTGTAACCTCTGCCTGGCACAGTCAAACTATGGACCCAAGCAAAATATACACCCGTTATCACTTGGAACCAGGCTGAATTTCCAGCTAGAAATCCCATGATACAATCTTAGCCTCCAATTGTAAAGATCTGAACAGAGTCTGAATCTCTAGCCCCAAGTCCTCTGTTATAGGTGGAGACTGATACAGTCATACCATGGACCCAGACTGAATCTTTGGCAGTAAATCCCTGGACAAAGCCTGTTGCTGATACACTCACACTGTGTACACAGCCTGTAACTCCATCATTAATCGTTTTTTCACAAACTTTTCATGATACACTGAAAGCATGGGCTCAAACTGAATGCTTACCAGTAAATACCTGGACAGAGGCTGTAGCTTCCAAAATTATACCCTGGACCCAGGCTGAATTTCCAGCAGTAAATCCTTAGACAGAGCCTTTTGCTCATACGGTAACAATTTTGGCACAGGCTGTATCTTCAACAGTAAAGATCTGGCCACAGCCTTCATTTAATACAACCAACTTATGTATTTAATACAACCAATCTGAATCTGCAGCATTAATTACATGGATACAGCCTGCATCTGATACATACATAGGATTGATCCAATCTGAATCTTCACCAGTGAATTCCTGGAGACTGCCTATATCTAATATATTATCATTGTGGACCAAGCCTGTATCTCTAGCAGTCAATCTGTGAATAGAGGCAATAGCTTCCATAGTCATACCTTGGACCAAAGCTTTACTTTTAGAAACAAAACCCTGGACACATCCTGTATCTGATATACTTATGCTGTGGACCCAGGTTGAATCTTCTGCAGCGATTACCTCCACACAGGCAGTATCTGACACAATTATACTGTGGCTGCATGCTGCAGGCCTCCAGTAGGAATTACCTGGATACAGACTGATCTGATCTTCTTATATCTTCTTATATCATGAAACAATGATGAATCTCAACAGAAAATTCAGGGGCATGGGCTGTAGTTTCCACCGTGTTACCATGCAACCAGTTATCCCTTCAGCAGGAAAAACCTGGACATCTACCTGTGTCAGAATCAATCACCCCGCAGACCCAGTCTGAGTCTCCAGTAATGAACACATGGACAGAGGCTGCAGCTTCCACACTCTCAAAGTGGACTCATGATGATTTTCCAGATGCAAATGCTTATACACAGAGCGAAATGGGCACATACTGGACAATGGGTAAAACTGAAGCTAAGAGGCTGGGCGCAGTGGCTCACACCTGTAATCCCAGCACTTTGGGAGGCAGAGGCGGGCGGATCACGAGGTCAGGAGATCGAGACCATCCTGGCTAACCCAGTGAAACCCCATCTCTACTAAAAATACAAAAAATTAGCTGGGCGTGGTGGCAGGCACCTGTAGTCCCAGCTACTCGGGAGGCTGAGGCAGGAGTATGGCCTGAACCCAGAAGGCGGAGCTTGCAGTGAACCGAGATTGTGCCACTGCACTCCAGCCTGGGTGACAGAGCGAGACTCAATCTCAAAAAAAAAAAAAAAAAAAAAACAATGAAGCTAAGAAACTCTGAACAATGCCTGAAGCTAAAATATTTAGAGTTTCATTACCACCTCAACCTGATACTCATGACCTGTGATTCATGAAGAAAATCAAGCATCTATTTTATGGACACATCATGAAATTGAAAATATCAATGAATGGACGTTGTCTGAATTTGGAACACTTATATCTTGGACAGTGCTTGTACCACAAGCAGCAGAACCATGGCCCCAGCCTGAAGCTCTGCTTAGCACACCTTTGTTTAAAACTGGATCAGAAGAAAATGAAACCTTGGGCTCAACCAGAATTTCAAACACTGAGCACATTTACTCCATTTGGACCTGGTAAACTAGAATCCTGGGCCAAACATAATACTACTACATTGAAAACAAGGATCTAATCCGAAACTGATGTCTTCTACCCGTGCACCCAATCTGAAGTAGGTACAATGAGATCCCAGACCATTTCTGAAGAAGATACAGTAAAACTATGGAACTGGACTGAAGCAGGCACAATCCACCCCTGGACTCAACCTAAAACTAATACAATCAGACTTTTGACTCATGTGAATTTCAAGCAGTCAGACCCTGGACCCTGTCCTTGTCTGATACACTGTTGTATCAGGCTGAAATGCAAGCTGCAAAATGCTTGACCATGCCTGACATTAATACTGTGAGTTCTTGGTTTCAGACTCAAAACAATGTAAGAATAAATGTTACTCAACCTCATTCTCGAGCAGGTACTACCTGGATGCAGCCAGAATGGCAAATAATCCACCCATGGAACCAATCTGAAAAGAATGCAGTCAGACCCTGGACCCAGTCTGAAGGTGATGTTCTGCAACCTTGGATCTATGCTGAAAGCAATACAGTCAGACTCTGGGCCCATTCTGAAACTGATAAAATAAAACAATATACTGAGCCTGAATCTCAAGCAATTAGGATGTGGCCTGAAGAGGATATGTTCGCACTTTGGTCCCCAACACAAAACGATGCAGTTTGGCCATGGACCCAAGTGGAATCACAAATGACCCACTCCTGGACCCAGAATCAACTTAGTATAAATTACCCTTGGACTCAGCATGTACCTGCTGCAATCAGACCATGGACTTACTCTGAAATTCAACCCTGCACCCACCCTGAAGCCAATACAGTGATAAGATACTGGTTCCAGACTCAAATGAGTTCATTAAATCCTGGGACCAACCTGAAACTGAAGTATTCCAAATTTGGACTGTAAGCCAAGTAATAAAACCCCAAAACTTCATTGAAATTGATACAGTCACATCTTGCTTACAGACTCAGTGTGATACAATTAGACCCTAGGTTCATCCTGAAAGTCAGCCACTCTCTCCTTGGCCCCACACTGAAGCTGGTGTCAGGCCTCTGAGCCCAAGCTAAGCCATCATATCCCTTGTGACCTGCACGTGTACATCCAGATGGCCTGTAGCAACTGAAGATCTACAAAAGAAGTGAAAATAGCCTTAACTGATGACATTCCACCATTGTGAGTTGTTTCTGCCCTACTCTAACTGATCAATGTAATTTGTAATCTCCCCCACCCTTAAGAAGGTTCTTTATAATCTCCCTCACCCTTAAGAAGGTTCTTTGTTATTCTCCCCACCCTTGAGAATGTACTTTGTGAGATCCACCCCCTGTCCCCAAAACATTGCTCTTAATTCCACTGCCTATCCCAAAACATATAAGAACCAATGATAATCCCACCACCCTTTGCTGACTCTCTTTTTGGACTCAGCCTGCCTGCCACCAGCTGAAATAAACAGCCATGTTGCTCACACAAAGCCTGTTTGGGGGTCTCTTCACACGGACACGTGAGACAGTTTGTATATTTCAGCCCTGGACTCAGCAAAGAGTTACTACAAATCGTTCGTGGACCCACCCTGAAACCCAAGCAGAGAGACTCTGGATCAAGCAGGAAACTGAAGATAGAGACAGATCTTCGTTTTACATTCAAATGAATAAAGGCAGACCATGGGTTTATTTGAAATATCAAATAGTCGGCGCCTGGATCCAGCCTGAACTTGATGTAATTCACTCTTTTATCCAGTCTGAAACCTTCCTATTAAGATTCTGGCCCAAGGTTCTATCTCCAGTAGTCAAACCATGGATCTTGCTTAAAGGAAGAACACTCATATCTTGGATACTGCCTGTAACCCGAGCAGACACTGGATCCAGTCTGAAGTTCATCTTATTGAATCCTTCGGTGTTTTTAAAGCCGGCAAAGTGAGAACCTGGATCCAGCCTGAAACAGAAATACTAAGACCCAGAACCCTATAAAGCTGTTATAATTGATCATTTTCTCCTCCTGAAATTGAGCCGAACAGAGAAACACTATTAACGAGTCATTTTGGCTGCTTGTCCAAACGTGTACCCTTTTTGCCAGTAAAAACTGTTTATTCCCCAGATCGGTATTTTATAGCTTTGTCAACTGAGATAACTGCCACACAAAGCCAATATAAAATCAATTCTATCCAACCAAGCCAGTTTACAAGCATTTGGCTTCCTGGAAGAGTTGTTTACCAGCTCTATGGCAGGAAATTAAAAATTATCAAGACAAAAGAAAGCCCTCATGTCCCAAGTACCTCTCTTATCTCTCTTTATGCTTTTTCTTTATTCATTCTTGTTCTCTTCCATCTGTATGTACACTGACCCCTTCTTGTTCAGTCTTTTCTTCTTGTACTTTCCTTTCATTCTGTATTTTCCCATCTTGCTCAGGTATTTCTCCTCTGGTCTCCTCTCCTATTCTGCTATCCATAGGCTCTTTTGCTAATCCTCCTCAGAATATATTTCCCTCAGCATTTACTAAAGAGTCAATTCTTTCTCATTCTTTTTCATCCTTGCATACTGCTCCAGCCGCATTTTTAACAAAACAACCTCTCCTGATGCCTGGATCTCAGTCTGGACCCAAGCCTGAACAACAACCTCTTAGGTATTCAGAACTCAGTGTTTCCCTGGGTGAGTGTCAACTAGCTGTGATTTGGAAAGAAAGTTTCCAGGCTTTCTGGCTCTTCAGGACAGCTTTTATTTCCCATGAAACCACAGGCAGCTTTAGTCGAGTCAGATATTTGAGTTAATGTACTTGGTATGAAGACTCCTGTTGAACCCTAAAACCAGAGTTTGTAGCAACAGAGGTTATGTTCTCAGACCGTTGCAAAACCAAAATTTAGGTTATTGTGTGAATCAGCAGAGATGTGTAAATATTGAGAGAATATTTTTTTTTTTTTTTTGCCAAACAGGATGTTTGAGCTATGTGTTATGAACACAATTCTATTCAGACAGCAGTATTTTAAAGATAGCCTTACTCCTTAGAAAGGTTTTATTATTTTCACTTGAGGTATATACATATATACACACACTATTGGATAATAGTATAACATCTTGGATACTAGTATCAGATATAAATAATAATATACTACATATATAAACTATATATACATATATTTATATATAGCATCTATATAGTATATATGTGTATATATATAGTATATATGTAATAGTGTGTGTGTATATATATATACGCTTTATTGTTAGAAGGGGAAGTATGAAGATAACCTCTGTACTATATCTAAAATTGTATATTTTAGATATATGTATATTTCTATGTATTTTCTCAGAATTGAAGATAATGAATTTCCAAGCATTTTTCTAAAAGTCTAAATTTAGATTTTAGAAAAGGAAGGGTAGTAACACTAATCACTCTATACCATGTGTGGGTTCCTCTGCAGAGTGTGGATTATGCCCTGGCATTATCCCTGTCTGTCCCAACTGCTGGGAGGCAGAAATTGGTGAATTCTGTTGGGTGATTTCTGCACAAATGTTTTTCTCCCATTTTTGTGCTGGCTCCATACTACATGAACAGTGGATCATTAGCACAGCTAGATGTGTCAATTTTATGTAAGTCTGAGCAATTCATTTCAAGATTATGATATCATTATAAAGCAAGTAAAACATTGAGACTGTTACTGAATATGTTTCTTTTCTATTTATTTATTTATTTTTGTTTGTGTGTGTGAGACAGAGATAGGGAAAGAGAGAGAGATAGAGACAGAGACAGAGAGAGAGAGAGAGAGAGAGAGAGTGAGAGAGAGAGAGACTCTCCCTCTATTGTCCAGGCTAAAATGCAGTGGTGTGACTCACATTAGCCTCAAACTCCCAATATTAAGGGATGCTCCCACCTCAGCCATCTGAGTACCTGGGACCGCAGGCACACGCTACTGCATCTGGATAATTTTGTTGTTGTTGTTCTTGCTGTTGGTAAGGAAAAATTCTCATCATGTTGACCAATTGGTCTCAAATGATCCTTGAAAATAGTTTCTAAAGTACTATTTGCAACTGAGTGCTTACCTGGACTTCATGTGATTCACGTGAACTCCAGGGTTTTTTCACACTGAAATGTGGAAATAATAAGATTTTTTCCTTGATTTTTTTTTCCCCCAAAAAAATGCAGAAGCCCTGGCTGTGGTCCGAGTGGGGCTTATTGACCTCCAGGATCCTGCCCAAGCTGAGATTGTAACCTTTGAGCATGCCATGCCCTATTTAGGTCCCAAGGGACCTCTAGGACCTGGGTTGATCTTCCTGAAGCAACCACTACATTTTCAACCCAGGTTCCTTCCTATACGCCTGGAGCAATGTCTGGAACAAGAGAAAATATACAACTATATGACTGTTGGCTACGTAGTTGGTCCCTTATGAGGGGGTGACTAAAGAAGAAGACACTGGAATGAAAGAGAAGCATGTTTAGGAAGAGAATAGTATCCTCTCATGAATAATAAAAGATTTGTCTTTCCCTTCACCATACTTCTCCCTCTAATGTGGGCTAAAATTTGAAGACAAACACAAACACCTCTTCTCTGTTTTCTATCAGAAAGTCCTGGAATTGTGCAAAAACGGCACCTGAGCATCCTACAAGTCAGCACTTGTGCCCAATTTTGGCTCAAGCTGAATGAACTCACTTTCTGGGTGGAGGCCAAGAAAGCCATGTGGATGGCTGACTATCAGGTGACAAATTCATGGGGTATAAATATCAGGGAGAAAGAGGAATATCTTGAAAACCAAAAGTTACTTCTGGCCCTCCTTTAAAATATTGTTTGATATCTTGCCTCTTGTTTCTTGCAAGGTGACTTGGGAGCACCTTTCGTATGCCATCTACAGCAAGAGGACACTTGGGTGCAAGTGGGAATCTTGAGTCACTTTGAGGACCATTGCACAAAGCCCTAGGTCTTCAGCCAAGTGCACCCTTTCCTTTTCTGACTCCAGGGAGTGACACAGTCTAGCTATGCTCCCTGGTACAAGCAAGGGCCCATGACTACCTCTGCTTCTATGTCCCATTCAGTCTCTACCTCTACAAATGCTTCAGCTTTTACCTCCACCCCTGCTTCTCTTTGGCCACACTTCTCTCTGCCACAGCCTCAGAGTAAGGCTCAAAAACTTGGTAGAGGTAATAAAGGAAGAAGAGAATGGAATTAGAAAAGAAGAGAGGGAAGCAGAGAGGAAAGAAAGCTCTTCCTGTAAAATATATGAGTTTTTTATCTACCAAATCACAGAAATTATTTTTATTGTGGTTTACAAAGGTATTTCACACTTGATCTATGATTCAATTTCCATTGTATCCCTGTATGATATAGATTACTGTATAATATAGGTCATGAAACATGATTACTATAGTTATGTTAATTGCTTACTCTTATACTAGATAAGTAGAATGGATTGTTCAAGTTCTTATGGCAAAAGATGAATAGGACTAACATTAAGACACACTCTCCTAACACAAAGTCATTTCTACCACACAGTATCTTACATGTGTAATAGAATTATTTTGAATTGAATATATTTTAAGTTAAAGACATTATGATGTTTGGAAACAGCATAGCAGTTGGTAAGTAATGTGTTTTAGGTGCTGGTGTACTAGACTGTATTACATTGTGATTATCAGTTTCCTCCTTCCCTTGGCTATCAGAAAACCTATCACAATATTAGCAATGGCTATTTCACATTACTGTACTTCCACTTATTTCCTTAGAAACTGAGGGATCTCTTTTGGTGTCATGTACTAAATGTGCACTTAACCACAGCTATATTATAGCTAACACCTATTGTCATAGCTACAGTGAATAACACATTAAAACACAAAGGAGGCCACAATTATTTGCTCACATTCTGCAAAGTCTGATTCAAAGACAACTACACTTAAGATCATAGTTATGCTTCTAATTTCATCTATATTTCCTCACCTCTTCTAGAGAGAGCCTATCTTCATCGTTTTTATATCTGTAATATGTGCATTAACTGGCATTGCTTCAACTCAGTTTTCTGAGAAACTCTCAAATGTTTTTTAAAATATGAGCTATTTCCTTAACCCCAAACTTGAATGTTCTATTTAAACTGTCATTCTGATATCACACTAAGATTGTAAGTTCAGGAAGATAAGCTCCCTCCAATTTAGAGACAGGAGCCTTATCTCCAAATTTTTCCTTGTTTATCTAATATCTCCAAATCAAATAATTTTTTGTTGCCCATCTACTTTGATAACTTTTAAGTAGCTAAAATCATAGCTATGTAAAGGTTGCAATGGGGAGAAAGCTGGAATGACTCCCAGTACTTTGACTGAAGAAATTTAAGTTAGGACATAAAGAAACTGTGAACTTAGAAAAATAGTAAAAGGAAAACTTTTTTTTTTTTTTCAGAAAAATGTAAAAACAAAAACAAAGGAAAAACAGAAAAGAGGTAGAAGTTTGTGTTTGCTAGTCATATTTAACAATGCTGACCTGGTTAGCAGAAATAGGAGGGATCTAAATTTTTTTTTAAATGGTCTACATGTGGCAATTCTATTCAAATTAATTGTGTGAATTTTCCCCTTGGCTTTGGCAGATCAGATTTATCTGCGATATGCCATGCCTTGGAAGGCTGTCATCATCATCTGTGGGAGTCAGATCTGCAGTGGTTCCATAGTTGGCAGCTCTTGGATTCTCACAGCTGCCCACTGTGTCAGGAACATGTAAGTTTGTGCCTGCCTCTTCCCATGTCCTATAATTCATTATCCCATAATTACATTGCTGGAAGTTTATCTGTCCAAATTCACTTCTATAATGCATGACCATCTCACTTATACAATAACTTTTTTGTTTTAGGCTAAAAAGAAATTGCCTCACTGTGTTTGGCTTATTAGTACCTCTGTTAGTTATCTCCTCTGCAACCCCATTGTCTGTGGACTCTTTATTCATAGATTTCTGATTTCAATGAAGATGAGCTAGGAACCTTGTGTATCATGACAAAAGCGATATTCCGGAAAGCCTGATGTAGGTTTAAGGTTCAGGTTTTCTAATGATTGTACTGTAATAAATCTTTGCCTATGCACTCAGGGATCCTGAAGACACTGCTGTGATACTGGGCCTGAGGCACCCTGAGGCACCACTGAGAGTTGTGAAGGTGTCTACCATTCTACTGCATGACAGATTCTGGTTGGTGACTGAGGCAGCAAGAAATATTCTGGAATTGCTACTCCTCCACGATGTCCAGACTCCCATTTGGCTCTTATCACTCTTGGGCTATCTGAGGAACCTGAATAGTTCAGAATGCTGGCTCTCTAGGCCACATATTGTTACACCAGGTCAGTGGTTATTTTTCTTATTAGCGTAGTTGTTCTAAAAAAATGAGGTTCATATTTTTAATATTATGATTCAAGGCATAAGTGTAATCACATTTGTATACATTATTAATTATAAGATATTTAATCCACATCAGAGACCCACTAGGAGATTTGTTTTTGTTTTATAAGATGATGGTTCTGATGATGACTTCACAGGATTTTAGATCTAACAAAAATTATATGAGGAACTTTCTCTGTACAGTCCAGATTTGTAAAGCAAGGTAGAGATGACTTCCTTCCCAACTCTTTTCTCACTTCGGTACAAAGGAAAAAGAAGGGTTTTGTATTGTTTTGTTCATTTTTACTTCTTTATGAAAATGTAGCTTAACTTGACTTGGAATTTTGAATTTCAAAGGTAAAAATTGACTTGTTAATTTTGCAGAGTAGAATTTAAAATGTTATTAAAAAGTGACAAGTCTGTCTTCATTGACTCACCCCGGTAATTCCAGCAATGTGGGAGCTTAAACTAAGAGGACACTTTGAGTCCAGGAATTTGATACCAGCTTCAGCAATATAGCAGGACTTCATCACTAAACACGTAAACAAAAACAAAGCCTGGTTGATGTTGCACACAGGTAGTCCCAGCTATGTGGGAGGCTGAGGCAGGACGATGGCTTGAGCCCGGAGGTCGAGGCTGCAGTAAGTGAAGATTGTGCCAATGCACTCCAGCCTGGGTGACCAAAGAAGAACTTGTCTCAAACAAACAAACAAACAAAAAAAGGCCAGACATGGTGGCTCACGCATGTAATCCCAGCACTTTGAGAGGCTGAGGTGGTGGATCACCTGAGGTCAGGTGTTCAAGACCAATCTGACCATCATGGGGAAACACCATCTCTATTAAAAATACAAAATTAGCCAGGAGTTGTGGTGTGTGCCTGTAATCCCAGCTACTCAAGAGACTGATGCAGGAGAACTGCTTGAATCCTGGAGGCAGAGGTTGCAGTGAGCTGAGATCAGGCCGCTGTACTCCAGCCTGGGTGACAGAGTGAAACTCTACCTTAAAAAAGAAAAGAAAAGTGACCAAAAAGATAATGAAATAGAAAAATTGTGTGATGTAAAATGTTAATGGTGATGAAATGAACTGAATTTCTGTGTAAAAGTTATAGATACAAGTTTAAAGTAATGACGAGACAGAAGTGATGAGACAAATCGTAGTCTTATCTTAATACTTAGGGTTTAAATTTAACATATATTCTTAAGGATATAGTCCATTTGTCTTTCTAGGAGGGACCAATGACAATCCAGAAATGTTAGGCACAAGTGATGAAAGCTTCCAGCTGTGCCCACCTGTACCCTGACATAGGCAGTTCCATTGTTTGCTTCATTACTCAGGACAAAAACTCTGATGAAATTGTGGTACATCATCAATTTTTTTCTTACTACATGATAGAAACTATAACTTTGTTCCTATACAAAGGGGTGTATACTGCATATGCCTAAATGATAAATATAAGTGAATTATTGATCAGTAGGAAACCATTTTAAAATTCTTTAATTACAGAACAAAGTCTCTAAAAAAAATCTGTTTTTAATCTCTGAGTTTTCTTACATACGATTTCAATCTCTAGCCATACTGTATAGCTATTATGCTGCTGTACACACAAATCAGACATTCTATATTATTCTCTTATTCTAATAATAGTATCTTTACACCTCAGAGTTTAAAACGAGTCTCACCTTTTTCTATTTCCCCAATTAAAATAACTTTTTAACATTTAATCTTCAGTGATTTTTTGTAGTAATATTTTTGAAGGTATTTCATCAGGATGATTTATTATGCACTTATCTGATGTCTCCTTTTCTTCTGAATACATGTTTTAATATCTACTTATTAAATCTATGATTAATAATTTGGAATAGGGATTTAAATCCAAATTCTATGTTGGAATTTACAGGAGTCAGTGAGCCTACGAAAAGCATTTATGTGCAGACCAGTATCTGACAATGGCAGTTGGAGACAAATAGGCTTCACCAGTCTCAAAGCCCTAGCTACTACAGTGAGTCCACATTTTTCCTGGATATTATCTACTTCAGCAAAAGAAGGTCACTCAATAAACCAGGCCCTTGTGCCTTGGGTAGAAACTCCGAACTCCTCTAGTCTCCTTAAACAACCAACCACACTGCCACTTTCCTCAATAATAATTACGGCAGCCCAGGGACTTTGGTAGCCTAGTGACTATAACTACTGATGCCACAGTCTGGTCACAGTATGATAAAACGCCAGAGCATCAACAAGGAAAATTTTGACTTAGCCTTCCAAAATCTATCTAAATATACCTTCAATAAATATGGCTTTTCTTCGTAATAACTGCTTTCTACTACTTCCTGAACTAATGCATGGCCTTGGATTGTTTTCATTCTTGAAAATGATTCAAAAGTTCATATTTAACATGAACGTGAATGCAGGATTTTATTTATCAGCAAAAAAAATTTTCAAAATGATGCGAAATACAAATGTGGAATTGTATTTGTGAATATTAGTCTTTCAAATTATATTTTTATCCCAACTAACTCACACAATGTTTTGTAACTATCTGCATATTCTCCTCAGGTGGGGGAAAAACAGTATCAGAGTTCTTGAAGAATTTATGAAAAAGAAAATGACAATACTATACAAGGTTTAACCTATTCACAATACTGTATTTAGTGAATGAAAACATTACTTTTAAAATCCTACTTAAGTATTGAGTAAATAAATAAAGCATATTATTTCAATAACTCTAAAATACGTGTTCACGAAGACAATACAACAAGGGTTAAAATACATAAACAAACAAATGAGGCCGGGCATCATGGCTTGCACCTGTAAGCCCAGCATTTTAAGAGGCCAAGGCGGGCAGATCGCTTGAGGTCAGGAGTTTGAGACCAGCATGGCAAATATGGTGAAACCTCATGTCAACTAAAAATACAAAAATCAGCTGGACATGGTGGCATGCGCCTGTAATCACACCTCCTTGGGAAGGCTGAGGCAGCGGAATCGCTTGAAGCTGGGAGGCTAAAGTTGAGGTGAGCTGAGATCATGACACTTCCCTCCTGCCTGGGTTACAGAGCCAGACTCTGTCTCAACACACACACACACACATACACACACACACAAATCTAAAAAAATGGAAAAAAAAATCTGTACTAGAAAAAGAGCTCACAGGCAAACTCACATATCTAACAGGAAAAAAATGTCCTTTAAACAAAGGTGGCACAAGAGGCAAATTTAAAAAAAACAAATGTATCAGCTTGCATATAAAGTACAAATAATATACTGAAGAGAACCACAAGGGGAAAAAAATCAAAATTTATAAGTATGTACTCTAAAAGAAGCTGAAAGTCACTTAAAAATTTTCTGGATTCTATGTCTCTATATTGCAAAAATGATCATAAAATTTGCAGGAGCAGAACAATCAAAATCTATCTTAAAACTCAGTAAGCACTTCAAGTCTCACATAAGAATTGTAACAGAAAATGGATGTGTCTGCAGTATTTCCACACAAATCTGAACAAACACTATTTCTTCATACTCTTTGTTTCACTATTCTAAGAAAATAACCTCCATATTAATATTAGGTGATGCGACAAAGCAGGTCTTCATCATGATAAGCAACACTGGGTGTCCACACCAGTACCCAAGTGGGTCTTAATTCCCGGCCAGTTTCCCTCCCTGGGCACATACCAGAGGAGTCAGCCATTTTGCAGTCTCTTCACATTTCCTCCTCTGAGCCCAATGTGGTCCTCCAGATTCTCTGTGTAGTGGCCTCTTTTGTCTGGGTAGCAGGGAAGTGTGAGTGAAGACGGCAGAAAGGAGAAATCACGTCAGGGGAGCCTGGGTTCATCGTAACCGAAAATGATGGGCCTGGGAGAGCCATTCTGGGAGGACGCAGACCTAGACAGGCCTTGGGGGGACATCTGCATGGAGGGTGAGAGGGCCCTGGTTGAGCCCAAACTGAGCCCCAAGTGTTAGTCAGCCTCAGGGTGGGGAAGGGAGCCAACTAGAGATGTTGAGCAAGTTATCCCTTAAGACTTGCTTCTCACCCACTGACCTTAGACACTTATGCCTCTCAGGTGACTTAAGGTGCCCTAATCCTGAAATGTGAGTGTTACAGTTCCCTGAAGTCCGTTTCTCCTTCAGCCCATGGATGGCCTGGGATTGCTCACTGCAGTCTCTTCCCTGAAGCTTGGGTTCTCCTAACC
Organism: Homo sapiens; assembly: GCF_000001405.40. Taxonomy (NCBI): domain Eukaryota; kingdom Metazoa; phylum Chordata; class Mammalia; order Primates; family Hominidae; genus Homo; species Homo sapiens. The sequence continues at coordinate 21,941,602 of NC_000024.10, read as the reverse complement.
TGACCTCCTCTCTGTTCCCTCTCTAATGGCCTCCCTCCCTCGGGAAGTACTGAAGGGGATTGAGCCACAGGCCCTGGCTGATGATCTGGGGGACTGAAGAAGGGGGTACAGGACAGGTCAGGTCATGGCTCAAAGCCAGTTCCCCAGAGGCCAAGGAATGACCAGCAAGGTTTTTCCCATGATGCCCCACCGTGGCACCCATCTCAGCAATCCTGCCGGGACCTGGGTAGCCAGGGGCAACCAACCAGCTGAAGAAGGTCAGATGTAGGTGTACTGCCTGCAGCTGGAGGCTTGACCTTCATGATCCCACAACCACTGGACTGCAGTGGAATGAGACACCCTGTTTCTTGGAGGGATAGGAATCAGGAAGGTTCATGCCAGACATACCCTCCCACACACAACCTCCCCTACCTTGCTGGGAGGCACTCCTTACCAAGGATGCCAACGCAGTACTCCTGAATGATCACTTCATTGTGGAAGTAAAGGCTGTTACAAAAGGAAACCTTCATCCTGATGCCAGTACCTGGGGTGGCTGAGTTCCTCCATCTACCTGGTCAAGAAGGAGAAACAGGATGGACTCAAAGGACCATTTCATGTAGCTGGACTGAAGTGGCCTGCTAGCTGGAGTGAAGCATGTGTTTCCCCTTCTCAGCTGTCCTGCTTAGACACCCCTGGGCCCCAGGGGGACCGCAACCTCACCCAGGCACTGGACCACTCCCACAGATTCAGGCTCAGCAGCCTAACCTGCAAATCCATCATGTAGCTCAGCAGGACTTCATCATTTGTGACCCTGGTCCATATCTGGGCCCAAGTCTTGAGCACCATGTGTTTCTGGGGTAAGCCTGCTGGTCACAGGCACAGGGAATAGGGGTAGTTCCATGGCTGGCATGGGCATAGAGACTCCCCTTCCTCCAGGGACTTTCCCAGGGAAATGTGCCCTTCGACTTTCTGCAGTGCATAAAGGGTCCTTTGCGCTCCTATTCTCTCTTGTGAGTGCTGTGCTTTGCTTCCTGTCCCTACTCTACGTGCTCTCAGGGCAACTGCAAGCAAGCTGCCCTCCTATCTGCAGAAGTCTGGCCTCTGCTCCCTTCATTGTTCCTCATCCCCTGACTCCTGGATGACCTCCAGTGCCTACCAGCTGGCTCCCCGCAACCCTGCTCCTGGGACCTAGGCGCCCACCCCCTGCTGCCAGCCATCCCGAATTAGCAGCTGCGAAGACATGGCTCTGGCCCGGAAACCGGGGATGCCCTGTGGCTTGAGGCATTTACAAAGCCCAGCTGCAAATGATGGACCTCCAGCGAGTCCGTTGCGGGCCGGGGCATACTGGGGCCAGGGCCCGGCTCTGCCCAGTGGTCCTCCTGCTGCTGCTCCACGTCGGCCTCTTCCTTGGCCACCACTTCCACTTCTGTCGTGATGTCATTTACCAGGAGCACGCCTCTTCCCCCCAGGCCGCCCTCTCCCGCAGAGCCTCCAGACTTAACACGGTGCCCTCCTAGGGCTCCCACAGACCAAGGTCTGAGCCGCCCACCCCACGCCCCTGGCACCCCTAGACTCTGGGGGCCGCTCCTCGAGAGGCCCGGGGGCCTCGCCTAGCTGAGAATCACGGTCTCACACCTACGTGGACCCAGGATTCCTGGGGAGTCCCGCAGGGCCCACAGTCCGCCGCAGTCACCATGAGGTCCAGATTCCCTGCATGGTTAGCTGCATACAGGAGCCATAGGCAGAGGCCCTGGACTTCCAGAGCCCCGCTAGCAGGCACCGCGGCCGGTGGGTGCTGCACTCACAGCAGCCTCTGCGCCACCAAGGCAGTGAACACAGGTCATTGGATGGGCGACCACGGCAGCTTGTCTCTGGTGTGCCCAGGGCATAGGACAAGAGATCCTTTGGAATACCCCTGGGAGTGCAACATCCTAGGGAGGATGCATGGAACTTGGAGTCTGTATTTCCCTAGATCTGAAAGAGTCCTTGCGGGGTTTTGAATTCCGGTGCTGACGAATTCCACCCCAGGAAGGTGCCAGATGACTTTCCTCCCAGATGCCCCCTCGGCCCCACTCCCCGAAAACCACCGCCGCTGCCCTTGCCCCAGCAGGCAGGACTAGACCCTCTCTCTTGCCTCTGGATCTCCAATATTCAGTACCATCAGCCTAGCCTGCCTAATGAAGTGAGATGTTTCATGTGTTCCCTGTGAGTCAATGGCTTGCGGCACTCAGGATGCCAGTTAGGGTATAGGTCTTCCATGTCACAATTCCAAAGGGCTCACAGTCTGCGTGTGCCTGAACCCACCACCACCTTGCACAAGCATCTTCTCAGAGGAGGACTACCGCGGGAGGATGGAGCTGCAGGCCACCCAGGGGAGGGGCTCCTCAGGAGACGCCTACCGCTCTTGCAATAATTGGCAGATGCCCACTGCCTTCCCAATGATTGGCTGGAGGTAGGCGTGATTTCCGGGCATGGCTTCCCACTCAGGCCAGCTGCAGCGGTCTTTCCTGCAGTTGGCCCTGTGGTGTCCCGAAGCCGGATGCATACGACCTGAGTGACGGGAGACCCTGAGGCTGTTTGTCCTCCTGAAAAGCACCTGTATTTTCTGTTTCTCTGGACAGGTTGGTCTCTCGGCAAGACTAGAAAGCAAAGGTTTGGGATTTTGTCTATAAAAGCGAATGGGCTTTCTATATGTGGGCTTGAATTAAGGGAGGAGACAGTGGGGAGAGAACTCCTTAGTGCTCTAAAGAAACTCATTTTTGTTAAACTCTTTGATTTTTCTTGAAGATTCTACCTTTAACTGTCGGACATATCTGACATGTGGGCAAGTTCTGGGAGATGGTGCTAAGGCGCCATTGTTTTCATGGGCACTTTTTATTAAAGCAGTTTTTCTCTGTGAATGTCGTCATAATTCAAAATACAGGCAACATACTTAACCACTGCGATTAAAAACCCGTACTTTAGTCAGCACATGTCACATATGTGATTTGCTTGGCGGGAATTATCAAATTTTGACGTATTTTAGTGTATGTAGAAGTCTGGGGCCATAAATAACCTCGGTTTAAATTTGCCTCTGTAAAGCCTGTAATTGTCTCCTTCCTTGTATGACAGTATTTGAAACATGTTTCATGTATCTGTGGCACCTAAGTAATTTAAACCGAATAAGTGGGTGTAATGGAGTTAAATGGAGTTGGATAGACTTAAACGAAAACAAAATAAATCTGCTTGTTATTCTACTATCTTCACACACTGACTTACTTTTGTAATCCTAGCATTTTGGGAAGTGCAGGTAGGAGGATGGCTTGAGGTCAGGAGTTGGAGACCAGCCTGAATAACATAATGGGCTCCTTTACTCTATTGCCATTTTCGCACCAGGGACCGGTTGGTGGAAGACAATGTTTCCTCAGACAAGTGTTGCCCAGCGGAAGAAGGCAGTGAGATGGACACGTTTAGGGGTACGGGCTGGCGGCAGGGCCCCGAGGGGCACGTGGTGGGGCGGGGCTTCTGGTGGAAGAGGTGTGAGAGGGGGCAGGTGGGGCAGTGGGGCTGTCACCGGGACAGGGTGGGGCAGGAGGGGTGGGAGGCGGCTAGGGAGGTTTCCGGATGAAACTGTGCCACCTCAGGTCATCCTCAGGCGTTACATTCTCCACAGACAGGTATTACAGGTTATCCTCAGGCATTACATTCAGGCCACAGACAGGTATGGCGTGAAGGCCAGTGTTTGGGGATCCTTGATCTATTATATATTTCAAATCACTAAAAGATGCTAAAATACTTAAAATGATCTCCCCCTAGAACATTTTAATTAGCTTGATTTAATCTTTCATACAAATATCACGCTGGGTGTGGCGGTTCACACTTGAAATCCCATCACTTTGGTAGTCCCAGGCCAGTGGACTGCTTGAGCCCAGGAGTTGGAGACCAGTTTGGGCAATATAAGGAAAACCATGTCTATTTAAAAACAAACAAACAAACAAAAAAAACACACACACACAAAAATTGCCCAGCCAGCTACTTGGGAAGCTGAAGCGTGGGAGGATCAGTTGAGTCTGGGTGGAGGAGGCTGTAGTGAGCAGTGCACTTTAGCAACAGGAGATATACATCTCAAGAAAAAAAAATACACAAAACATCACACCATACCTCATAAATATATAGTTTTCAAATAAAATTATTTAACTGGGAGCATCCTTCATATTGCAACTTAGGAAAATTACAGTAGCTTTTCTTATCTAATTTTTATAAATTAGATTTTGTCACCTACATAATAAAATGCAGCATTTGTCCATGAAGTCAGTGCCCCTTTTGCTCTGTATGTTATGAATTTTACATATTTAAACTAAGAAATACTAAAAAGATGTTAGCCTCTGGAAGGGACTTTTACTTGAATTTCCAACACAGTATGTAATAAAATTTTATCTTTTTAGTTTGTCTATTTTTATCTAATATAGATTTTTTTTAACCATTTACAGCACAATGGTAGAAGCAGATTGTCATGGCAAGCTTTTCATTGGTGGCCTCAATAGAGAAGCCAATGAAAAGGTGCTTAAAGAAGTATTTGCAAAACATGGTCCCCTTTTGGAAGGTAACTCTTAAAGCCATGTGTTTTGTGTGTGTGCGTGTCTCTGTTTGTGTGTATTTTCGTATGTATATTTCAATATGTTATTTAAAATATGTAGGTTATGTATGTATTTTAAAGTATGTATTTTTCAAAGTTCATTGTATACATACATTAAAACGCCTTGTGATTTGTAAACTCTTATTTTGAAGTATCTATCTGATATTTGGAAAATTCTCATAGCAGCAGGTGAAGGGTAAGAATCACTTACTGCTTAGAAAGGAAAATGAGGAAAAGTAAATGTGTTATGGAGTTAGGGAACAAACTGGAATAAAATAGGCTGACTATAGGGGTGACTTAGTATTAAGAATCATAGTAGTGATGTGAAATGCAGTTATTTTTTGGTTTGATGTAACTTTCAGATGGTTAGTACCTTGGTGAGTCCATTCTATAAATATAAAATGTTTTTATGTATCTTAGTTCTTTTGATAAAAGGTCGAACCAGTAAGTCCAGAGATTTTGTGGTCATTATTTTTGAGAATGCTGCAGATGCTAAGAATGCTGCCAGAGATATGAATGGAAAGGTAAGAGTCCCTTATTAATAATACACTAATTCTGGTTTTCAGTTAACAGTATTTCTAGGTCTTTTTAGTATAACTAAAGTGTTGAAGATAGTAGAATGCCATATGGACTGAAATGCTTTAGCCATCGTCTTCTTTGTGCCATACACATGCAAGTGTATTTGGAAGGGTACTGCAATTAACATTACATAAATTAATATATGGTAACTTTTTTTCTATTTTTGTATTTCAATATGGGTGTAAATAGATTTTCAAAGGTTTCCAAGAGCATTAAAACCTAGAAGGAACCCTCCTCTAAATGAAAGGACTAAGTTAACATTTTTTAAATGCTATCAGTGGAATTACTTCCAATTCATGGAAATACTTCTATAGCATATACAAACTGTGGATAGACATCTAGACAGACTCACAGGAAGGAAAGATTCTCTCCCATTTTCTGCAAATATATTCTTGAGAAAGTACATTTAAATAAGACCTTCACATTTAAGGATGTGTTAAGTACTTGAAAATAGAAAACAATATCAGAACATTGAAGTTGGACAACAGAAGAAGTAACTGGCATTTTTTGCCCCATCCTTGCTCTTTTCTCCTAAGGATGTTTTTTTTCCTGTCACCAGAGTGATTTATGTAACATGAATACCTAATTGCTCATTTTCCCAATGTGTTTGAGAACGTGTTTTGATCAAACCAATGGTCTCTTGTCCAATTGAGTCTTAAATCTAGGGATTGTGTGTTTACTAAAGCTTTAAAATTTTATGTAATTCTATTAACTATTGAATTCCTTTACATTCTAGTCAAGATCATTCCATTCTGGGCCCTTTAGAGCTTTTCTGCTTTCTAACATTATCCAAATCTGTTTTTCTGCTTTATAACATTATCCAAATCTGTTTTTAGCTCCTGTCACTCTTTATGGTACCCCTAAAATGATTTTTTGGACTTTTTGACAATTATTCTTTCCTATGTATGTCTCAGAAATAACAATTCATCCTTCAAAAACAACTTCAATTTTCTATTTTCTTCCTCGTTGCAAATCGTAGATATTTTATACTCACTGTACCATGTATTAATCTATTGATGGTTAAATTGTCTACAGTGCATATTTAAGGCTTCCTAGTTGCTTTTATTTTTGTTGCATCTAGTAGAGTTGCTGACACATAGCAGAAAGTACATTTTTATTCACTCTTATAAATTAGTATTTTAAGCTGTGGTAGAAACCCAGAGTAAATTTGTGGTAGTTGTGGAGATAATTTTTACTTACGTATAGTAATCTATGATAATTTCCTTTTCCCCCCTAGTTTTCAAGCACAAGAGCAGGTAATTTGCATAGATTTTTTGCTTGTTTGGTTTTTTTGTTTTTTAAGACGGAGTCTCACAGTGTTGCCAGGCTGGATTGCAGTGGGACGATCTCGGCTCACTGCTACCTCCCCCTCCCGGGTTCAAGCAATTCTCTGCCTCAGCCTCCCAAGTAGCAGGGACTACAGGCACATGCCACCACGCCCAGCTAATTTTTGCAGTTTTAGTAGAGACTGGGTTTCACCCAGTTGGCCAGGATGATCCCTATCTCTTCACCTCATGATCCACCCGCCTTGGCCTCCCAAAGTGTTAGGATTACAGGCATGAGCCTCTGCGCCCAGCCAATGTTATTTCTGAATTACTTCATCTCACATATTTTATTGTGTAAACATAAATATGAAGTTATATGCACATAAATGTTAAGACGGCCAACAAAGGAGGTTCTTAGAGTTATCAGGGGCAATTAACAGTTTAAGGAATTTTGACTGACTTTGAAACACTGGGAAGGAAGCAGCCATGCGCAAATCTGGGGAAAATATTTTGGGCCCAGAAATAACAGCAGAAGTTTCAAGGTAGGAACAACTGGCAATTTGGCTGCAAGAGGTCTTGTAAGGGATTTAAGATCTTCCCCCAAATAACAAAAAACATGTAATTTTAAAATAGAGTTATTTATTATCTGAACTGTTTTCAAAAATTACTTTGGCCTATAGAAAAGATCATACTGAAAAATGTTACTGTGAAATTAATTAGCACATTTAAGCATTTCTGAGAAACAACATGAAGTACTATATTAAGAGTCATTTTTTAGGGGCACGTCTAAGGCAAAATAAGAAATGAATAAGGCAAGAAACCTTAATGAGATCAAACAAGGATCACATTTACAGAAACGTTTCTAGAGTAAATATAAAATTATAAATCATATGGGGATATTTTACGTAAGTGTTAGCAGATCAAACAAGAAACAACTCATATGACTAATGTGACTAATCATTTTGAATAAGTAACCTCATTTTTTTAAATGACACAAGTTTCCTTGGGACACTGAAACTTTTAAATCAGTGATGCGAATACAAAGATGAAGTGGATGATATATTGTAAAAAAAATACATGCCACATTCTTCCATAGAATGTGTGATGGGTTAATCTTTTTTGTTTGAGGTGTTTTTTTTTTTAATAATTGAGGAGTTTTCAAGGAATTTGAATAATAGAATTTGTGTTTGATCCCTTAATGGAAGGCGTGTGTTCAGTTAATGTCTCAAATTTGGTATTGTGAAAGACGTGTTCATTTTAGGAGGAAAAAAATTTGCTTTGGGAGAAAATATCTAGAATTGAACTATAGTTGATGTAGAAATGTTTGTAAAATGTGCTTAGGTTTAATCTTGCCAACGTTATTGATAGTACTCTTAATACTTTTAGTCTTTGGATGGAAAAGAAATAAAAGTAGAACAAGCAAAGAAACCATCTTTTCCAAGTGGTGGTAGGCGGAGACCACCACCTTCTTCAAGAAACAGAAGCCCTTCAGGAAGTCTGAGATCTGCAAGAGGAAGTAGTGGAGGAACAAGACCGTGGCTGCCCTCACATGAAGGACACTTGGGTAATGTTCTAAAATATAAAGATGGAACCATAGGACTGAAAGAAAATAAGTTTGAAGATATCAAAATTTCCCAATTTTATTTATTTTGGGAAATTTACTCATTGGTAAGAAGTAATTTTCTTATTGATAAGAAAATTAACTTATTGATAAGAAGCAAAATTATTTCTAAGTACTAAAGGTGTATTATAAGAATGATTGCACTAATATCTAAAATTTGTTTTAAAATTGTAATAAGTTTGCATTGAAATAACACAAATTTCAAACTGAATTGAGTTTATGAATGCTGATTGCCTGTACTCAACAGGTTTTCTGAAGAACTCATTTATATTAACTATACTTCATAGAGTTTTCTACTTTGGGGCCCAGAACTTCATATCAGTTGTATTATCAAAATACAATGGAATATTTAAAACTTTCCAACAGGAAAAAAAGTAATTCAGTACTTAGGATTGATTTTCCAATATTTGTTTTTTTTTGTGTATACATGTGCAAACATGTATGCAAATCTATTGCTTTGTAATTTTCATATGGAGAGTTTGTACATTGGCCTGCCATAAAGCATTTTCAATTTAAGAAACGTAGAACTTTAATTTCTAAAAAAAGTCTATGACTCTGGAAAGGACAAAACACCACTGCTTCACAGATATGTATGTATCTTTCTTGCTGGAAGGTGAGTCACTGAAAATGGTATTTATGAGTGATTTACACAGTAGAAATGAGGGGTCAATTTCTACATAAAAAAGAAAAACAAACTATGTATTTAAAAATATATATATATATTGGATGGGGGTGGGCGAGGTGGGTCACGCCTGTCATCTCAGCACTTGGGGAGTATGGGGTGGGTGGACCAGGAGGTCAGGAGTTCCAGACCAGCCTGGCAACCATGGTGCAAACTGTCTGTCCTAAAAATACAAAAAATTAGCTTGGCATGGTGGCACATACTTCTAATCTTAGCTACTCGGGAGGCTGAGGCAGGAGAATCACTGGAACCTGGGAGGGAGAAGCTGCAGTGAGCTGACATAATGCCATTGTACTCCCACCTGGGCAATAGGGCAAGAGTCCATCTCAATCAATCAATCAATCAATCAACCTATTGGTTAACATATTATCTATTAACCAACCTTCAAAAATCGATCTTTAATTTTGTGTTTTAATGACCAGATGTGTAATTAATTGGAGATGTGTTTTTAAAGTTGAAATTGCAGTGTTTGCTGCATTTTACGATGCATAGCTTCATGGTAATTTTGTCTCCACTGATCTTGAGGGTGAGATTCAATAATACTCTGCCATGTATGAGAATGTGCGTATTCTAACCTGTAACACCACCTAGTAATTGGCATATATCTACAGATTTGTAGATATATAAATATTTTTATATTATTTAATAAGCAATTCTTAAAGATTATTAAAATTTAGCATAGTCTAATCTGAAAATTAGTGTTTCACAAGGAAATTGTAAGAATTCTATACTATGTTAACAAATTTTAGAGATAATATATTTTCCTGATGTGTCACCTTTTGATATTGCAAATATTTGAGTTTCTTTGAATGGAATTTAGTTTATCTTTTTGATATGCTTTGAAAATTTTTCCTCATAATAGAATGATATAAACAGTCATTTATCATTTTTTAATATTTTTTCTTTATGTATATTATACTTAGATATTTTACTGATAGATTTCTGCTCCCTGTTCACTCCCCATTTTTCCCACATCTCTCTCTCACACCAATATATTATAATTCTTGAGTTTCCTTCTAGATTTTCTAAACAGACTTTTATTGCTTGAATTGTACTAATTTCATATAGAAATGTTAATTTTATTAGTTTAGACAAATGTGAATTTGTAACATTATAATATGTAGAAAAACAACAAAACTTAGCCATTCAAGAAACAGTGATGCTAGTTAACTAAAATGATTTTGTTTGAAATACAGATGATGGTGGATACGCTCTTGATCTCAACACGAGTTCTTCTAGGGGAGCCATTCCAATTAAAAGAGGTCCATCTTCACGAAGTGGAGGTCCTCCTCCTAAAACATCTGCTCCTTCTGCTATGGCAAGAAGCAATAGTTGGATGGGAGGCCAAGGTAAATGCTACCTGATAAAAGACCATATTTTTTGTATGACTAAAAATGAGCTATTTTAACTGGATTCTTAAATTTAAGTTCATTGAACAAAACAGAAGTGACACATCATTGGGCATAATTACTGATCAATAGCTTTTATTATACTTTCTATCTCACTAGGTACACTCAGATTTATGTTGAAGAAATACTCGAGCTTCTCACTGCAGTTGAAAGAAGTGATTAGAGTGAGGCCAACATTCCTCTTAATCCTGTGTTTGCTAGATAATTCCCCTTAATTTTTCTAAAAGTCCCTAGCAGTATTCTTTGATGATAGGCTTCTTCTTCTAATGAATTCTTCCATTTCCTAGGTCCCCTGGTAGTGGTCCCCTGGCAAGCCAATTGAAAAATTGCTTGTTCAGTTTCTTTATTGGGTTGGAGTCTTGCTCTTACCAGGTCAGAGTGCATTGGTGAAATGATGGCTTACTACAGCCTCAAAATCCTGGGCTCAAACAATTATCCTGTTTCAGCCTCCTGAGTTGCTGCAACTACAGGCATGCACCACCACACCTAGCTAATTTTTTTTTCCTGTATTTTTGTAGACAGAGGATGTCACTACATTGTCAAAACTGACATAAAAGCCAGCGGCTCAAGCAGTCCAGCTGTCTCTGCCTTCCACACTGACTCGCACTGTGAGCTGCTGAGCCTGACCATCCAGCTTCTGAGACCTCAATAATGTTTATGTGCAAGGCATTCTTACTGCTTCTATGAAGATTCAAAAGAACTACAAGAGCATTTAGCAGAAAAGGAGTCACTGGGCTTACCTATTATTTAAAAATAAAATCAAGTCTTGAAAGGTAGACATGAAGGAGTCCAATATTCTTAAATTAAGTGGATATCATAGAAGTGCAGAGATGTGAAATATAAGGTCATGTAAATCAATAATTAAGATTTTACCGGGATGTTTAAACATTAACACAAGATCCTTAGCGTAAGACTGGAAATTATTTGAGGAGAGAATTTAGAACTAAGCAACCTGAGGTGAGCGGTAGGATTGAATAGAAGTAATATTTTTGAGAAGGAGAATTGTTAAGATTGCAGACAGAACAGAAGAAAGCAAGACAGTAAATAAAAGTTCTTAGCAAAGAAGTTTAGGCAGAACAAATTAAAATTCTTACTTAGTCCTCCACCCCAATATGGAGGAAATTGAAAACTGCTGTTTTCAATTTTACATTTCATATGTAGAGTATCGGTGAAATTAGATATTTATTGACTTCAGCATACATAAGCCAACACATTTCCATTGGAAAATTAGCCAGTGAACATATCATAGGTGAAAGACTGACCTCTAAGGAACAGCACATAAAGAGTATATTAAAGGAGAACATTTTCTATTTTGAAATAGCAACAATGTCGTAATGACCCCTTTAACAGGATTGCTTATTGCAGTAAAAGTAAATCTTGGCCATCATTAGAAAGTTTTCACTAGTATATTTCAATTTGTCAACATTTAAGGTAGAGCCAACCACTTAGAGATAAAGAAGACCTTTTATGTAAAAATTTAGCATCCAATCATTCAAAGGTAGCATCATTTGTGCGTGTGAGGTGGATTGAACAACATAGGAAAATTTACCTTCTTCAGCTGAGAAGGGACAATGGATGTAAACTTAAAAATCTGTGAAGAGTTTGGTGCTTTTACATGTCTTCCCTGTATCATTGGTAGTCATCAGTAATTCATATGAAAGGAAAAACAATAACTAACTAGTTATTTACCATTACAGATGAACTTTTACCTAAGAATTAATGTCTGTCTTCAGCTCTGTTAGAAGAACTGGCCTTGCAGTAGCCATGGGATTATCCAAAGCCATAAGAAATATTCACAGTGTCATGACTTTCTAGTAATTTAGGGAATGAAAAATGGAGTCATAGTGGAGTCATAGAAGAAATAATTTTAAAAAGTTGTTTGAGAGAAGAGAAAATAGTATTTCGGATTTGCTGTTCTTTCCCTGTTTCATCATTTTAATATTAAAGGTCCCATATCACGTGGAAGAGAGAATTATGGAGGTCCTCCATGCAGAGAGCCAATCTCTTCCTGGAGAAATGACCGTATGTCACCAAGAGATGATGGTTATGCAATTAAGGAAAGGTAAAGAAAATATTTTTTAGAAGTTGATTTTTTTTGTTATGGTGATGAAATTCACATAATAAAATTAAATATTATAAGGTAAACAGGTGGCATTAAATACATCCTGTGTTGTGCAGCAGCTAACTCCATCAAGTTCCAAAACATTTTCATGACTACAAACTAAAACTCCAGCTACCAGTTAAGCAGTCCCTTTCATTTTCTTCCTTCCCTCAGCTACTGGCAAACATCAGTCTTTGCTCTGCCTCTGAACTTACATGTTGTGGGCATTTAATGTTAATGGGCTTATACACTACATGACTTTTTGTATCTGTCTCCTTTCCTTTTGTATCATGTCCCGAAGTTTCATTTACATCATAGCACTTAAATCCTTCCACAAGCGGTTAACCCATTATTTTATTTGGGTTGTTTCTACCACAGTATTTCTATGCTCCAGTATTTGTTTGAGTACACTTATTCAATTCTGGGTGTATATATAAATGGAATTGCTTGGTTCTGTAATAATTATGTTTGTTTTCTTGAGGAAACACCACATGTCTCCATAGCAGCTGCATCATTTTCCCTTCCAACTAGCATTGTATCAAGGTTCCAATTTATCTTCACCCTCTCAAACACTTGCTATTTCCTGCTTTTTATTGCCATTCTAGTGTGTGTGGGAAGTATGGTATCTCACTTTGGATTTGAAATGCTTTTTCTGAATCACCGATTATGAGTATCTGTTCCATGTGCTTTTTGGGCATTTGCCTATTTTATTTGGAGAAATATCTGTTTAGATGTTTGGCCTTTTAATTTTGTTTAAGTTGTAAGTTAGTTATGTTTTGGATACTAGAAGTTGAAAATTTAATATTTGTTGTTTAAACTTATGCCCACAGAAATCATCCACTTTCCCGAGAATCTAGGGATTATGCTCCACTGTCTAGAGACTATGCATACCATGATTATGGTCATTCTAGTTGGGATGAACATTTCTCTAGAGGATATAGGTATTACAACATTTCCTGGATTTGTCAAATAGAATTCTTAAATGGTTCATTCTGACATTAAGAATTTTTTTTTTCAATTTAGTGATTGTGATGGCTGTGGTGAGGTGATGTTAGAGATCATTCTGAACGTCCAAGTGGAAGTTCTTATAGAGATGCATTTCAGAGATAGGGTAAGGGTCCGGGATGGATTTGTAAATTATAGAATTGTGTTTAATAGACCAGATCGTTATTTTAATGAAATTCTAAGGAAAATTACGAGGGACAAATATAACATGTCTAAATATTGAGTATTCTTAACAGAAGAAAGCATAGGGAATGATATGAAGGTGAGAACTTCAGTTCACGTTCAGAAAATGTGACTCAACTTTTACTTTAGAATTAAATTTGTTAAGCTTCAAAATAACTTCTCTTACACTTCTTATTGATAAAACCTTCTGATTATTGCAGGCATAATTAATATCCTGACAAAGACAGAGGAAAGTAGATATTTCCAAATAGTACTTTAACTTAATCATGCTTTAGTGATAGCAGTAATAATGTTTAAATATAGTCCAACATATTATTTTATCAACCCTGCAGGGTCCCCTGCAGGGACCTCTCATGGTGCACCATCTGCAGGAGTGCCTCTGTTGTCTTATGGTGGAAGCAGCCACCATGATTATAGCAATAAATGAGATAGATATGGCATAAGTCGGGAGAGTTACTCAAGGAGCTGTGGTGATTTTTATTCCCGTGATTGTGGGCACGTTGACAGAAAAGACCAAAGCAATCTACCTTCTCTGGATAGGGTACACCCTGCTCCTTGTGAAACATGTGGTAGCTCAAGATATTTGTCATCTACAGGAGATGGTGGGGAAGGTGGATCTGACAAAAGAGGCTGAAGCAGATATGAAAGCAAGTATTCAAATAATAGTTATTGCATACTAAACCTTGTTTGCAAATCGAAAATTGACCTGTTATTTCTGCATTGTTACCTGCGTCTTACTAAAAGAAACATGTATGTTTTGTGGAGAGAGGTAGATACTAACTTCCTCCATGAATTTTTTGAGGTATTCAAAGGAATTTTATTTCCAATAAATAAAGGGAATTTTATTTCCAAGTAATTTCATACTAGCTAATGCTATTTGAAAACTATCTGTTTAGATGTAATATCTACATTAAAATTTTCAGAATAAAATTTTACATGTAATGCAAAATGCCTAATGTTTTTGCTCAGCTGCACATGCTTAAAAGCAAATTCAATAAGAGAGTAAATTGCATTGTTTGTTGAACATTTTCCTTTATTTCTTTGAACATAAATAGATACAAAATTAGGCATATGTTATGTCTCCCTTGCAAGCTGCACAAGTTTTCTAAATAGGCTGTTTCTCTTTAAAAACTTACAAGCTTACAATGTTTGAGTAGTCTTCAGAAAGACTACAAGACTCTCTGCCTCACCATATGTTTATCCTTTAGAGGAATAGTACAGGTCAAAGGAAATAATTAGATGTGGTTGATATTAAAATTTAAGACATCCAGAACATTCTACTTGAAGCATTCTGTGACTGAAGAGGGATAATGCTAATGAAAACTTTTTTTTACCTAAATGAAAAGTGAACCAGCTAAGTTTCTCAAGTGCATAGCATAATGAAATTAAATTTTCCTAGTTTAAATGGTGGAAAGTAAGTGTTTGGTCTTGGGAGGTAGTCATGTTATTTTTTTCTTAAAAGTTTTGACAATGGTTGTTGTAAGTCATGGTGTAGTAATAAGTTGTTACAAATAGGAATAATCTAGAGTGGTTGGAATTTTATCAGTTTTTTGTTTGTTTGTTTGTTTGTTTTGAGATGGGATGTAGCTTTGTCACCCAAGCAGGGGTGCAGTGGCTCCATCTTGGCTTACTACAACCTCCACCTTCTGGGTCCAATCTATTGTCCTGCCTCAGCATCTTGAGTAACTGGTATTAGATAAGTGTGCACTACAGCTGGCTAATTTTTTGTATTTTTAGTATAGACAGCGTTCCACCACACTTGCCAGCCTGTTCTTAAAATCCTGATCCACCCTCCTCAGACTGCCAAAGTTCTAGGATTACAGGCATGAGCCACCACTCTCAGCCTATCAGACTTAATTGGTTATATGAATGGAAGCACTTTCAACCTCATACTTTTGGGAAGTGAAGTGTATAAAACAAAACAGCAGCATAACATTTCAGACAGGGGATTGCTTAAAGGTTTAATAAATCATCAAATGGTAAAAATAAAAAGATTTGGACTTAAATAACTAAACCAATTAATTTTTCTGATTATACATTGTACAACCTAAAGAAATGAAATACATGAAGTTCCAGAAGTTTTACAATCCATAATTCTTACAATTAACAGACTAATCTGCAATGAGGAAATATTTTCTTGATAAAATTTTGACAACATCTTCAATTTCTATAGGTAAGGGTGCAAATAATTTTAAAGGGAGAAGTTACCAACTTGGATTTTCAAGTGAGTTATTTGTGTTATGAAGTTGTGTTTTCATTCACCTACAATGTAGGATTGTGAGGATGAAGTGAAAAAATAAAATTCCCTAGTCTTATGTATCTTACTGCCCAGGTGTGACGGCTCAGGTTTTTAATTCCAGCACTTTGAGGCCAAGGCTTGCTGATCACTTTAGGTCGGGAGTTCCAGACCAGCCTGACCAATACCATGAAACCCCATCTCTAGCAAAAATATGAAAATTTGCTGGGCATGGTGGTGCACACCTGTAGTATGTTACAGTTAATTGGGGGGCTCAGGCAGGAGAATTGTTTGAACCTGGGAGCCTGAGGCTGCAGTGAGCCAATATTGCACTATGTACTCTAGCCTGGGTGACAGAGCGAGACTCCAAATCAAAAATAATTATATAAATCTACAAATATGTAAATAATAAATAAGGTATCCTTCATTTCAAGCATTTATTCTTTCTTTTTGCTTTTTTAGACACAGGGTCTCCCTCTGTTGTCCAGCCTGGACTGCAGTGGCACCGTCAAGGCTCACTGCAGCCTCGAACTCCTGGGTTCAAATGCACAAGCCTTCCATTTCAGCCTCCCAAGTAGTTGGGATTACAGACACACATCACTGTGCCCAACTTTTGTGTTTGTGTGTGTGTGGTAGGGACAATGCTTTGGATATATTGTTCAGGCTGGTCTCAATCTCCCAGACCGAAATAATCCTCCTTCCCTGGCTTCCCAAAGTGTTGTGATTATAGCCGTGAGCCACTGAGTCTGGCATATCTTTTCTCATTATGAGCGACATTCCACCTCACTGAGTCTGGCGTATCTTTTCTTGGTATCAGCGACATTCCACCTTCGCTCTATTAATTATTTTGAGATGTACAATAAATCATTATTAAGTGTAGTCATCCTGTGCCACTGAACACTAGATATTATTCCTTCTAAGCAAGTATAATTTAACCCACCCCCATCCCCTCTTTGATCCCTCGCTTACCAGTTCACATTACTTGTATCAAAATATCACATGTATGCCAAAAGTATCTACAACTGTTAGGTACAAATTTTCATTCCCTTCCTCCTTCCCTCCCTTCCTTTCTTCCTTCCTGTCTTTCTTTCTTTTTGTCTCTGTATCTTTTTCTCTCACTGATTTTTTTTTTTTTAAGAAAGAATCCTGCCCTGTCACCTAGGCTGGAGTGCAGTGGCGTGATCTCAGCTCACTGCTCCCTCCTTATCACGGGTTCAAGCAATTGTCCAGTCACACCCTCCTAAGCAACTGCAACTGCAGTCATATGACACCAATCCTGTGTGTGTGTGTGTGTGTATGTGTGTGTGTGTGTGTATTTCTATTTTCAGTAGAGACCAGGTTTCACAATATTTGCTCGGGCTGGTCTTGAACTCTTGTCCTCTAGTGATCCACCCACCTCATCCTCTGAGAATGCTGGGATCCAGGCGTGAGCCACAATGCCCACCCAGTTTTATGCATTTGTCTCTTCAGTAATCTCTCCTATTTTATTATTTTATTCTCTTTTTATTTCTGAGACAGAGTCTCGCTGTGCTGCCCAGGCTGGAGCACAGTGGTGTGATCTCACTTTACTGCAAACTCCATCACCAGGATTCAATGGATTCTCCTGCATCAGCCTTCCAAGTAGCTGGGATAATATCCATGGGCCACCAAGCTTGGCTAGCTTTGGTATGATAGTAGACATGGCATCTTGCCATGTCTAATTTCATATCTATTTTAAAGCTCAGTTTATAAGCAATACTGACTTCCTGGAATGTTTTCTGTTTACAAAACTATAGTACTATTATTTAGCCTCCTCAGATAAAATATGATAACACACAAAACATACACACACAGACAAAGACACAGTCAGTGATCAAAAAATCAGTGTAGGCCACGACCTAAAATGGAAGGTGAACTGCTGCAGTTGCCTAGAATTAAAGCAGACCAGAGTTGACCCATACCAGGCTGAGAGATGTGAACAGAGGCTTTCCAACAACTCTATCAGATACATGTTAGATTATTCTCCAGCCATAGCGAAGGGACATTAAAGATCTGTTGTGCTTAGAAGAGTCTCGATGATTTGACTTTTCCAGGGTATTAGCATTCATGATGTTGGCCTTTACAGCTCTCTGCAATGAAGTCAGTAGACGACACAGTTTTTCTAGGAGTCTAAAGTGCTTTTCAGAATTATCTAAAACTTAGTGGCTTAAAACCATAATTATAATTTACTAACTGTCAGTCTCTGCAATCGCCCTCAGTCTCTCAGCCAAATGAATGTGGTTCAGGGGCACTCAGGAGGATGCAATCTAGTGATGGCCAAAGATGGGGACATTGGCGGGTGTCTTCTCATCTCCCTGGTGCCATGGCTAGCGTGACTCAAATAGCAGGGGCTGGACTGCTGAGATGCTCAGACATCTTGTTCTGTTTCTTTGAGTCTCTCCATTGGATGTCCCTTCTGCATAGTGTTATCAGGGTGTTAGACTGCGTGATGTACTGGTCGGGGGCTCCTAAGGGGTTTGTCCCCATGAGAGCAGGAGACCTAGGCAGAGCCGTGTCACCGTCTCTAAACTAGGCCAGAGGTGGTCCAGTATCCAGAAACTGCTTGCAGTGTTTTCTATACATTAGAAGCAAGTACTGTGTTCAGTTCCATCAGGAATATTTTCAAATGGGTTTGAGAAGAATTTCAAAGTGTGTTTCAGACCACTACAGTGGCCATGCCTAATAATTCCTTATTTTTACAAGTGCTGGATGGGTTTTTCCCAAAATAATGCTTTCTTGGGGGGTGTGGGGTGGTGGAGACAAAGCTTTGGTCTTGTGACCCAGGCTGTAGTGCAGTGGCGTGATCTTGGCTCACTGCAACCACCGCCTCTTGGGTTCAACCGATTCTCCTGCCTCAGCCTCCCAAATAGCTAGGATTACAGGAACCTGCCACCATGCCCAGCTAATTTTCGAATATTTAGTAGAGGTGGGGTTTCACCATGTTGACCCCGCTGGTCTTGAACTTCTGACGTCTGGTAATCCACCAGCCTTGGCCTCCGAAAGTGTGGGGATTGCAGGCGTGAAACACCCCGTCCGGCCTTCAAATTATATTTTCATACCCACTCACTTCCACAATTTTTTGGACCTATCTGCGTGTTCTCCTCGGAGGCGGGGGGACGGAAACAGTATCAGCGTTCTTGAAAAATTTATGAAAGAGAGAATGACAATACTATACTAGGTTTAACCTATTCACAATACTGTATTTACTGAATAAAAACATTGCGTTTAAAATTCTACTATTGACTAAATAAATAAAATACACTCTTCCATTCACTCTAAAATGTGTGTACATGAAGAGTATACAAGAAGGGTTCTAATACAGAAACAAATAAATGAGGCTGGGCATGGTGGCTCACGCTGTAAGCCTGGCAGTTTGGCAGGCAAAAGTGGGTGGATCAGTTGAGGTGAGGAGTCGGAGACCAGCCTGGCAAATATGGTGAAACCCAGTCTTGACTAAAAATACAAAAATTAGCTGCACATGGTGGCATGCACCAGTAATCCCAACTCCTCAGAAGGCCGAGGCAGGGGAATTGCTTGAAGCTGGGAGGCGGAGGTTGAGGTTGAGCCGAGATCCTGCCACTTCACTCCAGCCTGGGTGACAGAGCAGTACTCCTCAAAACACACACAGACACCCCAAAACAACTAAAAAATGAAAATAAAAATTTTGTACTCACAGTTCAACTCGCATATCTAACGGAAAACAGAAAGTACATTAAAACAAAGTTTCCACAAAAGGCAAATAAAACAAATGAATCACCTTGCACATAAAATTAAAATAATAAACTGAAGAGAACTATACGGAAAAAAATTCAAAATTTACAAGTAAGTACTCTACAAGAAGCTGAAAGTCACTCAAAACTTTTCTGGATTCCATGTCTCTACAGTGCAAACATGATCGTAAAATTTGCTGGGGGCAGAACCATCAAAATGTATCTTACAACTCAATAAACACTTCAAGTCTCACATAAGAATTGTAATGGAAAAGGGACGCGTCTGCAGTATTTCTACACAAATCTGAACAAACACTATTTCTTTGTACACATTGTTTCACTGTTCCAAGAAAATAACTTCCATATTAATATTAGGGGATGTGACAAAGCAGGTCTTCATCATGATAAGTAACACTGGGTGTCCACACCACTACTCAGGTGGGCCTTAATTCCCAGCCAGGTTCCCTCCCTGGACACACAATGAAGGGCTCATCCATTTTGCAATCTCTTCACATTTCCTCCCCTGTGAGCCCAGTGTGGTTCTCCAGATTCCCTGTGTAGCGGCCTCTCTTGTCTGGTGGGGCAGGGTGGGGCAGGGAAGTGTGGGTGATGATGGCAGAGGGCAGAAAGCATCTCAGGGAAGCCTGGGATCATTGTAACAAAAAATGATGGGCGTGGGACAGCCCATCAGGGAAGACATAGAGAGGGGCCTTGGGAGGATATCTGCGTGGAGGGTGAGAGGGCCCTGGTTGAGCCCAAACTGAGCCCCAAGTGGTAGCCGGCCTCAGGCCTCAGCCGGTGAGGGATGATGAGACAGCTACCACTTGAGCCTTGCTTCTCACCCACTGACCTTAGACACTTATTCCTCTTAGGCGGCTGAAGGTGCCCCAATCCTAAAATGTGGGTGTTACAGTTCTTTGATGGCCATTTCTCCGCCAGCCCATGGATGGCGTGGGATTGCTCACTGCAGTCACCTCCCTGAGGCTTGGTTTCTCCATGTGGGGCACAACTCCAGGAATCAACCGCCTCTCAGTCCCCAGCCCCAGACTGCTCACCTGGCCTCCTCTCTGTTCACTCTCTAATGGCCTCCCTCCCTGGAGAAGTACTGCAGGGGATTGAGCTACAGGCTCTGGCTGATGATCTAGGGGACTGCAGAAGTGGGTACAGGTTAGTTCAGGTCATGGCTCAAAGCCAGTTCCCCAGAGGCCAAGGAATGACCAGCAAGATCCTTTCCCATGATGCCCTACCTGGCGCTCACCTCAGCAATCCTGCCAGAACCTGGGCAGTCATGGTCAGCCAACCAGCTGAAGAAGGTCAGGTAGGAGCTGTACGGCCTGCAGCTGGAGGCTTGACCTTCATGATCCCACAACCACTAGACTGCAGTGGAATGAGACATCCCGTATCCTGCAGAGAGAGGAGTCAGGAAGGTTCATGCCAGACCTACCCTCCCACACACCAGCTCCCCTACCATGCTGGGAGGCGCTCCTTACCGAGGATGCCAAGGCAGTACTCCTGAATGATCACTTCATTGTGGAAGTAGAGACTGTGATAAAAGGAAAACTTCATCCTGCTGCCGGTACCCGGAAGAGTTGCTTTCCTCCCCTTACCTGGCCAAGAAGGAGAAAGAGGACGTACTCAAAGGAGCATTTCATGTAGCTGGGGTGAGGTGACCTGTTAGCTGGGGTGAAGCATGTGTTTCTCCTTCCCAACTCTCTCATTGAGACACCCCCGGGTCCCAGGGGTACCTCAACCTGACCCAGACACCAGACCCCTCCCGAAGACTCAGGCTCCTTAGCCCGACCTGCAAATCCATCACGTACGTAGCTTAGCAGGACTTCATCATCATTTGTGATCCCGGCCAACATCTCGGTGTGCCGCACAATCTGCCTCTGGTCAAGGAGCCGCCGGATGATTGGGTGGGCGTGCAAGGAAACACCCTGCAACTTTGCAAGAGCACGGAGAGTGTGGGGCAGGGCACCTTCCCTTCCAGGTCCTCTGTCTCTGTCTGGCGTGGAGGGCACCATCAGAGCTGTGGTGGTCTTGGTGGTGGGTGGAGGCAGGCCCAGACAACCTGCTCTGACCAGGGGCTGGCACTGAAGAAGTGGGCAGGGGGTTGGGGGCGGGGTGTTGTTGTGTGAGGCGACTACTTGCTCGGCGTTTCTGAGCTGCAGGAGGCCCTCCTGTGCTGGGTGCTGGACAGGCTCTGCTGCTGTCTGGGTGTGCCGTCTCTCCTTCTCCTGGTCTCCCTGAGGGGTGCACGTGTCCACCCCAGGCAACCGCTGTGGGTAGAAGTAGCTACGGGGCTGTGCCTGGCTCTCCCCGTGGAGCTCGAGTGGTTTCAAGGGAGCTTATATATACTCAGGGCCTAAACATCTTTGGGTGCAGCGCTGGCAGAGGGAAGAAATTGTGTCTGGGGAGATAGTGCCTGCCTTGCATAGGACAGCAGCCCCGTGCACAGTGACACCGAGTCTTGAGCACCTTGTGTTTCTGGGGTAAGCTTGCTGGACACAGGCAAGGGGAGCAGGGAAGTTCCGTGGCTGGCATGGGCATGCAGACTCCCCTTCCTCCAGGGACTTTCCCGGTGAATCGTATCCTTCAACTTTCTGCTGTTATGATGGGTCCTTGGCGCTGCTATTCTCCCTGGTGAGTGCTGTGCTTGGCTTCCTGTCCCTACCACATGCCCTCAGGGCACATGCAATTAAGCTGCCCTCCTATCCGCATGAGCCTGTTCTCAGTTCCCCTTGTTGTCCCCCATGCCCTGAATCCTGGCTGACCGCCAGTGCCTACCACCTTGTTTCCCCCCACCTCCGCTCCCGGGAGCTCCGCGCCCATCCCCTGCTGCCAACCATCCCGAATTGGCAGCTGCAAGGATATGGCTCTGGCCCAGAAGCCGGGGATGCCCTGTGGCCTGGGACATTCACGTAGCCGAGCTCCAAGTGAAGGACGTCCAGCGAGTCTGTTGCTGGCCGGGGCGTACTGGGGCCAGGGCCAGGCTGTGCCTGCAGGTCCTCCTGCTGTGGCTCCACATTGGCCTTCCTCCTTGGCCACCACCTCCATCTCTGCAATGATGTCATCCCCCACTAGCATGCCTCTCCCCGCAGGGTTGTCTTCCTGCTCTGTGCACAGACCATCCTCTCCTGCACAGCCTCCAGCCTTAACATGGTGCCCTCCTTGAGGCTCCAACAGAGCAAAGCCTGTGCCTCCCACCCCACCCCCCCGGCACCCGTCAACTCTGGGGGCAACTCCAGGAGAGGCCTGCGGGCCTTGCCCTGCTGAGAACCACATCCTACACCTATGTGGAACAGGGTTCCTGGGGGGCCCCACAGGGCCCTTAGCCTGTCACACTCACACTGGGGCTCAGCTACCCAGCAGGGTTAGCTGCGCACGGCAGCCCTGGAGTCGGATGCCAAGGCCCTGGCTTCCAGAGCCCCGCTAGCAGGCACACGGCCACCACTGCACTTGTGAGAGCCTCTGCACCAGCAAAGCAGTGCACACGGATCACTGCATTGGCGACCATGGCGGTAGGCCTCCCGTGTGCCCAGGGCACAGGATGAGAAGTCCTTTGGAATGCCCCTGTGAGTACAGCATCCTCAGGGAGGAACCATGGAACTCGGAGTATGTATTTGCCTAGACCTGACAGAATCCTTGCAGGGTTTCAGCTTCTGGTGCAGATGAATTCCACCTCAGCAACGTACCAGTCGACTTTAGTCCCACGCACCCGCCCTGCCCCAATCCCCCCAAGCCACCGCTGCTGCCCTCGCCCCAGCAGCAGCGCTGGTCCCTCTCTCTCCCCTCTGGATCCGCAATATTCAGTACCATCAGCCTAGCCTGCCTAATGAAGTGAGATGTTTCATGTGTTCCCTGTGGGTTAGTTAATGTCTTGCCACACTCAGGATGCCAGTTAGGGTGTAGGTCTTCCATGCCCACAATTGCAAAGGGCTCACAGTTCGCGTGTGCCTTAATCCACCGCGGCCCGCCACGTGGCACAAGCGTGGTCTCGGAAGAGTTACCGCGAGATGATGGAGCCGCAGGCCTGCTGGGGCGGAGCGGCCTCAGGACACGCCCACAGCCTTTGCAGTAACTGGCTGACGCCCACCGCCTTCGCAATGATTGGCCGCTGGAGGTAGGCGGGATTTCCGGGCACGGCTTCCGGCGTCCTTCCCTCTCAGGGAAGCTCCAGCTGTCCCTCCCGCAGTTGGCCCTGTGGTGTTCCGAAGCCGGTTACGTACGGCCTGAGGGCCAGGCGAACCTCAGGCTCTTTGTCCTACTAAAAAGCGCAGGTATTTTCTGTTTCTCTGGACAGCTGGGTCTCTCGGCAAGAATAGAAAGCGAAGGTTTGGGATTTTGTCTATAAAAGGGGATGGGTTTTCTATGTGTGGGTGTTGAATTACGGGAGGAGTCAGTGGGGAAAGAACTCCTCAGTGCTATTAAGAGACTCACTTTCGTTAAACTCATTGATTTTTCCTGAGGATTCTACCTTTAACTGCCTAATGTGTCCGACTAGTTGTGGGAGATGGTGCTAAGCCGCCATTGGTTTTCATGTGCACTTTTTATTAAAGCGGGTTTTCTCTGTGAATGTGGTGATAATTCAGAATACAGGCAATACACTTAACCACTGCGATTAAAAAGTCACACTTTTGGTTAGCACATGTCGCGTGTCTGATTTGCTTGGAAGAATTATCAAATTTTGACATAAATTGTGTTACTTTAGTGTATGTAGAAATATGGGGCCACAAATAATCTGAGTTTCAGTTTGCCTCTGTAAAGCCTGTGATTGTCTCCTTCGTTGTATGGCAGTATTTGAAACGTTTCATGTGTCTTTGGCACCGTAAATAATTTAAACCGAATAAGTGGGTGTAATCGAGACAAATGGAGTTAGATAGCCGAAAACTGGAACAAAATAGATGCGCTTAAGTTATTCTGTTAACCTGGCACACTGCCTTACTCCTGTAGTCCTAGCATTTTGGGAAGTGGAGGTCGGAGGATGGCTTGAAGTCAGGAGTTTGAGACCAGCCTGGGTAACGTACTGGACTCTTTCATTGCTATTTTCGCATCAGGGACTGGTTTAGTGGAAGTCAGTTTTTCCTCAGAGAAAGGTTGCGCAGGGGAAGAAGGCGGCGAGGTGGACAGGTTTGGGAGTGGGGGCTGGCGGCAGGTCTCCGAGGGGCACGTGGTGGGGCGGGTCTTCCGGTAGGAGCAATGTGACAGAGGCCAGGTGGGGCAGTGAGGCTGTCACGGGGACAGGGAGGGCCAGCGAGGGAGTAGGGAGGATGGTTTCCGGATAAAACTGTACCACCTCAGGTCATCCTCAGGCGTTACATTCTCCACAGACAGGTATTGCAGGTCATCCTCCGGCATCACATTCAGGCCACAGATAGGTACGGGTTGAAGGCTAGGGTTTGGGGATCTTTGACCTATTGTATATTTCAAATCACTAAAAGATGGTAAAATATTTAAAATATTCTCCTCCTAGAACATTTTAAGTAGCTTGATTTAATCTCTTATCCAAATATCATGCTGAGTGTGGTGAGTCACCCTTGAAATCCCATCACTTTGGTAGTCCCAAGCCGGCAGAACACTTGAGCCGAAGATTTGGAGACTAGCTTGGGCACTATGGGGAAACCCTTGTCTATTTTTAAAAATACAAAAAATTGCCCAGCTGTGGTAGAAAGCGCCTGTAGTACTAGCTACTTGGGAAGCTGAGATGTAGGAAGATCAGTTGAGGCTGGGTGGAAGAGCCTGCAGTGAGCAGTTCACTTTGGCGACAGGAGACAGACATCTCAAGAAAGAAAATATGCAAAACATCACACTGTACCTCATAAATAGATTCTTTTCAAATAAAATTATTTAAATGGGGACATTCTTCATATTGCAACTGAGGAAAATTACAATAGCTTTTCTTATCTAATTTTTAGAAATGAGATTTTTGTCAGGTACATACTAAAATGCAGCATTTGTCCATGAAGTTAGTGCCCCTTTGCTCTGAGTGTTACAAATTTTACATATATAAAGTAAGAAATACTAAAAAGATGTCAGCCTCAGGAAGGGAATTTTACTTGGGTTTTCAGCACAGTATGTAATAAAATTTTATCTTTTTAGCTTATTTATATCTAAATATAGATAATTTTTTACCATTTACAGCACAATGGTAGAAGCAGATCATCCTGGCAAGCTTTTCATTGGTGGCCTCAATAGAGAAACCAATGAGAAGATGCTTAAAGCAGTATTTGGGAAACATGGTCCCATATCAGAAGGTAACTCTTAAAACCGTGTGTGTGTGTGTGTGTGTGTGTGTGTGTGTGTGTGTGTGTGTGTGTATTTTCACATGTATATTTCAATAGGTATGTTTAAAATATGTATGTTATATATATATGTTTTGAAAAAATATATTTTTTCAAAGTTCATTGTATACCTACATTAAAATGCCTTATGCATTTTAAACTCTTATTTTGTAGTATCTGTTTGATATTTGGAAAATTCTCATAGTAGTAGGTTAAGGTTCTATGGAAAGGATAACCTACTACTTAGAAAGGAAAATGAGGGAAAGTAAATGTGCTGTGGAGTTCCGAAACAAACTGGAATAAACTAGACTGACTGTAGGGGTGACTGAGTATCGAGAACCATAATAGTGATGTGAAATGCAATTATTTTTTAGTTTGATGTAACCTTTAGATGGTGAGTACCTTGATGAGTCCATTATATGAATGTAAAATGTTTTCATATATTTTAGTTCTTTTGATAAAGGATCGAACCAGCAAATCCAGAGGCTTTGCATTTATTACTTTTGAGAACCCTGCAGATGCTAAGAATGCTGCCAAAGATATGAATGGAAAGGTAAGAGTCCCTTATTACTAATATTCTAACTCTGTTCTTCAATTAACAATATTTCTAGGTCTTTTTAATATTGCTAAACTTTTGAGGATAGTAGAATGACACATGAAGCCATCCTCTTTTTTGTGCCATATACGTGCAAGTGTAGTTGGAAGGGTATTGGAATTAACATTACATAAATTAATATTTGGTAACCTTTTTCTATGTTTGTATTTCGATATGAGTGCAAATAGATTTTAAAAGGTTTTGAAGAGCTTTAAAACTTATAAGGAACCCTCATGTAAATGAAAGTAATAAGTCAATATTTATTAAATGCTATTAATTGAAGTACATCCAATTCATGGAAATACTTTTAGAGCGTAGACAAACTGGATAGACATCTAGACAGACGCACAAGAAGGAAAGACTCTTTCCTTCTTGAAGAATATATTTTATGAAAATATATTCTTGCGAAAGTGTATTTAAATAAGACCTTTACATTTACGGAAAGGTTAAGTAGTTGAAAATAGAAAATAATATGAGAACATTGAAGTCAGATAACAGAAGAAGTAACTGGCATTCTTGGCTCCATGCTTGCTTTTTCTCCTAAGGACATTTCTTTCCTGTCACCAGAGTGATTTATGTAACATGAATAGCTAATTACTCATTTCCCCAGTGTGTTTGAGGACTTGTTTTGATTGAACCAATGGTCTCTTGTCCTGTTGAGTCTTAAATCTAGAGATTGTGTGTTTACTTAAGCTTTAAACTTCTATGTAATGATATTAATTATTGAATTCCTTTACATTGTAGTCAAGAGCATTCCATTCTGTGCTCTTTAGTGTTTTTTGCTTTATAACATTATCCCAATCATGCCGGGCATGGTGGCTCATGCGTGTAATCCCAGCGCTTTGGGTGGCCAAGGCGGGCAGATCACAAGGTCAGGAGAAAGAAACCATAATGGCCAACATGGTGAAACCCTGTCGCTACTAAAATACAAAAAAAAAAATTAGCTGCATCTGGTTGTGTGTGCCTGTAGTTCCAGCTAGTCAGTAGGCTGAGGCAGGGGAATCGGTTAAACCCAAGGAGGCAGAGGTTGCAGTGAGCCGAGATCACGCCGATGCACTCCAGCCTGGCAACAGAGCAAGAATCCGTCTCAAAAAAACAAAAAATAAATAAAATAAATAAATAACGTTATCCCAATCTGTTTTTAGGTCCTGTTAGTCTTCACGCTATTCCCAAAGTGCTTTTTTAGACTTCTTGAGAATTATCCTTCCCTGTGTATGGCTCATAAATAAAATTTATGCTTCAAAAACCACTTAGATTTCATAATTTTCTTCCTCATTGCGTATTGTAGGTATTTTCTACTCGCTGTACTATGTATTAATCTATTGATCGTGAAATTGTATATAGTGCATATTTAAGTCTTGCTAGTTGCTTTTCTTTCTGTTACATCTAGCACACTTCCTGTCACATAGCAGAAAGTACATTTTTATTCACCCTTATAAATTAGTATTTCAAGCTGTGGTAGAAACCGAGAGTTGCTTTTGGTTCATGGCTTTGTGGTAGGTATGGAGATAATTTTGACTTCTGTATAGGAAGCTATGATAATTTCTTTTTTCCCTCTAGTTTTCAAGCAAAAGGGCAGGTAATTTGTGTAAAGTTTTTGTTCGTTTGTTTGTTTTTTAAGATGGAGACTCGCTGTGTGCCCTAGGCTGGATTGCAGTGGGGCCATCTTGGCTCACTGCAACCTCCGCCTCCCGGGTTCAAGCGATTCTCCTGCCTCAGCCTCCCAGTACCAGGGGCTACAGAGGCGCGCCACCACGCCCAGCTAATTTTGTACTTTGAGTAGGGATGGGGTTTCACCCTGTTAGCCAGGGTGAGCTCTATCTCTTCACCTCATGATCCACCCGCCTTGGCCTCCCAAAGTATTGGGATTACCGGTGTGAGCCACCGCGCCCAGCCAACGTTATTTCTA
Source organism: Homo sapiens (assembly GCF_000001405.40). Classification (NCBI taxonomy): domain Eukaryota; kingdom Metazoa; phylum Chordata; class Mammalia; order Primates; family Hominidae; genus Homo; species Homo sapiens. The sequence continues at coordinate 21,913,414 of NC_000024.10, read as the reverse complement.
AATTACTTCATCTCACGTATTTTATTGTGTTAAAATAACTATGAATGTTGTATGCACATTAATGTTAAGATGGCCAATAAAGGAGGTTCTTTGAGTTTTCAGGGGGAATTAACAGTTAAGGAATTTTGGCTGACTTCAGAACACTGGGAAGGAAGCAGCCGTGGGCAAATCTGGGGAAAATATTTTGAGCCCAGAAATAACAAAAGAAGTTTCAAGGTAGGAACAACGGGCGATGTGGCTGCAAGCGGTCTTGTTCAGGGATTTAAGTCCTTCCTCCAAATAACAAAAGCCATGTAATTTTTAAATCGCATTATTAGCTGAACTGTTTTCAAAAATTGCTGTGGCCTGTAGAAAAGATTACAGTGAAAAATGTTATTATGAAATTAATTAGGATAGTTAAGCATTTCTGAGAAATTACCTGAAGTACTATATTAAGATTCGTTTTTTAGGGGCACGTCTAAGGCAATGTAAGAAATGAGTAAGGCAAGAAAACTTAATGAGATCAAACAAGGATCACATTTACAGAAACATTTTTAGAGTCAATATAGAATTGTAAATCATATGGGGACATTTTATGGAAGTGTTAGCAAATCCAACAAGAAACAACTCATAATGAGTAATGTGCCTAATCACTCTGAAAAAGTAAGCTCATTTTTTTTTTAAATGACACGAGTTTCATTGGGACACTGCAACTTTCAAATCAGTGATGTGACTACAAAGATGAAGTGGATTATATATTGTAAAAAACAGATGTGCCACATTCTTCCACAGAATGTGTGATGGGTCAAACTTTTTTTTTATGTTTGAGTTTTTTTTTTTTTTAATGATGGAAAAGTTTTCAAGGAATTTGAATAATAGAATTTGTGTTTGATCCCTTAATGGAAGGCATGTGCTCAGTAACTATCTCAAATTTGGCATTGCGAAAGATGTGTTCATTTTAGAAGAAAAAAAAGTTTCCTTTTGGGAGAAAAATACCTCAAATTGAACTACAGTTGATGTAAAAATGTTTGTAAAATGTGCTTACGTTAAATGTGCCGGTGTTATTGATAGTACCCTTAATACTTCTAGTCTTTGCATGGAAAAGCAATAAAAGTAGAACAAGCCAAGAAACCATCTTTTCAAAGTGGTGGTAGGCGGAGACCACCAGCTTCTTCGAGAAACAGAAGCCCTTCAGGAAGTCTGAGATCTGCAAGAGGAAGCCGTGGAGGAACAAGAGGGTGGCTTCCCTCACAAGAAGGGCACCTGGGTAATGTTTTAAAATATAAAGATGGAACCATAGGACTGAAAGAAAATAAGTTTGACGATATTGAAATTTCTTAATTTTTTTCTTTCCTGTATGAAGAGAAAATTAGCTTATTGATAATAAGCAAACTTATTTCTAAGTACTATAAAGGTGTATTATAAGAATGATTGAACTAATATCTAAAATTTGTTTAACAATTATAATAAGTTTGCACTGAAGTAACACACATTTGAAACTGAGTTGTGTTTGTGAATGCTGATTGCCTGTACTCAACCGGTTTTCTGCAGAACTCATTTATATTCATTATACTTTAGAGTTTTCTACTTTAGGGCCCAGAACTTCGTGTCAGTTGTATTATCAAAGTACGATGTAATATTTAAAATTTTCCAACAGGAAGAAGTAACTGAATACTGAAGATTGATTTTGCAGTATTTGTTTTCTTGTGTCTACATGTGGAAACATCTATGCAAATGTATTGCTTTGTAATTTTGATACAGAGAGTTTGTACATTGGCCTGCCGTAAAGCATTTTCAATTTAAGAAATGTAGAACTTTAATTTCTGAAAAGAGTCTGTGACTCTGGAAAGATCTAAAAACCACTGCTTCACAGATATGTATGAATCTTTCTTTGCTGGAGGCTGAGTCACTGAAAATGATATTTATGAGTGATTTACTTAATAGAAATGAGGGGTCCATCTTTACATATAAAAGAAAAACAAACCATATATTTAAAAAAAAGGAAAAAGAAAAAACTATTGGATGGGCTGTGCGAGGTGGCTCACGCCTGTCACCTCAGCACCTGGGGAGTACAGGGGAGGTGGACCACGAGGTCAGGAGTTCCAGACCAGCCTGGCCAACATGGTGAAACCCTGTCTCTCCTAAAGATACAAAAAAATTTGCCTGGGCCTGGTGGCGTGCACCTGTAATCCCAGCTACTCAGGAGGCTGAGGCAGGAGAATCACAGGAACCTGGGAGGCAAAAGCTGCAGTGAGCCAAGGTTATGCCATGGCACTCCAGCCTGCGTGATAGGGCAAGAGTGCATCTGAATAAATAAATAAATAAACCTGTTGGTTAACTTGTATTATCTATTAACCAACCTTCAGAACTCTAACAAATAGCTTGGAGTTTTAATAACCAGACATGTAATTAATTGGAGATTGTTTTCAAGTTGAAATTGCAGTGTTTGCTCCATTTTAAGATGCGTAGCTTCACGGCTGTTTTGCCTCCACTGATCTTGAGGGTGAGCTTCAATTATACTCTGCCACGGACGAGAATGTGTACATAAATTCTAACCTGTAACACCACCTGGCAATTGGCATATATCTACGTTTTTGTAGATGTATAAAAATATGTTTATATTACCGAATATGCAATTCTTAAAGACTGTTAAAATTCAGCATAGTCTCATCTGAAAATTAGTGTCTCATAAGGGAATTTTAAGAATTCTATATTGTGTTAACAAATTTTAGAGACAATGTATTTTCCTGATATGTGATTTCTTGGTATTGGAAATATTTGAGTTTCTTTGAATGGAAATTAGTTTATCTTTATGATGTGCTTTGAAAATTTTTCCTCATTACAGAATGATATAAACAGTCATTTATCATTTTTCTTTTAATATTTTTATGTATATTATATTTGGATATTTTAGTGATAGATTTCTGCCCCCGTTCACTCCCCATTTTCCCACATCTCTCCTTCATACCGATATATTATGATACTTGAGTTTCTTTCTAGATTTTCTAAATGAACTTTTAATGCTTGAAGTGTACTAATACCTTGTAGGAATGCTAATTTTATTAGTTTAGACAAAATGTGAATTTGTTATAAAATGTAGAAAATATTTGTAAACAACTAAAACTTAGCCATTTAAGAAACAGTGACGTCAGTTAACTAAAAAGATTTTGTTTGAAATACAGATGATGGTGGATACACTCCTGATCTCAAGATGAGTTATTCTAGGGGACTCATTCCAGTTAAAAGAGGTCCATCTTCAAGAAGTGGAGGTCCTCCTCCGAAAAAATCTGCTCCTTCTGCTGTGGCAAGAAGCAATAGTTGGATGGGAAGCCAAGGTAAATGCTGCCTGACAGAAAGACCGTAGTTTTTGTATGACTAAAAATGAGCCGTTTTAGCTGAATGCTTAGCTTTAAGTTCATTGAACAAAAGAGAAGTGACACATACGTGAGCATAATTACTGATTGATAGCTTTTATTATAGTTTCTATCTCACTAGGTACATTTCAGATTTATGTTGAAGAAATACTTGAGCTTCTCATTGCAGATCAAAGAAGTGATTAGAGTGAGGCCAACATTCCTTTTAATCCTGTGTTGGCTAGAAAATTCCCCTTAATTTTTCTAAAAGTTCCTAGCAGTATTCTTTGATGGTAGGCTTCTTGATCTAATTAACTCTTCCATTTCCTAAGTCCCCTGGTGTCCCATTCTAAAAATTGCTTGTTCGGTGACTTTGCTGGGTTGGAGTCTTGCTCTTACTAGGTGAGAGTGCACTATGTGAGACGACGGCTTACTGTAGCCTCAAATTTGTGAGATGACGGCTTACTATAGCCTCAAATTCCTGGGCTCAAGCAATTCTGCTGTTTCAGCCTCCCGAGTTTGTGCAACTACAGGCATGCAGCAGCACACCTAGCTACATTTTTTTCCCTATGTTTTTGTAGAGAGAGGATCTGACTACATTGTCAAAACTGATGTTAAAGCCTGGGGCTCAAGCGGTCCAGCTGCCTCAGCCTTCCACACTCACTCACAGTGTGAGCCGCTAAGCCTGGCCATCCAGCTTCTGAGACCTCAGTAATGCGTATGTGCAAGGCATACTCACTGCTTGCATGAAGATTCAAAAGAACTACAAGAGCATTTAGCAGACAAGGAGTCATTGGGCTTAAATATGATTTAAAAATAAATTTAAGGCTCGAGAGGTAGACACGTAGGAGTCCAAAATTCTTAAATTAAGTGGATATCACAGAAATGCAGAGTTGTGAAATATAGGTGTATGTAAATCAGTAATTGAGATTGTACCGGGATGTTTAAACATTAACACAAGATCCTTAGTGTAAGATTTGAAATTATTTGAGGAGAGAATTTAGAACTCAGCAACATGAGGTGAGCGGTAGGGTTGAATGCAAGTAATACTTTTGAGAAGAATTGTAAGACTGCAGACTGAACAGAAGAAAATAAGACAATAAATAAAAGTTCTTAGCAAGGAAGTTTAAGCAGAGCAAATTAAAATTCTTTCTTAGTCCTCCATCCGCATACGGAGGAAGTTAAAAACTGCCATTTTCAATTTTACATTTCATACGTAGAGTATCGGTGAAGGGAGGTATTTATTGGCTTCAGGATACCCAAGCCAACACATTTCCATTGGAAAATTAGCCAGTGAAGGTATCATATGTGAAACACTGACCGCTAAGGAATAGCAAGTGAAGAATATATTAGAGGAGAAACTTTCTATTTTGAAACAGCAACAGTGTTGTAATGACCCCTTGCATAGCATTGCTTTCTTTGCAGTAAAAGCAAATCTTGACCATCATTAGAAAATCTTCACTAATACATTTTAATTTGTCAACATTTAAGATAGAGCCAACCAGTTAAAGAACTTTTATGTAAACATTTAGCATATAGTCATTTAAAGGTAGCTGTATTTATGTGTCTGTGAGATGGACTGAATGATATTGGAAAATCTACCTTCTTTGGCTGAGAAAGAACAATGTATGTAAACTTTAAAATCAGTGAAGAGTTTGATGGTTTTACGTGTTTTCCCTGTGTCACTCACAGTCATCAGTAATTTATATGGAAAGGAAAATAATAACTAAGTAGTTATTAACCATTACAAATGAACTTTTACCTAAGCATTAATGTTTGCCTTCAGCTTCATTAGAAGAACTGGCCTTGTGGGAGCCATGGGATTATCCAAAGCCATGAGAAATATTCACAGTGTCATGTCTGTCTAGTAATTTAGGAAACAAAGAATGGAGTCATAGAAGAAATAATTTTAAAAAGTTGTTTGAGAGAAGAGAAAATAGCGTTTCAGATTTGGTGTTCTTTACGTAATGTTCCATCATTTGAATGTTAAAGGTCCCATGTCACAAAGAAGAGAGAATTATGGAGTTCCTCCACGCAGAGCGACAATATCTTCCTGGAGAAATGATCGCATGTCAACAAGACATGATGGTTATGCAACTAACGATGGGTAAAGGAAAAATTAAAAAGCACAGTTGATTTTTTTTTCCTGTGGTGATGAAATTCACATAACAAAATTAAATATTATAAGGTGAACAGTTAGGTGGTGTTTGATACATTCTGTGCCATGCAACAACTACCTCCATCGAGTTCCAGAACATTTTCATCACTCCAAATTGAAACTCCTACTACCAGTTAAGCAGTCCCTCCCATTTTCTCCTTTTCCTCAGCTGCTAGATAACACCAGTCAGTGTTCTGCCTCTGAACTTACCTGTTGTGGGTATTTAATGTTAATGTGCTCAAACACTACATGACTTTTTGTATTTGTCTCCTCTCCTTTTGCATGATGTCCTGAAGGTTCATTTACATCATAGCACTTCACTCCTTCCACAAGCTATTAACCCATTATTTTATCTGCGTTGTTTCCACTCGAGTATTTCTACGCACCAATATTTGTTTGAGTGTGCTTACTCGGTTCTGGGTGTATATGAGTGGAATTGCATGGTCCTATGATAATGATGTTTGTTTTCTTGAGGAACCACCACATTTCTCCATAGTAGCTGCATCATTTTCCGTTCCAACCTAGCATTGTATCAGCAATCCAATTTATCTACATCCTCTCAAACACTTGTTATTTCCTGCTGTTTGAAATTTATTGCCATTCAAATGTGTGTTTGAAATATGATATCCCATTTTCGATTTGAAATGCATTTTCTGCACCCATTAACTCATCATGCACATGTATCCTAGAACTTAAAGTATAATGAAACAAAAAGAAATGCATTTTCTGAATCGCTGAATATGAGTATCAGTCCCGTGTGCTTTTTGGGCATTTGCCGATTTTATTTGGAGAAATATCTGTTTAGATGTTTGGCCTTTTAATTTTGTTTAAGTTGTAAGTTAGTCATGTATTGGATACTAGAAGTTGAAAATTTAAAATTTGTTGCTTAAACTTATGCACACAGAAATCATCCAAGTTGCCAAGAAACGAGGGATTATGCTCCACCATCTAGAGGCTATGCATACCGTGATAATGGTCATTCTAATCGGGATGAACATTCCTCTAGAGGATATAGGTACTGTAACTTTTTCTGAATTTGTCAAATAGATTTCTTAAATTGCTCATTCCAACTAACGTTCTATCAGGGCTCCAATTTATCTACATCCTCTCAAACACTTGTTATTTCCTGCTTTTGAAAATTTATTGCCCTTCCAGTGTGTGCGTATGAAATATGATATCTCATTTTGGATTTGAAATGCATTTTCTGCACCCATTAACTCATCATGCACATGGACCCTAGAACTTAAAGTATAATTAAAAAAAAAAGAAATGCGTCTTCTGAATCACTGAATATGAGTATGTGTCCCATGTGCATCTTGGGCATTTGCCCATTTTATTTGGAGAAATATCCATTGAGATGTTTGGCCTTTTAATTTTGTTTAAGTTGTAAGTTAGTCATGTATCGGATACTAGAAGTTGAAAATTTAAAATTTGTTGCTTAAACTTATGCATACAGAAATCATCGAAGTTCCCGAGAAACTAGGGATTATGCTCCACCATCTAGAGGCCATGCATACCGTGATTATGGTCATTCTCGTCGGGATGAAAGTTATTCTAGAGGATACAGGTACTGTAACTTTTTCTGGATTTGTCAAATAGATTTCTTAAATTGTTCATTCCAACTAACATTGTATCAGGGCTCCAATTTATCTGCATCCTCTCCAACACTTGTTATTTCCTGCTTTTGAAAATTTATTGCCATTCATCTGTGTGTGAAATATGATATCTCATTTTGGATTTGAAATGCATTTTCTGCACCCATTAACTCGTCATGCACATGGACCCTAGAACTTAAAGTATAATAAAAAAAAGAAATGCATTTTCTGAATCACTGAATATGAGTATCTGTCCCATGTGCTTTTTGGGCGTTTGCCCATTTTATTTGGAGAAATATCTATTTAGATGTTTGGCCTTTTAATTTTGTTTAAGTTGTAAGTTAGTCATATATCGGATACTACAAGTTGAAAATTTAAAATTTGTTGCTTAAACTTATGCATACAGAAATCGTCGAAGTTCCCGAGAAACTAGGGAGTATGCTCCACCATCTAGAGGCCATGGATACCGTGATTATGGTCATTCTCGTCGACATGAAAGTTATTCTAGAGGATATAGGTACTGTAATTTTTCTGGATTTGTCAAATAGATTTCTTAAATTGTTCATTCCAACTAACATTGTATCAGGGCTCCAATTTATCTACATCCTCTCAAACACTTGTTATTTCCTGCTTTTGAAAATCTATTGCCATTCATCTGTGTGTGTGAAATATGATATCTCATTTTGGATTTGAAATGCATTTTCTGCACCCATTAACTCATCATGCACATGTATGCTAGAACTTAAAGTATAATAAAACAAAAAGAAATGCATTTTCTGAATCACTGAATATGAGTATCTGTCACTTGTCCTTTTTGGGCATTTGCCTATTTTATTTGGAGAAATACCTATTTAGATGTTTGGCCTTTTAATTTAAAGTTGTAAGTTAGTCATGTATTCGATACTAGAAGATGAAAATTTAAAACTTGTTGCTTAAACTTATGCACACACAAATCATCCAAGTTCCCGAGAAACTAGGGATTATGCTCCACCATCTAGAGGCTAGGCATACTGAGACTATGGTCATTCTAGGCAGGATGAACATTCCTCTAGAGGATATAGATACTGTAACTTTTTCTGGATTTATCAAATAGATTTCTTAAATTGTTCATTCCAACTAACATTGTATCAGGGCTCCAATTTATCTACATCCTCTCAAACACTTGTTATTTCCTGCTTTTGAAAATTTTTTGCCCTTCCAGTGTGTGTGTGTGAAGTGTGGAAGCTCCTTTTTTATTTGAAATGCATTTCCTGAATCACTGATTATGAGTATCTGTTTCATGTGCTTTTTGGGCATTTGGGCATTTTGGGCATTTGGGCTCTGTGGGCATTTTATTTAGATGTTTGGCAATTTAATTGTGTTTAAGTTGTAATGTAGTTATGTTTTGGATACTAGAAGGTGACAATTTAAAATTCCTTGCTTCAACTCGTGCACGCAGAAATCATCCAAGTTCCCGAGAAACCAGGGATTATGCTCCACCACATAGAGACTATGCATACCGTGATTATGGTCATTCTAGTTGGGATGAACATTCCTCTAGAGGATATAGGTACTAACATGTTATCTGGATTTATCAAATGGATTTCTTAAATTGTTCATTCTGAAATTGAAAAGACTTTTTTTTTTTCAATTTAGTTATCATGATGGCTACGGTGAGGCCCTTGGTAGAGATCATTCTGAACATCTAAGTGGAAGTTCTTATAGAGATGCACTTCAGAGATACGGTAAGGGTCCAGGATGGATTTGTAAATTACAGAATTTTATTTAATAGACCAGATTGTTATTTTAATGAAATTCTAAGGAAAATTGTAAAGGCCATATGCAACATGTTTAAATATTGAGTATTCTTAACAGTATAAAGCCTAGGGAATGATATGAAGGTGAGAACTTCAGTTAACGTTAAGAAAATGTGACTGAGCATTTACTTTAGAATTAAGTTTGTTAAGCTGCAAAATACTACTCTTACACTTCTCTTAAATAAAACCTTCTGACTATTAAAGCCTTGATTAATATCCTGTCAACAAAGGCGGAGGAAAGCAGATATTTCCAAATAGTACTTTAACTAATTCATGCTTTAATGATAGCAGTAAAAATGTTTAAATGTAGTCCCACATATTATTTTACCAACCCTGCAGGGACCGCTCATGGTGCACCACCTGCAAGAGGGCCTCGGATGTCCTATGGTGGAAGCACCTGCCACGCATATAGTAATACACGAGATAGATATGGCAGAAGTTGGGAGAGTTACTCGAGCTGTGGTGATTTTCATTATTGTGATCGTGAGCATGTTTGCAGAAAAGACCAAAGGAATCCGCCTTCTCTGGGTAGGGTGCTCCCTGATCCTCGTGAAGCATGTGGTAGCTCAAGTTATGTGGCATCTATAGTAGATGGTGGGGAGAGTCGATCTGAAAAAGGAGACTCGAGCAGATATTAAAGCAAGCATTGAAAGTAATAGTTATTGCATACCAATCCTTGTTTGCAAATCAAAAATTGAAATGTTATTTCTGCATTGTTACCTGCATATTACTGAAAGAAACATGTTGGTTTTGTGGAGAGAGGTAGATACTAACTTCCTCCATGAATTTTTTGAGGTATTCAAAGGAAAAGGAATTGTTTTCAAAGTAATTTCATACTTGTTGATGCTATTTGAAAAGTGTTTAGATGTAATATCTACCTTAAAATTTTCACAATAAAATTTGACATGTACTGCAAGATGCCTGGTGTTATTGGTTAGCCGCGCATGCTTAAAGCAAATTCAATAGGAGAGTAAATTGTGTAGTCTGTTGTACATTTTCCTTTGTTTCTTTGAACATAGGTACAAAATTAGGGATGTGTTATGTCGCCCTTGCAAGCTGCTCAAGTTTTGTAATTAGGCTGTTTCTCTTTAAAAACTAACAAGGTTAAAATGTTGGAGAAGTCTTCAGAAAGACTACAAAACTGTCTGCCTCACCATAAAACGTTTATTTTTTAGAGGAATAGTACAGGTCAAAGGAAATCATTAGATGTATTGATACTAAAGTTTAAGACATCCGGAACATTCTATGTGAAGCATTCTGTGACTGAAGAGGATAACGGTAATGAAAACTTTTTTTTTCACCTAAATCAGAAGTGAACCAGCTAAGTTTCTCAGGTGCGTAGCATAATGAATTTAAATGTTCGTAGTTTAAATAGTGGAAAGTAAGTGTTTTGTCTTGTGAGGTTCCCACGTTAATTTTTTCTTGAATATTTTGACAGTGGATGTTGTAAGTAATGGTTTAGTAATATGTTCTTACAGATAGGAATAATCTAGAGTGGTTGGGATAGTATCAGTTTTTTTTTGAGGTGAAGTGTATAGCTTTGTCGCCGAAGCTGGGGTGCAGTGGCTCTGTCTTGGCTTATGGCAACCGCTGCCTTCTGGATCCAAGCTATTCTCCTGCCTCAGCATCCTGAGTAACTGGTATTAGATATGTGTGCCGCACAGCGGGGCCAATTTTTGTATTTTTAGTGCAGACAGCGTTTCACCTTGTTTGCCAGGCTGTTCTTAAAATCCTGATCCACCCTCCTCAGACTCCCGAAGTGCTAAGATTATAGGCGTGTGCCACCACTGTCAGCCTATCGTATTTAATTGATAATATGAATGGAAACGCTTTAAACCTCATACTTAGGGGAAAGTGAAGTGTATAAAACATAAACAACAGCATAAAGTTTCCGACGGGATTGCTTAAAGTTTTAAGACATCACTGAATGATACAAATATTTAGACCGAAATAACTAAATGAATTAATTTTCCTGATTATACAAACTAAAGAAATGAAATACATCAAGTTCCAGAAGTTTTGCAGTCCATAATTCTTACAATTGACAGACTAATCTGCAAGGAGGAAGTATTTTCTTGAAAAATTTTGACAGAATCATCAATTTTTACAGGGTAAGGGTACAAATAATTTTAAAGGGAGAAGTTACCAACTTTGATTTTCAAGTGAGTTATTCATGTTATGGAGTGTTTTCATTCACCTGTAGCATTGTGAGGATGAAGTGAAAAGATAAATCTCCCGAGTCTTGTGTATCTTACTGTCCATGTGTGATGGCTCAGGTCTCTAATTCTAACACTTGGGGAGGCCGAGGCTTGCAGAGCACTTTAGGACAGGAGTTGAAGACCAGGCTGGCCAACACCATGAAACCCCATCTCTACCAAAAATACAAAAATTAGCCGGGCATGGTGGTGCCTGCCTGTAGTACGTTGCAGTTAATTGGGAGGCTCAGGCAGGACAGTGGTTTGAACCTGGGAGCCTGATGCTGCGGTGAGCCGATATTGCACCATGCACTCTAGCCTGGGTGACAGAGTGCGACTCCAACACAAAAATAATTATATCAATCAACAAATATATACATAATAAATAGGGTATCCTTCAGTTCAAGCACTTACCGATTCTTTTTTCTTTTTTAGAGACAAGGTCTCACACTGTTGTCCAGCCTAGACTGCAGTGGCACCATCATAGCTCACTGCAGCCTTGAACACGGGCTTGAAATGTGCAAGCCTTCCATTTCAGCCTCCCAAGTAGCTGGAATTACAGACACACACCAACCACCGTGCCCAGCTTTTGTGTTTGTGTGTGTGTGGTAGGGACAATGCTTTGGATATATTGTTCAGGCTGGTCTCAAACTCCCAGACCGAAATAATCCTCCTTCCCTGGCTTCCCAAAGTGTTGTGATTATAGCCGTGAGCCACTGAGTCTGGCATATCTTTTCTCATTATGAGCGACATTCCACCTCACTGAGTCTGGCGTATCTTTTCTTGGTATCAGCGACATTCCACCTTCGCTCTATTAATTATTTTGAGATGTACAATAAATCATTATTAAGTGTAGTCATCCTGTGCCACTGAACACTAGATATTATTCCTTCTAAGCAAGTATAATTTAACCCACCCCCATCCCCTCTTTGATCCCTCGCTTACCAGTTCACATTACTTGTATCAAAATATCACATGTATGCCAAAAGTATTTACAACTGTTAGGTACAAATTTTCATTCCCTTCCTCCTTCCCTCCCTTCCTTTCTTCCTTCCTGTCTTTCTTTCTTTTTGTCTCTGTATCTTTTTCTCTCACTGATTTTTTTTTTTTTAAGAAAGAATCCTGCCCTGTCACCTAGGCTGGAGTGCAGTGGCGTGATCTCAGCTCACTGCTCCCTCCTTATCACGGGTTCAAGCAATTGTCCAGTCACACCCTCCTAAGCAGCTGCGACTGCAATCATATGACACCAATCCTGGCAAATATTTTGTATTTTCAGTAGAGACCAGGTTTCACAATATTTGCTCAGGCTGGTCTTGAGTTCCTTTCCTTTAGTGATCCACCCACATCAGCCTCTCAAAATGCTGGGATCCAGGCATGAGCCACACTGCCCACCCAGTTGTATGCATTTCTCTCTCCCGTGATCTCTCCTATTTTATTATTTTATTCTCTTTTTATTTCTGAGACAGCGTCTCGCTCTGGTGCCCAGGCTGGAGCACAGTGGTGTGATCTCACTTTACTGCAAACTCCATCACCAGGGTTCAACGGATTCTCCTGCATCAGCCTTCCAAGTAGCTGGGATAACATCCACGGGCCACCAAGCTTGGCTAGCTTTGGTATGATACTAGACGTGGCATCTTGTCATGTCTAATTTCGTATCTGTTTTAAAGCTCGATTGATAAGCAATATTGACTTCCTGGAATGTTTTATGTTTACAAAACAATTATAGTACTACTATTTAGCCTCCTCAGATAAAATATGGTAACACACAAAACATACACACACAGACAAAGACACAGTCAGTGATCAAAAAAAATCAGTGTAGGCCACGACCTAAATGAAAGGTGAGCTGCTGCAGTTGCCTAGAATTAAAGCAGACCAGAGTTGACCCATACCAGGCTGAGAGATGTGAACAGAGGCTTTCCAACAACTCTATCAGATACATGTTAGATTATTCTCCAGCCATAGCGAAGGGACATTAAAGATCTGTTGTGCTTAGAAGAGTCTCGATGATTTGACTTTTCCAGGGTATTAGCATTCATGATGTTGGCCTTTACAGCTCTCTGCAATGAAGTCAGTAGACGACACAGTTTTTCTAGGAGTCTAAAGTGCTTTTCAGAATTATCTAAAACTTAGTGGCTTAAAACCATAATTATAATTTACTAACTGTCAGTCTCTGCAATCGCCCTCAGTCTCTCAGCCAAATGAATGTGGTTCAGGGGCGCTCAGGAGGATGCAATCTAGTGATGGCCAAAGATGGGGACATTGGCGGGTGTCTTCTCATCTCCCTGGTGCCATGGCTAGCGTGACTCAAATAGCAGGGGCTGGACTGCTGAGATGCTCAGACATCTTGTTCTGTTTCTTTGAGTCTCTCCATTGGATGTCCCTTCTGCATAGTGTTATCAGGGTGTTAGACTGCGTGATGTACTGGTCGGGGGCTCCTAAGGGGTTTGTCGCCATGAGAGCAGGAGACCTAGGCAGAGCCGTGTCACCGTCTCTAAACTAGGCCAGAGGTGGTCCAGTATCCAGAAACTGCTTGCAGTGTTTTCTATACATTAGAAGCAAGTACTGTGTTCAGTTCCATCAGGAATATTTTCAAATGGGTTTGAGAAGAATTTCAAAGTGTGTTTCAGACCACTACAGTGGCCATGCCTAATAATTCCTTATTTTTACAAGTGCTGGATGGGTTTTTCCCAAAATAATGCTTTCTTGGGGGGTGTGGGGTGGTGGAGACAAAGCTTTGGTCTTGTGACCCAGGCTGTAGTGCAGTGGCGTGATCTTGGCTCACTGCAACCACCGCCTCTTGGGTTCAACCGATTCTCCTGCCTCAGCCTCCCAAATAGCTAGGATTACAGGAACCTGCCACCATGCCCAGCTAATTTTCGAATATTTAGTAGAGGTGGGGTTTCACCATGTTGACCCCGCTGGTCTTGAACTTCTGACGTCTGGTAATCCACCAGCCTTGGCCTCCGAAAGTGTGGGGATTGCAGGCGTGAAACACCCCGTCCGGCCTTCAAATTATATTTTCATACCCACTCACTTCCACAATTTTTTGGACCTATCTGCGTGTTCTCCTCGGAGGCGGGGGGACGGAAACAGTATCAGCGTTCTTGAAAAATTTATGAAAGAGAGAATGACAATACTATACTAGGTTTAACCTATTCACAATACTGTATTTACTGAATAAAAACATTGCGTTTAAAATTCTACTATTGACTAAATAAATAAAATACACTCTTCCATTCACTCTAAAATGTGTGTACATGAAGAGTATACAAGAAGGGTTCTAATACAGAAACAAATAAATGAGGCTGGGCATGGTGGCTCACGCTGTAAGCCTGGCAGTTTGGCAGGCAAAAGTGGGTGGATCAGTTGAGGTGAGGAGTCGGAGACCAGCCTGGCAAATATGGTGAAACCCAGTCTTGACTAAAAATACAAAAATTAGCTGCACATGGTGGCATGCACCAGTAATCCCAACTCCTCAGAAGGCCGAGGCAGGGGAATTGCTTGAAGCTGGGAGGCGGAGGTTGAGGTTGAGCCGAGATCCTGCCACTTCACTCCAGCCTGGGTGACAGAGCAGTACTCCTCAAAACACACACAGACACCCCAAAACAACTAAAAAATGAAAATAAAAATTTTGTACTCACAGTTCAACTCGCATATCTAACGGAAAACAGAAAGTACATTAAAACAAAGTTTCCACAAAAGGCAAATAAAACAAATGAATCACCTTGCACATAAAATTAAAATAATAAACTGAAGAGAACTATACGGAAAAAAATTCAAAATTTACAAGTAAGTACTCTACAAGAAGCTGAAAGTCACTCAAAACTTTTCTGGATTCCATGTCTCTACAGTGCAAACATGATCATAAAATTTGCTGGGGGCAGAACCATCAAAATGTATCTTACAACTCAATAAACACTTCAAGTCTCACATAAGAATTGTAATGGAAAAGGGACGCGTCTGCAGTATTTCTACACAAATCTGAACAAACACTATTTCTTTGTACACATTGTTTCACTGTTCCAAGAAAATAACTTCCATATTAATATTAGGGGATGTGACAAAGCAGGTCTTCATCATGATAAGTAACACTGGGTGTCCACACCACTACTCAGGTGGGCCTTAATTCCCAGCCAGGTTCCCTCCCTGGACACACAATGAAGGGCTCATCCATTTTGCAATCTCTTCACATTTCCTCCCCTGTGAGCCCAGTGTGGTTCTCCAGATTCCCTGTGTAGCGGCCTCTCTTGTCTGGTGGGGCAGGGTGGGGCAGGGAAGTGTGGGTGATGATGGCAGAGGGCAGAAAGCATCTCAGGGAAGCCTGGGATCATTGTAACAAAAAATGATGGGCGTGGGACAGCCCATCAGGGAAGACATAGAGAGGGGCCTTGGGAGGATATCTGCGTGGAAGGTGAGAGGGCCCTGGTTGAGCCCAAACTGAGCCCCAAGTGGTAGCCGGCCTCAGGCCTCAGCCGGTGAGGGATGATGAGACAGCTACCACTTGAGCCTTGCTTCTCACCCACTGACCTTAGACACTTATTCCTCTTAGGCGGCTGAAGGTGCCCCAATCCTAAAATGTGGGTGTTACAGTTCTTTGATGGCCATTTCTCCGCCAGCCCATGGATGGCGTGGGATTGCTCACTGCAGTCACCTCCCTGAGGCTTGGTTTCTCCATGTGGGGCACAACTCCAGGAATCAACCGCCTCTCAGTCCCCAGCCCCAGACTGCTCACCTGGCCTCCTCTCTGTTCACTCTCTAATGGCCTCCCTCCCTGGAGAAGTACTGCAGGGGATTGAGCTACAGGCTCTGGCTGATGATCTAGGGGACTGCAGAAGTGGGTACAGGTTAGTTCAGGTCATGGCTCAAAGCCAGTTCCCCAGAGGCCAAGGAATGACCAGCAAGATCCTTTCCCATGATGCCCTACCTGGCGCTCACCTCAGCAATCCTGCCAGAACCTGGGCAGTCATGGTCAGCCAACCAGCTGAAGAAGGTCAGGTAGGAGCTGTACGGCCTGCAGCTGGAGGCTTGACCTTCATGATCCCACAACCACTAGACTGCAGTGGAATGAGACATCCCGTATCCTGCAGAGAGAGGAGTCAGGAAGGTTCATGCCAGACCTACCCTCCCACACACCAGCTCCCCTACCATGCTGGGAGGCGCTCCTTACCGAGGATGCCAAGGCAGTACTCCTGAATGATCACTTCATTGTGGAAGTAGAGACTGTGATAAAAGGAAAACTTCATCCTGCTGCCGGTACCCGGAAGAGTTGCTTTCCTCCCCTTACCTGGCCAAGAAGGAGAAAGAGGACGTACTCAAAGGAGCATTTCATGTAGCTGGGGTGAGGTGACCTGTTAGCTGGGGTGAAGCATGTGTTTCTCCTTCCCAACTCTCTCATTGAGACACCCCCGGGTCCCAGGGGTACCTCAACCTGACCCAGACACCAGACCCCTCCCGAAGACTCAGGCTCCTTAGCCCGACCTGCAAATCCATCACGTACGTAGCTTAGCAGGACTTCATCATCATTTGTGATCCCGGCCAACATCTCGGTGTGCCGCACAATCTGCCTCTGGTCAAGGAGCCGCCGGATGATTGGGTGGGCGTGCAAGGAAACACCCTGCAACTTTGCAAGAGCACGGAGAGTGTGGGGCAGGGCACCTTCCCTTCCAGGTCCTCTGTCTCTGTCTGGCGTGGAGGGCACCATCAGAGCTGTGGTGGTCTTGGTGGTGGGTGGAGGCAGGCCCAGACAACCTGCTCTGACCAGGGGCTGGCACTGAAGAAGTGGGCAGGGGGTTGGGGGCGGGGTGTTGTTGTGTGAGGCGACTACTTGCTCGGCGTTTCTGAGCTGCAGGAGGCCCTCCTGTGCTGGGTGCTGGACAGGCTCTGCTGCTGTCTGGGTGTGCCGTCTCTCCTTCTCCTGGTCTCCCTGAGGGGTGCACGTGTCCACCCCAGGCAACCGCTGTGGGTAGAAGTAGCTACGGGGCTGTGCCTGGCTCTCCCCGTGGAGCTCGAGTGGTTTCAAGGGAGCTTATATATACTCAGGGCCTAAACATCTTTGGGTGCAGCGCTGGCAGAGGGAAGAAATTGTGTCTGGGGAGATAGTGCCTGCCTTGCATAGGACAGCAGCCCCGTGCACAGTGACACCGAGTCTTGAGCACCTTGTGTTTCTGGGGTAAGCTTGCTGGACACAGGCAAGGGGAGCAGGGAAGTTCCGTGGCTGGCATGGGCATGCAGACTCCCCTTCCTCCAGGGACTTTCCCGGTGAATCGTATCCTTCAACTTTCTGCTGTTATGATGGGTCCTTGGCGCTGCTATTCTCCCTGGTGAGTGCTGTGCTTGGCTTCCTGTCCCTACCACATGCCCTCAGGGCACATGCAATTAAGCTGCCCTCCTATCCGCATGAGCCTGTTCTCAGTTCCCCTTGTTGTCCCCCATGCCCTGAATCCTGGCTGACCGCCAGTGCCTACCACCTTGTTTCCCCCCACCTCCGCTCCCGGGAGCTCCGCGCCCATCCCCTGCTGCCAACCATCCCGAATTGGCAGCTGCAAGGATATGGCTCTGGCCCAGAAGCCGGGGATGCCCTGTGGCCTGGGACATTCACGTAGCCGAGCTCCAAGTGAAGGACGTCCAGCGAGTCTGTTGCTGGCCGGGGCGTACTGGGGCCAGGGCCAGGCTGTGCCTGCAGGTCCTCCTGCTGTGGCTCCACATTGGCCTTCCTCCTTGGCCACCACCTCCATCTCTGCAATGATGTCATCCCCCACTAGCATGCCTCTCCCCCCAGGGTTGTCTTCCTGCTCTGTGCACAGACCATCCTCTCCTGCACAGCCTCCAGCCTTAACATGGTGCCCTCCTTGAGGCTCCAACAGAGCAAAGCCTGTGCCTCCCACCCCACCCCCCCGGCACCCGTCAACTCTGGGGGCAACTCCAGGAGAGGCCTGCGGGCCTTGCCCTGCTGAGAACCACATCCTACACCTATGTGGAACAGGGTTCCTGGGGGGCCCCACAGGGCCCTTAGCCTGTCACACTCACACTGGGGCTCAGCTACCCAGCAGGGTTAGCTGCGCACGGCAGCCCTGGAGTCGGATGCCAAGGCCCTGGCTTCCAGAGCCCCGCTAGCAGGCACACGGCCACCACTGCACTTGTGAGAGCCTCTGCACCAGCAAAGCAGTGCACACGGATCACTGCATTGGCGACCATGGCGGTAGGCCTCCCGTGTGCCCAGGGCACAGGATGAGAAGTCCTTTGGAATGCCCCTGTGAGTACAGCATCCTCAGGGAGGAACCATGGAACTCGGAGTATGTATTTGCCTAGACCTGACAGAATCCTTGCAGGGTTTCAGCTTCTGGTGCAGATGAATTCCACCTCAGCAACGTACCAGTCGACTTTAGTCCCACGCACCCGCCCTGCCCCAATCCCCCCAAGCCACCGCTGCTGCCCTCGCCCCAGCAGCAGCGCTGGTCCCTCTCTCTCCCCTCTGGATCCGCAATATTCAGTACCATCAGCCTAGCCTGCCTAATGAAGTGAGATGTTTCATGTGTTCCCTGTGGGTTAGTTAATGTCTTGCCACACTCAGGATGCCAGTTAGGGTGTAGGTCTTCCATGCCCACAATTGCAAAGGGCTCACAGTTCGCGTGTGCCTTAATCCACCGCGGCCCGCCACGTGGCACAAGCGTGGTCTCGGAAGAGTTACCGCGAGATGATGGAGCCGCAGGCCTGCTGGGGCGGAGCGGCCTCAGGACACGCCCACAGCCTTTGCAGTAACTGGCTGACGCCCACCGCCTTCGCAATGATTGGCCGCTGGAGGTAGGCGGGATTTCCGGGCACGGCTTCCGGCGTCCTTCCCTCTCAGGGAAGCTCCAGCTGTCCCTCCCGCAGTTGGCCCTGTGGTGTTCCGAAGCCGGTTACGTACGGCCTGAGGGCCAGGCGAACCTCAGGCTCTTTGTCCTACTAAAAAGCGCAGGTATTTTCTGTTTCTCTGGACAGCTGGGTCTCTCGGCAAGAATAGAAAGCGAAGGTTTGGGATTTTGTCTATAAAAGGGGATGGGTTTTCTATGTGTGGGTGTTGAATTACGGGAGGAGTCAGTGGGGAAAGAACTCCTCAGTGCTATTAAGAGACTCACTTTCGTTAAACTCATTGATTTTTCCTGAGGATTCTACCTTTAACTGCCTAATGTGTCCGACTAGTTGTGGGAGATGGTGCTAAGCCGCCATTGGTTTTCATGTGCACTTTTTATTAAAGCGGGTTTTCTCTGTGAATGTGGTGATAATTCAGAATACAGGCAATACACTTAACCACTGCGATTAAAAAGTCACACTTTTGGTTAGCACATGTCGCGTGTCTGATTTGCTTGGAAGAATTATCAAATTTTGACATAAATTGTGTTACTTTAGTGTATGTAGAAATATGGGGCCACAAATAATCTGAGTTTCAGTTTGCCTCTGTAAAGCCTGTGATTGTCTCCTTCGTTGTATGGCAGTATTTGAAACGTTTCATGTGTCTTTGGCACCGTAAATAATTTAAACCGAATAAGTGGGTGTAATCGAGACAAATGGAGTTAGATAGCCGAAAACTGGAACAAAATAGATGCGCTTAAGTTATTCTGTTAACCTGGCACACTGCCTTACTCCTGTAGTCCTAGCATTTTGGGAAGTGGAGGTCGGAGGATGGCTTGAAGTCAGGAGTTTGAGACCAGCCTGGGTAACGTACTGGACTCTTTCATTGCTATTTTCGCATCAGGGACTGGTTTAGTGGAAGTCAGTTTTTCCTCAGAGAAAGGTTGCGCAGGGGAAGAAGGCGGCGAGGTGGACAGGTTTGGGAGTGGGGGCTGGCGGCAGGTCTCCGAGGGGCACGTGGTGGGGCGGGTCTTCCGGTAGGAGCAATGTGACAGAGGCCAGGTGGGGCAGTGAGGCTGTCACGGGGACAGGGAGGGCCAGCGAGGGAGTAGGGAGGATGGTTTCCGGATAAAACTGTACCACCTCAGGTCATCCTCAGGCGTTACATTCTCCACAGACAGGTATTGCAGGTCATCCTCCGGCATCACATTCAGGCCACAGATAGGTACGGGTTGAAGGCTAGGGTTTGGGGATCTTTGACCTATTGTATATTTCAAATCACTAAAAGATGGTAAAATATTTAAAATATTCTCCTCCTAGAACATTTTAAGTAGCTTGATTTAATCTCTTATCCAAATATCATGCTGAGTGTGGTGAGTCACCCTTGAAATCCCATCACTTTGGTAGTCCCAAGCCGGCAGAACACTTGAGCCGAAGATTTGGAGACTAGCTTGGGCACTATGGGGAAACCCTTGTCTATTTTTAAAAATACAAAAAATTGCCCAGCTGTGGTAGAAAGCGCCTGTAGTACTAGCTACTTGGGAAGCTGAGATGTAGGAAGATCAGTTGAGGCTGGGTGGAAGAGCCTGCAGTGAGCAGTTCACTTTGGCGACAGGAGACAGACATCTCAAGAAAGAAAATATGCAAAACATCACACTGTACCTCATAAATAGATTCTTTTCAAATAAAATTATTTAAATGGGGACATTCTTCATATTGCAACTGAGGAAAATTACAATAGCTTTTCTTATCTAATTTTTAGAAATGAGATTTTTGTCAGGTACATACTAAAATGCAGCATTTGTCCATGAAGTTAGTGCCCCTTTGCTCTGAGTGTTACAAATTTTACATATATAAAGTAAGAAATACTAAAAAGATGTCAGCCTCAGGAAGGGAATTTTACTTGGGTTTTCAGCACAGTATGTAATAAAATTTTATCTTTTTAGCTTATTTATATCTAAATATAGATAATTTTTTACCATTTACAGCACAATGGTAGAAGCAGATCATCCTGGCAAGCTTTTCATTGGTGGCCTCAATAGAGAAACCAATGAGAAGATGCTTAAAGCAGTATTTGGGAAACATGGTCCCATATCAGAAGGTAACTCTTAAAACCGTGTGTGTGTGTGTGTGTGTGTGTGTGTGTGTGTGTGTGTGTGTGTGTATTTTCACATGTATATTTCAATAGGTATGTTTAAAATATGTATGTTATATATATATGTTTTGAAAAAATATATTTTTTCAAAGTTCATTGTATACCTACATTAAAATGCCTTATGCATTTTAAACTCTTATTTTGTAGTATCTGTTTGATATTTGGAAAATTCTCATAGTAGTAGGTTAAGGTTCTATGGAAAGGATAACCTACTACTTAGAAAGGAAAATGAGGGAAAGTAAATGTGCTGTGGAGTTCCGAAACAAACTGGAATAAACTAGACTGACTGTAGGGGTGACTGAGTATCGAGAACCATAATAGTGATGTGAAATGCAATTATTTTTTAGTTTGATGTAACCTTTAGATGGTGAGTACCTTGATGAGTCCATTATATGAATGTAAAATGTTTTCATATATTTTAGTTCTTTTGATAAAGGATCGAACCAGCAAATCCAGAGGCTTTGCATTTATTACTTTTGAGAACCCTGCAGATGCTAAGAATGCTGCCAAAGATATGAATGGAAAGGTAAGAGTCCCTTATTACTAATATTCTAACTCTGTTCTTCAATTAACAATATTTCTAGGTCTTTTTAATATTGCTAAACTTTTGAGGATAGTAGAATGACACATGAAGCCATCCTCTTTTTTGTGCCATATACGTGCAAGTGTAGTTGGAAGGGTATTGGAATTAACATTACATAAATTAATATTTGGTAACCTTTTTCTATGTTTGTATTTCGATATGAGTGCAAATAGATTTTAAAAGGTTTTGAAGAGCTTTAAAACTTATAAGGAACCCTCATGTAAATGAAAGTAATAAGTCAATATTTATTAAATGCTATTAATTGAAGTACATCCAATTCATGGAAATACTTTTAGAGCGTAGACAAACTGGATAGACATCTAGACAGACGCACAAGAAGGAAAGACTCTTTCCTTCTTGAAGAATATATTTTATGAAAATATATTCTTGCGAAAGTGTATTTAAATAAGACCTTTACATTTACGGAAAGGTTAAGTAGTTGAAAATAGAAAATAATATGAGAACATTGAAGTCAGATAACAGAAGAAGTAACTGGCATTCTTGGCTCCATGCTTGCTTTTTCTCCTAAGGACATTTCTTTCCTGTCACCAGAGTGATTTATGTAACATGAATAGCTAATTACTCATTTCCCCAGTGTGTTTGAGGACTTGTTTTGATTGAACCAATGGTCTCTTGTCCTGTTGAGTCTTAAATCTAGAGATTGTGTGTTTACTTAAGCTTTAAACTTCTATGTAATGATATTAATTATTGAATTCCTTTACATTGTAGTCAAGAGCATTCCATTCTGTGCTCTTTAGTGTTTTTTGCTTTATAACATTATCCCAATCATGCCGGGCATGGTGGCTCATGCGTGTAATCCCAGCGCTTTGGGTGGCCAAGGCGGGCAGATCACAAGGTCAGGAGAAAGAAACCATAATGGCCAACATGGTGAAACCCTGTCGCTACTAAAATACAAAAAAAAAAATTAGCTGCATCTGGTTGTGTGTGCCTGTAGTTCCAGCTAGTCAGTAGGCTGAGGCAGGGGAATCGGTTAAACCCAAGGAGGCAGAGGTTGCAGTGAGCCGAGATCACGCCGATGCACTCCAGCCTGGCAACAGAGCAAGAATCCGTCTGAAAAAAACAAAAAATAAATAAAATAAATAAATAACGTTATCCCAATCTGTTTTTAGGTCCTGTTAGTCTTCACGCTATTCCCAAAGTGCTTTTTTAGACTTCTTGAGAATTATCCTTCCCTGTGTATGGCTCATAAATAAAATTTATGCTTCAAAAACCACTTAGATTTCATAATTTTCTTCCTCATTGCGTATTGTAGGTATTTTCTACTCGCTGTACTATGTATTAATCTATTGATCGTGAAATTGTATATAGTGCATATTTAAGTCTTGCTAGTTGCTTTTCTTTCTGTTACATCTAGCACACTTCCTGTCACATAGCAGAAAGTACATTTTTATTCACCCTTATAAATTAGTATTTCAAGCTGTGGTAGAAACCGAGAGTTGCTTTTGGTTCATGGCTTTGTGGTAGGTATGGAGATAATTTTGACTTCTGTATAGGAAGCTATGATAATTTCTTTTTTCCCTCTAGTTTTCAAGCAAAAGGGCAGGTAATTTGTGTAAAGTTTTTGTTCGTTTGTTTGTTTTTTAAGATGGAGACTCGCTGTGTGCCCTAGGCTGGATTGCAGTGGGGCCATCTTGGCTCACTGCAACCTCCGCCTCCCGGGTTCAAGCGATTCTCCTGCCTCAGCCTCCCAGTACCAGGGGCTACAGAGGCGCGCCACCACGCCCAGCTAATTTTGTACTTTGAGTAGGGATGGGGTTTCACCCTGTTAGCCAGGGTGAGCTCTATCTCTTCACCTCATGATCCACCCGCCTTGGCCTCCCAAAGTATTGGGATTACCGGTGTGAGCCACCGCGCCCAGCCAACGTTATTTCTAAATTACTTCATCTCACGTATTTTATTGTGTTAAAATAACTATGAATGTTGTATGCACATTAATGTTAAGATGGCCAATAAAGGAGGTTCTTTGAGTTTTCAGGGGGAATTAACAGTTAAGGAATTTTGGCTGACTTCAGAACACTGGGAAGGAAGCAGCCGTGGGCAAATCTGGGGAAAATATTTTGAGCCCAGAAATAACAAAAGAAGTTTCAAGGTAGGAACAACGGGCGATGTGGCTGCAAGCGGTCTTGTTCAGGGATTTAAGTCCTTCCTCCAAATAACAAAAGCCATGTAATTTTTAAATCGCATTATTAGCTGAACTGTTTTCAAAAATTGCTGTGGCCTGTAGAAAAGATTACAGTGAAAAATGTTATTATGAAATTAATTAGGATAGTTAAGCATTTCTGAGAAATTACCTGAAGTACTATATTAAGATTCGTTTTTTAGGGGCACGTCTAAGGCAATGTAAGAAATGAGTAAGGCAAGAAAACTTAATGAGATCAAACAAGGATCACATTTACAGAAACATTTTTAGAGTCAATATAGAATTGTAAATCATATGGGGACATTTTATGGAAGTGTTAGCAAATCCAACAAGAAACAACTCATAATGAGTAATGTGCCTAATCACTCTGAAAAAGTAAGCTCATTTTTTTTTTAAATGACACGAGTTTCATTGGGACACTGCAACTTTCAAATCAGTGATGTGACTACAAAGATGAAGTGGATTATATATTGTAAAAAACAGATGTGCCACATTCTTCCACAGAATGTGTGATGGGTCAAACTTTTTTTTTATGTTTGAGTTTTTTTTTTTTTTAATGATGGAAAAGTTTTCAAGGAATTTGAATAATAGAATTTGTGTTTGATCCCTTAATGGAAGGCATGTGCTCAGTAACTATCTCAAATTTGGCATTGCGAAAGATGTGTTCATTTTAGAAGAAAAAAAAGTTTCCTTTTGGGAGAAAAATACCTCAAATTGAACTACAGTTGATGTAAAAATGTTTGTAAAATGTGCTTACGTTAAATGTGCCGGTGTTATTGATAGTACCCTTAATACTTCTAGTCTTTGCATGGAAAAGCAATAAAAGTAGAACAAGCCAAGAAACCATCTTTTCAAAGTGGTGGTAGGCGGAGACCACCAGCTTCTTCGAGAAACAGAAGCCCTTCAGGAAGTCTGAGATCTGCAAGAGGAAGCCGTGGAGGAACAAGAGGGTGGCTTCCCTCACAAGAAGGGCACCTGGGTAATGTTTTAAAATATAAAGATGGAACCATAGGACTGAAAGAAAATAAGTTTGACGATATTGAAATTTCTTAATTTTTTTCTTTCCTGTATGAAGAGAAAATTAGCTTATTGATAATAAGCAAACTTATTTCTAAGTACTATAAAGGTGTATTATAAGAATGATTGAACTAATATCTAAAATTTGTTTAACAATTATAATAAGTTTGCACTGAAGTAACACACATTTGAAACTGAGTTGTGTTTGTGAATGCTGATTGCCTGTACTCAACCGGTTTTCTGCAGAACTCATTTATATTCATTATACTTTAGAGTTTTCTACTTTAGGGCCCAGAACTTCGTGTCAGTTGTATTATCAAAGTACGATGTAATATTTAAAATTTTCCAACAGGAAGAAGTAACTGAATACTGAAGATTGATTTTGCAGTATTTGTTTTCTTGTGTCTACATGTGGAAACATCTATGCAAATGTATTGCTTTGTAATTTTGATACAGAGAGTTTGTACATTGGCCTGCCGTAAAGCATTTTCAATTTAAGAAATGTAGAACTTTAATTTCTGAAAAGAGTCTGTGACTCTGGAAAGATCTAAAAACCACTGCTTCACAGATATGTATGAATCTTTCTTTGCTGGAGGCTGAGTCACTGAAAATGATATTTATGAGTGATTTACTTAATAGAAATGAGGGGTCCATCTTTACATATAAAAGAAAAACAAACCATATATTTAAAAAAAAGGAAAAAGAAAAAACTATTGGATGGGCTGTGCGAGGTGGCTCACGCCTGTCACCTCAGCACCTGGGGAGTACAGGGGAGGTGGACCACGAGGTCAGGAGTTCCAGACCAGCCTGGCCAACATGGTGAAACCCTGTCTCTCCTAAAGATACAAAAAAATTTGCCTGGGCCTGGTGGCGTGCACCTGTAATCCCAGCTACTCAGGAGGCTGAGGCAGGAGAATCACAGGAACCTGGGAGGCAAAAGCTGCAGTGAGCCAAGGTTATGCCATGGCACTCCAGCCTGCGTGATAGGGCAAGAGTGCATCTGAATAAATAAATAAATAAACCTGTTGGTTAACTTGTATTATCTATTAACCAACCTTCAGAACTCTAACAAATAGCTTGGAGTTTTAATAACCAGACATGTAATTAATTGGAGATTGTTTTCAAGTTGAAATTGCAGTGTTTGCTCCATTTTAAGATGCGTAGCTTCACGGCTGTTTTGCC
Source organism: Homo sapiens (assembly GCF_000001405.40). Classification (NCBI taxonomy): domain Eukaryota; kingdom Metazoa; phylum Chordata; class Mammalia; order Primates; family Hominidae; genus Homo; species Homo sapiens. Next base: position 21,887,407 of record NC_000024.10, on the reverse strand, counting down.
TCCACTGATCTTGAGGGTGAGCTTCAATTATACTCTGCCACGGACGAGAATGTGTACATAAATTCTAACCTGTAACACCACCTGGCAATTGGCATATATCTACGTTTTTGTAGATGTATAAAAATATGTTTATATTACCGAATATGCAATTCTTAAAGACTGTTAAAATTCAGCATAGTCTCATCTGAAAATTAGTGTCTCATAAGGGAATTTTAAGAATTCTATATTGTGTTAACAAATTTTAGAGACAATGTATTTTCCTGATATGTGATTTCTTGGTATTGGAAATATTTGAGTTTCTTTGAATGGAAATTAGTTTATCTTTATGATGTGCTTTGAAAATTTTTCCTCATTACAGAATGATATAAACAGTCATTTATCATTTTTCTTTTAATATTTTTATGTATATTATATTTGGATATTTTAGTGATAGATTTCTGCCCCCGTTCACTCCCCATTTTCCCACATCTCTCCTTCATACCGATATATTATGATACTTGAGTTTCTTTCTAGATTTTCTAAATGAACTTTTAATGCTTGAAGTGTACTAATACCTTGTAGGAATGCTAATTTTATTAGTTTAGACAAAATGTGAATTTGTTATAAAATGTAGAAAATATTTGTAAACAACTAAAACTTAGCCATTTAAGAAACAGTGACGTCAGTTAACTAAAAAGATTTTGTTTGAAATACAGATGATGGTGGATACACTCCTGATCTCAAGATGAGTTATTCTAGGGGACTCATTCCAGTTAAAAGAGGTCCATCTTCAAGAAGTGGAGGTCCTCCTCCGAAAAAATCTGCTCCTTCTGCTGTGGCAAGAAGCAATAGTTGGATGGGAAGCCAAGGTAAATGCTGCCTGACAGAAAGACCGTAGTTTTTGTATGACTAAAAATGAGCCGTTTTAGCTGAATGCTTAGCTTTAAGTTCATTGAACAAAAGAGAAGTGACACATACGTGAGCATAATTACTGATTGATAGCTTTTATTATAGTTTCTATCTCACTAGGTACATTTCAGATTTATGTTGAAGAAATACTTGAGCTTCTCATTGCAGATCAAAGAAGTGATTAGAGTGAGGCCAACATTCCTTTTAATCCTGTGTTGGCTAGAAAATTCCCCTTAATTTTTCTAAAAGTTCCTAGCAGTATTCTTTGATGGTAGGCTTCTTGATCTAATTAACTCTTCCATTTCCTAAGTCCCCTGGTGTCCCATTCTAAAAATTGCTTGTTCGGTGACTTTGCTGGGTTGGAGTCTTGCTCTTACTAGGTGAGAGTGCACTATGTGAGACGACGGCTTACTGTAGCCTCAAATTTGTGAGATGACGGCTTACTATAGCCTCAAATTCCTGGGCTCAAGCAATTCTGCTGTTTCAGCCTCCCGAGTTTGTGCAACTACAGGCATGCAGCAGCACACCTAGCTACATTTTTTTCCCTATGTTTTTGTAGAGAGAGGATCTGACTACATTGTCAAAACTGATGTTAAAGCCTGGGGCTCAAGCGGTCCAGCTGCCTCAGCCTTCCACACTCACTCACAGTGTGAGCCGCTAAGCCTGGCCGTCCAGCTTCTGAGACCTCAGTAATGCGTATGTGCAAGGCATACTCACTGCTTGCATGAAGATTCAAAAGAACTACAAGAGCATTTAGCAGACAAGGAGTCATTGGGCTTAAATATGATTTAAAAATAAATTTAAGGCTCGAGAGGTAGACACGTAGGAGTCCAAAATTCTTAAATTAAGTGGATATCACAGAAATGCAGAGTTGTGAAATATAGGTGTATGTAAATCAGTAATTGAGATTGTACCGGGATGTTTAAACATTAACACAAGATCCTTAGTGTAAGATTTGAAATTATTTGAGGAGAGAATTTAGAACTCAGCAACATGAGGTGAGCGGTAGGGTTGAATGCAAGTAATACTTTTGAGAAGAATTGTAAGACTGCAGACTGAACAGAAGAAAATAAGACAATAAATAAAAGTTCTTAGCAAGGAAGTTTAAGCAGAGCAAATTAAAATTCTTTCTTAGTCCTCCATCCGCATACGGAGGAAGTTAAAAACTGCCATTTTCAATTTTACATTTCATACGTAGAGTATCGGTGAAGGGAGGTATTTATTGGCTTCAGGATACCCAAGCCAACACATTTCCATTGGAAAATTAGCCAGTGAAGGTATCATATGTGAAACACTGACCGCTAAGGAATAGCAAGTGAAGAATATATTAGAGGAGAAACTTTCTATTTTGAAACAGCAACAGTGTTGTAATGACCCCTTGCATAGCATTGCTTTCTTTGCAGTAAAAGCAAATCTTGACCATCATTAGAAAATCTTCACTAATACATTTTAATTTGTCAACATTTAAGATAGAGCCAACCAGTTAAAGAACTTTTATGTAAACATTTAGCATATAGTCATTTAAAGGTAGCTGTATTTATGTGTCTGTGAGATGGACTGAATGATATTGGAAAATCTACCTTCTTTGGCTGAGAAAGAACAATGTATGTAAACTTTAAAATCAGTGAAGAGTTTGATGGTTTTACGTGTTTTCCCTGTGTCACTCACAGTCATCAGTAATTTATATGGAAAGGAAAATAATAACTAAGTAGTTATTAACCATTACAAATGAACTTTTACCTAAGCATTAATGTTTGCCTTCAGCTTCATTAGAAGAACTGGCCTTGTGGGAGCCATGGGATTATCCAAAGCCATGAGAAATATTCACAGTGTCATGTCTGTCTAGTAATTTAGGAAACAAAGAATGGAGTCATAGAAGAAATAATTTTAAAAAGTTGTTTGAGAGAAGAGAAAATAGCGTTTCAGATTTGGTGTTCTTTACGTAATGTTCCATCATTTGAATGTTAAAGGTCCCATGTCACAAAGAAGAGAGAATTATGGAGTTCCTCCACGCAGAGCGACAATATCTTCCTGGAGAAATGATCGCATGTCAACAAGACATGATGGTTATGCAACTAACGATGGGTAAAGGAAAAATTAAAAAGCACAGTTGATTTTTTTTTCCTGTGGTGATGAAATTCACATAACAAAATTAAATATTATAAGGTGAACAGTTAGGTGGTGTTTGATACATTCTGTGCCATGCAACAACTACCTCCATCGAGTTCCAGAACATTTTCATCACTCCAAATTGAAACTCCTACTACCAGTTAAGCAGTCCCTCCCATTTTCTCCTTTTCCTCAGCTGCTAGATAACACCAGTCAGTGTTCTGCCTCTGAACTTACCTGTTGTGGGTATTTAATGTTAATGTGCTCAAACACTACATGACTTTTTGTATTTGTCTCCTCTCCTTTTGCATGATGTCCTGAAGGTTCATTTACATCATAGCACTTCACTCCTTCCACAAGCTATTAACCCATTATTTTATCTGCGTTGTTTCCACTCGAGTATTTCTACGCACCAATATTTGTTTGAGTGTGCTTACTCGGTTCTGGGTGTATATGAGTGGAATTGCATGGTCCTATGATAATGATGTTTGTTTTCTTGAGGAACCACCACATTTCTCCATAGTAGCTGCATCATTTTCCGTTCCAACCTAGCATTGTATCAGCAATCCAATTTATCTACATCCTCTCAAACACTTGTTATTTCCTGCTGTTTGAAATTTATTGCCATTCAAATGTGTGTTTGAAATATGATATCCCATTTTCGATTTGAAATGCATTTTCTGCACCCATTAACTCATCATGCACATGTATCCTAGAACTTAAAGTATAATGAAACAAAAAGAAATGCATTTTCTGAATCGCTGAATATGAGTATCAGTCCCGTGTGCTTTTTGGGCATTTGCCGATTTTATTTGGAGAAATATCTGTTTAGATGTTTGGCCTTTTAATTTTGTTTAAGTTGTAAGTTAGTCATGTATTGGATACTAGAAGTTGAAAATTTAAAATTTGTTGCTTAAACTTATGCACACAGAAATCATCCAAGTTGCCAAGAAACGAGGGATTATGCTCCACCATCTAGAGGCTATGCATACCGTGATAATGGTCATTCTAATCGGGATGAACATTCCTCTAGAGGATATAGGTACTGTAACTTTTTCTGAATTTGTCAAATAGATTTCTTAAATTGCTCATTCCAACTAACGTTCTATCAGGGCTCCAATTTATCTACATCCTCTCAAACACTTGTTATTTCCTGCTTTTGAAAATTTATTGCCCTTCCAGTGTGTGCGTATGAAATATGATATCTCATTTTGGATTTGAAATGCATTTTCTGCACCCATTAACTCATCATGCACATGGACCCTAGAACTTAAAGTATAATTAAAAAAAAAAGAAATGCGTCTTCTGAATCACTGAATATGAGTATGTGTCCCATGTGCATCTTGGGCATTTGCCCATTTTATTTGGAGAAATATCCATTGAGATGTTTGGCCTTTTAATTTTGTTTAAGTTGTAAGTTAGTCATGTATCGGATACTAGAAGTTGAAAATTTAAAATTTGTTGCTTAAACTTATGCATACAGAAATCATCGAAGTTCCCGAGAAACTAGGGATTATGCTCCACCATCTAGAGGCCATGCATACCGTGATTATGGTCATTCTCGTCGGGATGAAAGTTATTCTAGAGGATACAGGTACTGTAACTTTTTGTGGATTTGTCAAATAGATTTCTTAAATTGTTCATTCCAACTAACATTGTATCAGGGCTCCAATTTATCTGCATCCTCTCCAACACTTGTTATTTCCTGCTTTTGAAAATTTATTGCCATTCATCTGTGTGTGAAATATGATATCTCATTTTGGATTTGAAATGCATTTTCTGCACCCATTAACTCGTCATGCACATGGACCCTAGAACTTAAAGTATAATAAAAAAAAGAAATGCATTTTCTGAATCACTGAATATGAGTATCTGTCCCATGTGCTTTTTGGGCGTTTGCCCATTTTATTTGGAGAAATATCTATTTAGATGTTTGGCCTTTTAATTTTGTTTAAGTTGTAAGTTAGTCATATATCGGATACTACAAGTTGAAAATTTAAAATTTGTTGCTTAAACTTATGCATACAGAAATCGTCGAAGTTCCCGAGAAACTAGGGAGTATGCTCCACCATCTAGAGGCCATGGATACCGTGATTATGGTCATTCTCGTCGACATGAAAGTTATTCTAGAGGATATAGGTACTGTAATTTTTCTGGATTTGTCAAATAGATTTCTTAAATTGTTCATTCCAACTAACATTGTATCAGGGCTCCAATTTATCTACATCCTCTCAAACACTTGTTATTTCCTGCTTTTGAAAATCTATTGCCATTCATCTGTGTGTGTGAAATATGATATCTCATTTTGGATTTGAAATGCATTTTCTGCACCCATTAACTCATCATGCACATGTATGCTAGAACTTAAAGTATAATAAAACAAAAAGAAATGCATTTTCTGAATCACTGAATATGAGTATCTGTCACTTGTCCTTTTTGGGCATTTGCCTATTTTATTTGGAGAAATACCTATTTAGATGTTTGGCCTTTTAATTTAAAGTTGTAAGTTAGTCATGTATTCGATACTAGAAGATGAAAATTTAAAACTTGTTGCTTAAACTTATGCACACACAAATCATCCAAGTTCCCGAGAAACTAGGGATTATGCTCCACCATCTAGAGGCTAGGCATACTGAGACTATGGTCATTCTAGGCAGGATGAACATTCCTCTAGAGGATATAGATACTGTAACTTTTTCTGGATTTATCAAATAGATTTCTTAAATTGTTCATTCCAACTAACATTGTATCAGGGCTCCAATTTATCTACATCCTCTCAAACACTTGTTATTTCCTGCTTTTGAAAATTTTTTGCCCTTCCAGTGTGTGTGTGTGAAGTGTGGAAGCTCCTTTTTTATTTGAAATGCATTTCCTGAATCACTGATTATGAGTATCTGTTTCATGTGCTTTTTGGGCATTTGGGCATTTTGGGCATTTGGGCTCTGTGGGCATTTTATTTAGATGTTTGGCAATTTAATTGTGTTTAAGTTGTAATGTAGTTATGTTTTGGATACTAGAAGGTGACAATTTAAAATTCCTTGCTTCAACTCGTGCACGCAGAAATCATCCAAGTTCCCGAGAAACCAGGGATTATGCTCCACCACATAGAGACTATGCATACCGTGATTATGGTCATTCTAGTTGGGATGAACATTCCTCTAGAGGATATAGGTACTAACATGTTATCTGGATTTATCAAATGGATTTCTTAAATTGTTCATTCTGAAATTGAAAAGACTTTTTTTTTTTTCAATTTAGTTATCATGATGGCTACGGTGAGGCCCTTGGTAGAGATCATTCTGAACATCTAAGTGGAAGTTCTTATAGAGATGCACTTCAGAGATACGGTAAGGGTCCAGGATGGATTTGTAAATTACAGAATTTTATTTAATAGACCAGATTGTTATTTTAATGAAATTCTAAGGAAAATTGTAAAGGCCATATGCAACATGTTTAAATATTGAGTATTCTTAACAGTATAAAGCCTAGGGAATGATATGAAGGTGAGAACTTCAGTTAACGTTAAGAAAATGTGACTGAGCATTTACTTTAGAATTAAGTTTGTTAAGCTGCAAAATACTACTCTTACACTTCTCTTAAATAAAACCTTCTGACTATTAAAGCCTTGATTAATATCCTGTCAACAAAGGCGGAGGAAAGCAGATATTTCCAAATAGTACTTTAACTAATTCATGCTTTAATGATAGCAGTAAAAATGTTTAAATGTAGTCCCACATATTATTTTACCAACCCTGCAGGGACCTCTCATGGTGCACCACCTGCAAGAGGGCCTCGGATGTCCTATGGTGGAAGCACCTGCCACGCATATAGTAATACACGAGATAGATATGGCAGAAGTTGGGAGAGTTACTCGAGCTGTGGTGATTTTCATTATTGTGATCGTGAGCATGTTTGCAGAAAAGACCAAAGGAATCCGCCTTCTCTGGGTAGGGTGCTCCCTGATCCTCGTGAAGCATGTGGTAGCTCAAGTTATGTGGCATCTATAGTAGATGGTGGGGAGAGTCGATCTGAAAAAGGAGACTCGAGCAGATATTAAAGCAAGCATTGAAAATAATAGTTATTGCATACCAATCCTTGTTTGCAAATCAAAAATTGAAATGTTATTTCTGCATTGTTACCTGCATATTACTGAAAGAAACATGTTGGTTTTGTGGAGAGAGGTAGATACTAACTTCCTCCATGAATTTTTTGAGGTATTCAAAGGAAAAGGAATTGTTTTCAAAGTAATTTCATACTTGTTGATGCTATTTGAAAAGTGTTTAGATGTAATATCTACCTTAAAATTTTCACAATAAAATTTGACATGTACTGCAAGATGCCTGGTGTTATTGGTTAGCCGCGCATGCTTAAAGCAAATTCAATAGGAGAGTAAATTGTGTAGTCTGTTGTACATTTTCCTTTGTTTCTTTGAACATAGGTACAAAATTAGGGATGTGTTATGTCGCCCTTGCAAGCTGCTCAAGTTTTGTAATTAGGCTGTTTCTCTTTAAAAACTAACAAGGTTAAAATGTTGGAGAAGTCTTCAGAAAGACTACAAAACTGTCTGCCTCACCATAAAACGTTTATTTTTTAGAGGAATAGTACAGGTCAAAGGAAATCATTAGATGTATTGATACTAAAGTTTAAGACATCCGGAACATTCTATGTGAAGCATTCTGTGACTGAAGAGGATAACGGTAATGAAAACTTTTTTTTTCACCTAAATCAGAAGTGAACCAGCTAAGTTTCTCAGGTGCGTAGCATAATGAATTTAAATGTTCGTAGTTTAAATAGTGGAAAGTAAGTGTTTTGTCTTGTGAGGTTCCCACGTTAATTTTTTCTTGAATATTTTGACAGTGGATGTTGTAAGTAATGGTTTAGTAATATGTTCTTACAGATAGGAATAATCTAGAGTGGTTGGGATAGTATCAGTTTTTTTTTGAGATGAAGTGTATAGCTTTGTCGCCGAAGCTGGGGTGCAGTGGCTCTGTCTTGGCTTATGGCAACCGCTGCCTTCTGGATCCAAGCTATTCTCCTGCCTCAGCATCCTGAGTAACTGGTATTAGATATGTGTGCCGCACAGCGGGGCCAATTTTTGTATTTTTAGTGCAGACAGCGTTTCACCTTGTTTGCCAGGCTGTTCTTAAAATCCTGATCCACCCTCCTCAGACTCCCGAAGTGCTAAGATTATAGGCGTGTGCCACCACTGTCAGCCTATCGTATTTAATTGATAATATGAATGGAAACGCTTTAAACCTCATACTTAGGGGAAAGTGAAGTGTATAAAACATAAACAACAGCATAAAGTTTCCGACGGGATTGCTTAAAGTTTTAAGACATCACTGAATGATACAAATATTTAGACCGAAATAACTAAATGAATTAATTTTCCTGATTATACAAACTAAAGAAATGAAATACATCAAGTTCCAGAAGTTTTGCAGTCCATAATTCTTACAATTGACAGACTAATCTGCAAGGAGGAAGTATTTTCTTGAAAAATTTTGACAGAATCATCAATTTTTACAGGGTAAGGGTACAAATAATTTTAAAGGGAGAAGTTACCAACTTTGATTTTCAAGTGAGTTATTCATGTTATGGAGTGTTTTCATTCACCTGTAGCATTGTGAGGATGAAGTGAAAAGATAAATCTCCCGAGTCTTGTGTATCTTACTGTCCATGTGTGATGGCTCAGGTCTCTAATTCTAACACTTGGGGAGGCCGAGGCTTGCAGAGCACTTTAGGACAGGAGTTGAAGACCAGGCTGGCCAACACCATGAAACCCCATCTCTACCAAAAATACAAAAATTAGCCGGGCATGGTGGTGCCTGCCTGTAGTACGTTGCAGTTAATTGGGAGGCTCAGGCAGGACAGTGGTTTGAACCTGGGAGCCTGATGCTGCGGTGAGCCGATATTGCACCATGCACTCTAGCCTGGGTGACAGAGTGCGACTCCAACACAAAAATAATTATATCAATCAACAAATATATACATAATAAATAGGGTATCCTTCAGTTCAAGCACTTACCGATTCTTTTTTCTTTTTTAGAGACAAGGTCTCACACTGTTGTCCAGCCTAGACTGCAGTGGCACCATCATAGCTCACTGCAGCCTTGAACACGGGCTTGAAATGTGCAAGCCTTCCATTTCAGCCTCCCAAGTAGCTGGAATTACAGACACACACCAACCACCGTGCCCAGCTTTTGTGTTTGTGTGTGTGTGGTAGGGACAATGCTTTGGATATATTGTTCAGGCTGGTCTCAAACTCCCAGACCGAAATAATCCTCCTTCCCTGGCTTCCCAAAGTGTTGTGATTATAGCCGTGAGCCACTGAGTCTGGCATATCTTTTCTCATTATGAGCGACATTCCACCTCACTGAGTCTGGCGTATCTTTTCTTGGTATCAGCGACATTCCACCTTCGCTCTATTAATTATTTTGAGATGTACAATAAATCATTATTAAGTGTAGTCATCCTGTGCCACTGAACACTAGATATTATTCCTTCTAAGCAAGTATAATTTAACCCACCCCCATCCCCTCTTTGATCCCTCGCTTACCAGTTCACATTACTTGTATCAAAATATCACATGTATGCCAAAAGTATCTACAACTGTTAGGTACAAATTTTCATTCCCTTCCTCCTTCCCTCCCTTCCTTTCTTCCTTCCTGTCTTTCTTTCTTTTTGTCTCTGTATCTTTTTCTCTCACTGATTTTTTTTTTTTTAAGAAAGAATCCTGCCCTGTCACCTAGGCTGGAGTGCAGTGGCGTGATCTCAGCTCACTGCTCCCTCCTTATCACGGGTTCAAGCAATTGTCCAGTCACACTCTCCTAAGCAACTGCAACTGCAGTCATATGACACCAATCCTGTATGTGTGTGTGTGTGTGTGTGTGTGTGTGTGTGTGTGTGTATTTCTATTTTCAGTAGAGACCAGGTTTCACAATATTTGCTCGGGCTGGTCTTGAACTCTTGTCCTCTAGTGATCCACTCACCTCATCCTCTGAGAATGCTGGGATCCAGGCGTGAGCCACAATGCCCACCCAGTTTTATGCATTTGTCTCTTCAGTAATCTCTCCTATTTTATTATTTTATTCTCTTTTTATTTCTGAGACAGAGTCTCGCTGTGCTGCCCAGGCTGGAGCACAGTGGTGTGATCTCACTTTACTGCAAACTCCATCACCAGGATTCAATGGATTCTCCTGCATCAGCCTTCCAAGTAGCTGGGATAATATCCATGGGCCACCAAGCTTGGCTAGCTTTGGTATGATAGTAGACATGGCATCTTGCCATGTCTAATTTCATATCTATTTTAAAGCTCAGTTTATAAGCAATACTGACTTCCTGGAATGTTTTCTGTTTACAAAACTATAGTACTATTATTTAGCCTCCTCAGATAAAATATGATAACACACAAAACATACACACACAGACAAAGACACGGTCAGTGATCAAAAAATCAGTGTAGGCCACGACCTAAAATGGAACGTGAACTGCTGCAGTTGCCTAGAATTAAAGCAGACCAGAGTTGACCCATACCAGGCTGAGAGATGTGAACAGAGGCTTTCAAACAACTCTATCAGATACATGTTAGATTATTCTCCAGCCATAGCGAAGGGGCATTAAAGATCTGTTGTGTTTAGAAGAGTCTCGATGATTTGACTTTTCCAGGGTATTAGCATTCATGATGTTGGCCTTTACAGCTCTCTGCAATTAAGTCAGTAGACAACTCAGTTTTTCTAGGAGTCTAAAGTGCTTTTCAGAATTATCTAAAGCTTAGTGGCTTAAACAATAATTATAATTTACTAACTGTCAGTCTCTGCAATCCCCCGCAGTCACTCAGCCAAATGATTGTGGTTCTGGGGCACTCAGGAGGACGCAATCTAGTGATGGCCAAGGTTGGGGACGTTGGCGGGTGTCTTCTCATCTCCCTGGTGCCATGGCTAGCGTGACTCAAATAGCAGGGGCTGGACTGCTGAGATGCTCAGACATCTTGTTCTGTTTCTTTGAGTCTCTCCATTGGATGTCCCTTCTGCATAGTGTCATCAGGGTGTTAGACTTCGTGATGTACTGGTCGGGGGCTCCTAAGGGGGATGAGAGCAGGAGAGTTAGGCAGAGCTGTGTCACCTTTTCTAAACTAGGCCAGAGGTGGTCCAGTATCCAGAAAATGCTTGCACTGTTTTCTATTCATTACAAGCAAGTACTGTGTTCAGTCCCATCAGGAATATTTTCAAATGGGTGTGAGAAGAATTTCAAAGTGTGTTTTAGACCACTACAGTGGTCATGCCTAATAATTCCTTATTTTTACAAGTGCTCGATGGGTTTTTCCCAAAATAATAGCAGATACAGACTTTTAAACTTGAAACCTATGTATCATAGCTCTGAACATTTGGCTATATGTTGAAATAACTTGAGCAAAAATTGATTTTGAAATGAGAGTTATAAATAAAATACATGAGATAAAGTCATAAATATATGGATGAAATGCTTATAAAGAGATCAGCCTTAAAAATGTCAATAGGTCTAATATGCCACTATTTTACTATTTCTATGGATATTACTTGGATAAGAGGACAAGGACTCAGGGGTGTGCTGCTCTATCTCTTCACCTTGAAACTGCAGCTGGGGCACCAGGAGTAGCAGTTCCCGCTAACACCATGTGGTGAGGACAAGGAGTCCATTCAGGTTAAGGAGGGTGTGAGCATATTGTGATCTGGAAGAGAGATACACCTGGTACAGCAACCAGGATCAAGGTCCCTGGCACATGTTGAAATCCCCCATGCCCAGCTGTGGCAGAGTGAATCCCTCAGCTGGTGCTGTGCCTCCAGGTATGTTCTGAAAGCAGCTGCCTGCGCTGAGAAGGATCCCCTCATTCCCTTGTCATGTGGGAGGGTGAGGCTTGTGGCCCCCGCTCTGTCTGTTCCCGCTCTTTGCCTTCCCATTATCCCACTGCTGGGTAAGGTGGCAGGACCCCGGAATGTAGAAGGGCCCTGGGTTGTTGACAGTGCCTGTGGGTGGCCATGTACTAGGAGGAGAGTCCTCACTGAGCCTCCCACGAGCTTGGAGGCGGGGAAGGAACAGTCCTGGGGCACTGGCTGTTCCAGAGTCCAGGGGTCTGTCCCAGAGAAGGCCAGGGGGAGGTTGTAAGCCTGTGGATCTGCAATCTAGGTGGAAGACCTGTATCTGCCATGGCTGACATCATCAGGGCATGACACTCACTGGGTGGAGAGCTGGGCTTATGCATTTTACCCCTGTCCTGAAGAGACCCTGCATGCCTGGTTCTCCTGGGAACAGTGATCCTAGGGACCCCCCAGTCTGGGTCCACTCATGACCATAAGCTTAGGATCTTGTGTGCCTTGCTTCCTGTCTGCCCAGGTGAGGCATCCTGGAGAGGGTGCATGGGGCAAAGCTCGTGTGCGCACACCCAGCACTGGGACGGGGTGTCACCGGCCAGTTAGGCTCTCCTGGCCCTCTCCTGAGCTCCCACCTGGCTAAGTGGCAAGTGTCCCATCTACCTGAACCCACAGCCCAGGTTTCTCTTCCACCTACTGACCCATGCCCTCTTAGGGAGAATGCCACCCTCCCTGGAGACTCAGGCCCTGCCGGACCCACATGCTGTCCTCTCTCATGGGCCGGAGACTCTGGTGCACAGGGATTCCCGAATAGCGAATCCCAAAGCCCTGCAGGTTTCACTGATTCTTACCTGAATGCCCCAGCCGAACACACAGGTAAACACAGGCAGCTACTAGGTTTTATATCCCTCTGGGTGTCATTTCAGGTTTATGACATCTCCTCTAGGTAGCTTGTGCCAGCCACCCTTTTCCTCCTCCCTCTGCCATTTGTGAGAACCATGAGGACTCTTTGCTTCTCCCTAGCATGCAGACTTCACGGGTCCTGAAGTTGGATTGCCAAACCCAGCGGCACCCTGCTTGCCAGCTTAAGAGCTGAGTTTGAGGCACACCTGTGGGCAGGAGTGTCGGCCCTCCCAAAACCAAGGTACACAAAGGTACACAGGCACACGTGTGCACATGCGTGCATCAGCTTAGACACACAGGCTGGACACGCAAACTGGAATGTGCCCATACCCACACTGGTACGAGGGAAACTGGGTGTCTACACCAATACTCAGGTGAGGCTTACTGCTCAGCCACGTACCCTCCCTGGACACACACAGAAGATCCCCTGCCATTTAATTGATCATCTGCAGTAGGATTTATTTTTACTTTTATACTTTTTTAACTTACCAAAGTATGTTGCATTCTTTTCCCCATCATGAAAAAGACTTTGATACAAGTAAAGAGGAAAAGCACTTTTTATAATGAAATCTTTTATCTGCATCTATATTATTAAGGCATTTAAAAAACTTTATGTCTATTTTTTAATGTCATAGGAAATGTCTTGAGAGCCGGGGAAGCATGAATGAGGATGGCAGAGGGGATAAAGCATGTCAGGGGAGCCTGGGGTCATTGAAACAAAACGTGACAGGGCTGGGATAGCCATTCTAGAAGTACGTAGACCTAGGCACGCCCTGCGTGCACTCTAGTTGAGCCCAAACTGAGCCCCAGGTAGTAGCAGGCCTCAAGGCGTAGAAGGGAGCCAGAGAAGGATGATGAGACAGCTATCCCTTGAGCCTTGCTTCTCACCCATTGACCTTTGCCACTTCTGCCTCAGGCACTTCAGGTTCCCCAATTCTGAAATATGAGTGTTACAGTTCCCTGATGGGCCTTTCTGCCCCAGTCCAGGGATGGCCTGGGATTTCTCACTGCAGGCTCCTCCCTGAGCCTTGAGTTCTCCATGTGTGTCACAGCTGCAGGACCCACAGGCCTTTGAGCCCCCAGCTGTGGGCTGCTTACCTGGCCTCCTCTCTGTTCCCTCTCTGAGGACCTAATCCTTAGGTAGTGCTGCAGGGGATTGAGACGGAAGCCCTGACTGATGATCTGGAGGAGTGGGGAAAGTGGTCTGTGAAAGGTCAGGTCATAGTTCAAAGCCAGTTCCCAAGATGCCAAGGAAAGACCAGCAAGGTCCTTTCCCATGACGCCCCACAGCGGCCCCTGCCTCAGCAGTCCTGGCTGACCCTGAGTGGTCACAGTCAGCCAACTAGCTGAGGAAGCTCAGGTAGGCTGTGTCCTTACTGAAGGTGGGGCTTCTTCTGATGACTCTAGAACCACTGGACTACACTAGAGCCAGTGGCCCTGCATCCTGGAACAAGAGTCAAAAAGGCTCATGCCAGGCCTAGCGTCCCACACTCCACCCTCTACCACACCAGGAGGCACTCCTTACCAAGGATGTGAACACGATATTCCTTAATGATCACTTTATTGTGGAAATAAAGGTTGTGACAAAAGGAACACTTCATCCTGCTGCCGGTACCTGGGATGGCTGAGTTCCTCCACCTGCCATGCCAAGAAGAAGAGGACAGACTCAAAGGATCCATTTCATCTATCTGGGCTGAGGGCCTGCTGACTGGGGTGCAGCATGTGTTGCCCCTTCCCAGCTCTACCACTCAGAACCCCTGTGCCCCAGGAGGACCTCAACCTGAGCAAGACCCTGGACCCGTCCCGCAGACCCCGGCTCCTCAGGCTGAGCTTCAAATCCATCCTGTAGCTTACTTAGCAGGACTTCCTCATGGTTTCTGAACTCTGCCGACATGTAGGTGTGCTGCACAATCTGCCTCTGGTCAAGGAACCTCCAGATGATTGGGTGGGCATGCCAGGAAACACCCCACAACTTTGCAAGAGCTGGGAGAGTGTTTGGCAGGGCTATCCCAAAACCTTTGACCTGGTACCCTGCATTGGTGGTCCTGTCTCTGTCCAGTGTTGGGGGCATGGTAGTGGTTGTGGTGGTCTTGTGGGAGGGTGGAGGGAGGCCCGGAAAGCTCCTGCCAACAAGGAGCGGGCGGCACAAGTAGGCAGGGGATTGGGTGTGGGGTGCTGTTGTGTGAGGCGGCTGTATCTTCAGAGTTGCTGAGCTGCACATGGTCATTGTGTGCTGGATGCTGGACTGGCTCTGCTGAGGGTGTCCAGGTGTGCAGTCCCCTCTTCTCCTGGTCTTCCTGAGGGGTGGGCGTGTTCACTTGAGGGAGCTGCTGTGGATAGAGGGGACTGCAGGGCTGTGCCTGTTGCTCCCCATGGGGCTTCCATGTGTGTAATGGAGGTGTTTGTGCAACGGAGGTTGTATATGCTCAGCTCTTTGGGTGCAGTACAGGCAGAAGGAAGAAAGCGTATCTGGGGAGTTTGTGCCTGCCTTGCAGAGGACAGCAGCCCAGTGCACCGTGAACCCAAGTCTTAAGCACCTTGTGTTTCTGGGGTAAGGCTGCTGGCCACAGACATGGGCAGCCAGGGTGGTTTCTATGGCTGGCATGGGCTTGCAGACTCCCCTTCCTCCAAGGACTTTCTCATGGAAACATGCCCTTCAAGTTTCTGCTGTGAGTGAAGGGTCCATGGGGCTCCTATTCTCCCTTGTGAGTGCTGAGCTTGGCTCCCAGTCCCTACCATGTGCTCTCAGGGCACCCCCAAGCAAGCTGCCCTCCTATCTGCAGGACCCTGGCCTCAGCTCCCTTCGCTATCCCCCATCCCCTGCCTCCTGGTTGTCCCCGTGTGCCCCTTGCTTGGCTCCCCTGCTCCCCACCCCAAGAAGCCAGATGCCCACCCCCTGCTGCCAGTCATTCCGAATGGGCAGCTGCAAAGATGTGCCTCTGGCCCAGAAGCTGGAGATGCCCTGGCTGATGGCCCCTGTGCCATCCAGGCTGGGAAGGCACCTCTGCCAAAGCTTACATCTCAGCTGTGGGCAGGCCATGTGGACTGGTTATTCATGGAACTCTGCTTCAAGTGAAGGGCCTCCAGCGAGTCTGTGGCTGGCTGGGGTGTGCTGGATCCAGGGCCAGGCTGTCTGCTGGTCCTCCACCAGGCTCCATGTCAGGCTTCTCCTCAACCACCACCTGGACCATGCCATGATGTTGTCCACCACCAGCACCTTCTCCTCCCCCAAGAGTGCCTTCGAACTCTGCGCCCTGGCTGCCCTCTCCTGCAGAGCCTCCAATTTGAATGGGGTGCCTCCTTTGGAGGTCCCACTGACCATGACCTGCACTGTCCACTCACTGTCCACTCCACGTCCAGATAAGTATATCCTTATAGTATACTTAAAAAAAAAAAACCTTAAAAGCATTCCCATTTCTCCACATCCTCTCCAACATCTGTTGTTTTCTGACTTTTTAATGATTGCCATTCTAACTGACATGAGATGGTATCTCTTTGTGGTTGCAAGGTCATGGATGAAGCTGAAAACCATCATACTAAGCACACTATCACAAGGACAGAAAACCAAGCACCGCATGTTCTCACTCATAAGTAGGAGTTGAACAATAAGAACACAGGGACACAGGGTGGGGAACACCACACATGGGGTGGTTGGTGGGATGCGGGGCTGGGGAGGGATAGCATTAGGAGAAATGCCTAATGTAAATGATAAGTTGATGTGTGCAGCAAACCAACATGGCACATGTATCCCTATGTAACAAACCTGTACGTTGTGAACATGTACCCTAGAACTTAAAGTATAATAAAAAAAAAAAAAAAGAAAAAAAACTGAAAAGGAAAAATAGCTCTACAAACCCAAATACTAAATAGAAAATTAGTATCAGTGGCCTAGAATCTAACTTGCATTAAGATATCACAAACATTCAGCAGATAGTTTCTAAATGCCACAGTAAGCCTGGCAGTCTGCAAGAAGCTCAGAAAAACATGGTCCTTCTGAGAGTGCAGTTGTTACAGGCACAGAGATAAATGAGGAATAATAAGTGTGATAACTGCTGTAATAGGCAAATACAGGAAATAGAAACCACATTTTCCTCATTTATGAAACACAAGTTTAAAAACCCTTTTGAAGTTCAAATGAGAATATTTGCTGTTACTGTATAAACTGTCAAGTAGCTATACAAATTTTTTTTTCTCACAGTGATTTATATCATGTGTGTATTACATGGTTAGTGAAGCATTCTCATAAAGGAAACCTTGAAATGTGTCCGCTGTTCAGTTTTTGTTTTTCAACTGTTTCAGTCATTGTTATTTATCATATTTTCCCTAGGGGATTTTGAATTTTAAAGAGAATATGTAAAAACTGAAAAGAGAAGGACAATGAAATTGCAAGACTACAGTCATAATAATTTCCTTGATTAATTCAATTGTTTATAGAGCAAGATTAGATTATATTTCTCCCAAAAGATTCTTGGAGAAATTCTAAGATGATGCACTCATTGTTAGAAATTGCCAAGTTGTTGCTTAAGTTAGACTTAACACTTTTTAAGCCTAAAGATACAGTAATAGTTATGTATTTAAACAGGGAAAATAGGATTTTTAGTGCTACTTTCTCTCACCTGGAATAATTATAACTTTTAAATTGGTCTTTATGTCAATTTAAATTTTTCATTATTCTACGTCATGTTTTGGATAAGCCATGTATTTTTAAATTTATTTTCATCCTTTTGGTACTTCTGTGAGAAACTGCAGACTTAAATTCATATCACAACTATGTTTCAGTTTTACTTCTCTGTTCCTAAAGGTTCACAAAAATAAAGAACTCCACTTACGCTTGTATCTTTCAGCAACCTTATTTCAGAAAACGGTGCATATTACTGCAGAAATCACATGGACAGGTCCAAAGCGGGGAGGAGGAGGATGAGGAGGAAGAGGAGGAGGAGGAGGTGAAGAAGAAGAAGAAGAGGAAGAAGAAGTAGAAGAAGAAGGAGGAGGAGGAGGAAGCGGCAAGCTTTTAAGTCTATACATTAGTATCACTGTGTCAGAAACTCAGTAGTCATAGTGAAATAAAAACAATGATCACAGTCAGTCAATTCCATCTCATACCTAGACTGAAATATGAAACTTCTAAAGAAAAGAAAGTTAAGAACTTTGGGCATATCAAAATGTTCCTATACAGATAAAATTATTGGTGACTTTTTCTCACTAGAAAACATACAATTCCATGCTTTGTATATGTGTAAATAAAAATATTTTTATTTCCATCAGTTATGATGTGCAAGCAAGTAATAAAGTGAAAGTACACTAATAAAATGATATAAGGAAATTTCTCTGTGTCAAAAAATTCCATTGAGGCCATTAATTTTACAAAAACCACGGAGAATGCATGGTGAAACTACACTATACAGTACTTTTTAGTATTTTACTTGCATTTTAAATAATCAACAAAGGAAAGGAAATTCTTAATCATTATTTATTACCAATAACATTATTCTACTCGAATAATCCTTTTGAGATTAAGTATTTTAAATAAAACTTTAAAAACAAATTGTATTGACTGATACCAGCTTTCAATGAAATAACACTTCTGTATTTGTAGTCATGTGAAGTATAAATTTCTCCTCACAGTGGATCTTTTATAACACCAGTTTTATTGATTTCTCTGATAGAAACCCTGTGATAGCTCATGCATGGCTTTACTGTAACCATACATTACATGACTCCAGAGAGTAGCCTTCAAATAGATGGAAAAATTATATTTGTGACAAAATTCTAAGAAAGGGAATGGTAAAATGGGAGAATAATTTCTAAATTTCTAACTGTTCATCAGTGGATTTGGATATATTTAGATATAGACAAATATTAGCACACTGCAAGTTTGCACATGTGTATATAAATTTATATGAGATACCCATAATGTGTGGGTTGTGTAATATTTTAATCCTCAATTTTACATGTGGGAAATTTGGTAAGAGTTTATCTTTATCAAATAATCAATTTGAAGTACTATACTCAATTTGATGTAAAACCAACAAAATCTCTGTCAACATTCACTTTAATTGATCCAATAATGTTAACTGATGATAACTTCATTCTCTTTGTCCCCTGTTGGCAGCCTGAAAGTTGATTCTCACTCTAATTCATCACTCAAGGTGCCATCCACAAGACACTAACTTTGCTGTGGATTGTGACTTCTCACGCCAACACTTTTTTCCTGTAACAGTCCTACCTTTGTATATTTAAAGAATTTGTACATGGCTAAAAAAAAATAAAAGTGCTGTGAAATGTCAGGCCATGCTGTGAAATTTTCCATTGTTTCTATATCTCTGGTTGAGCTTTCATGTTATAGAGAACAAGAAAAACAATTCAGTATGTTTCTTAGTATCCAGTCCAATGCACCCTTTCTTATTAATAGCAAACCCGTCTATTCAAGGCACTGACATCTAAAGACAGCTAGATATATCAAAATCTCTTCTCATAAAAAACCTTTATATTAATCACTGTTGCCCAGATCTGGACTCTGACTGTGAAATCCTCCGGTGGAAATTGCTGTAATGGCTCACACTATGGGAATGACTATTTTTCTGCATAATTATTGTTGTCAACTTAGTGAAGAATATCACATTAGATGGTAGCTCTTAGATACATAAACCCTAGTGATTAATTTTTAATGTCCAGCATTTATGATATTGCACAAGTAAAAATCTTTGATAAATGATTAGCTGAGCAATGACTTAAATAACAGCAGTTCAAACATTAATTTACTTACTAGAAGTGCCATACATCATTAACTCCTGGTGAAAACAAAGTTGGGAAATTTCAAGTGCTGAATTGGTTACTAAATTATGTATTTCATGGTATTGTATAAAACTATCCTTGCCGTGTATGATGCCTCACCTGCAAGGATGCAACTTTAGCATATATATATATATATATATATATATATATATATATATATATAGTCTTTGGTTCTTAATATCTCTCTACATTTGCCTTCAAAACCTCAACACAAAAACACCCATGTATTTGACATGTACTTGACTTTCAGCTGACTTGACTACCAGTTATTAGGGTTTAAGTAAACAAAGATTTCAAAATTTGTTGACCAAATATGAGAAATCACACTCTCACCATAAGAAATAATTCTTCTTAAGTGCCACTGCAAATGCAAAATTGAAAGAAGAAATGGAGTCTAACATATTGCAATATTCTAAAATTTAAAATTTCCTCTTTGAGATCTGGTGGTTCATGCCTGGAATCACAGCTCTTTGGGAGGCTGAGAAGGGAGAATTGCTTCAAACCCAGAGTTGGAGACTAGCACAGGCAACATAGCAAGACCAATCTCTACAAAGGTAACTAATTAATTAATTAATTAAATTGGGCATAATGGCACACACCTGTTTTTCTATTTACTCAGGAGTTCAAGGTTCCAGTGAGCTGTGATTGCACACTGCATTTCAGCCTGGGCCATGGGGCAAGACTTTGTTTCTACATAATAATTCAATATAACAAAACAAAGTCAAAATAAAAACACTTTCAGGTGTTCTTTGGAAGTTTGTATAATTGCTCCAAAGCATAGACATTGTTTAAAGTTGAGCAGTTCATGGGGAATTGGCAGTGAACATTGTTTGTATTGTTTTCCAAAAATTAGGATAATTATATTAGAATATTATATGTTAATATCTAATAACCTTTCGTACAATAAGTATTGACAAATGACAAGCTATTGTGTTTATAGATATTTCCTTCAAAATAGTCATAGTTTAATTGGAGAATAAAGAGAGCAGCAATAATTGTAATGTACTCTGACAAGTGTTAAAATAGACACAATTTAGTAACTTGGAGAGGAATGAAGTTCTTAACGGGGTTTGCAGCGGTTTGGGGAACATTCTGAGGGCAGGAACAATTGATTGGATCAGTAAGGATTCGAATTTGCATGAAGAATGTTTGGAAGAAAAACATTGTAGAAAAAAAGAAACATTCTTTTTGTCAATGAAAGAAGTACTAACAATGCATATGAGGCCATCTGACCAATTCTTAGACCATACTAGCTCACTAAATATTTCTTGAATGAATCCATGAAAGGAAGCTATTGGGAAAACGATTCTGGAAGGGATTTTCAAAATCCTATAAAGGAAAGTTAAATACCCTGGACTTTACAATTTTGCCTGCTTTTCTTTATGTTCTTATTATGTCTACTACTTCATAAGCTCTGTTTTATTTTTTGGTCTTTTCACAAATATCATGCATGAATTGTTCCTGATACTACTTCACTCTTAATCTCTTCATACTATATTTCTCTCTGATACTCCTTTGTTTGAGGTCCTGGGTTTGTATGCCCACAGATAACATCACTCACCTCTCCCTGGCACTATTCTGTTATAGAGAGGCCTGGCCCCTGAGAGGCACGGTTCCTAGGCTCACATAAAATTGACTTTCTATTTTAGTTCAGTTAATGGGTGACACTGCAGAGATTAGAGAACAAGATGAGAGAAGCCAGTTTGTTTCCCTTTCCTTCTCAGTAAGAGATATGTTTCCACAGTGATTCCACGGCCTTCAGGACATGCTCTCTGTGTTTCCATTTTCTATGTAGTGACCCTAATCCTAGACTGGTTCTTCTAATGCTGTCTTCTCCAATTGTCTTCTCTAAAGGATTTGGGTACTATTTTTGGAGTTTTAAATTTAAAAAATATTGATATGGAAGGGGGGCAGGGACGTGTCTGGTAGAGGAGGGTGTGGTTCTTGGCTAGGGCTCCACCAACAGGACGATGCTCACTGACCTAGGATAAACTAAATTAACACCATGTAACATATGCCCAATGGGGATTCAGGAGCTGTAAAAATTCACCCCTGGATGCTGCCTGGGGTCGGAGCCCCAAAACCTGTTCTCATTTCTTGCCCAGTAATGGGGGATAAGGAACATTTTCCTGTTTCAATATGAATCTGTTTCCAGTGCAGTATGTTTTCTGCAATACTGCAGTGTTACTTCATTGTATATATTTAACTAAATAAGTTACAAACTGTAACTAATATGAGAAGAAAATAAATGGTGGAGAATAAGGAAGAAAAATGAAACATTGTGTTTAACAATGAATGTAAACAATTATAAGTATGATTAATCAATATGTCAGACCAGCCAGGCAGGTGCTTAACGTCATGAGGGGGCACTGCTTCATCATCTTGGGATTTCATTCTGGGACAGAGAGTGTGAGCAGCAATAAGGTCCGATAAGGAAAAGGATACAATCTGGTGAGGTGTGGATTGTGTCCCACACCTGCACCTGAAAAAAAGGTGAAGACAGATGACACAGAAGTTGCATCCACCTGCATCCCCACATTCCGTTGATTGCACAAGCAGCCCACACCATGGCCCTGTGTTCAAGTGGGTATTCTCCAACCTGCCATTAACATATGGAGTGCAAACTGGGGCTTTGCACTTTGAGGGTTTTCATACCCAGGGCCAAATGGGAGTGGGATGGATTGATGTGGGTGGGATGTGGCCTCCACGCTTGCCTCTTCATTTTCTGACTTTGTGTTCCTCATTGAATTAGGTTTTCCTTGGTCTGGTTCACCATCTTCCACACAAAACATTTCCCAGTTCAAGAAGGATGACCCTCGTGGGAATTCATTGCATGAGTGTTTCCTTCTTAACACTCATGTTTTAGATGGCTGGACAGCCTTGATAGTTTTAAAATGTAAATTCCCACACAGCACCAACAGGGAAACTACTGATCTCCCACTTGTATTGTAGGGTGGCATGATTCCTTTAGGATGAGAAGTAGGCAACAGTGTCTAACTGTTGCCTGGTTATCTAGGCTCTGTTTCATTTCATGTGCACATCCTTTCTCATTGTCGCAGGGCTCCTTCGTTGGGCTGTTGCTGGATAGGACTGCCTCTTGCCACAGATCTTTTGGCTTCCAGGGATTTCAGAGAGGAAACGGGACTTCAGATAGACTGGCTGAACTCCAGGTTGTGGGTCCTGGTTGTGTGTTGGGGGCTGAGGATGTTTGCACTTTGCAGAAGGATTTTTGGTGCTCTGACAAGAATCATTGAACATTGCTTGGACTCCAGCACAAAGCAGCCCATTCTCATAGGTGAGCATTGATTTTTCTTTGCTTTCCTGGGGTGTCCACATTGCCCATCAATAGCTTTACTGGACACCTTTTTCAGGCTTGCCATCGCCACAGACGGCCTCTTAGACACTGTCACAAGCTCATCTGCCCACAAGCGAGGCCAGATCAAGGTGAGAGAACACTGCTCAACCTTGCATTTGCCTATGTCGTGGTTCCTGCCTTTCCCAGATAGGCCCTGTGAGGCCAAGGATGAAGGGAGGCAGTGAGGTAAAGTGATGAGCCATTTTTATTCTCTGAGGTCTTAGGTATGATTCCATCACATAAAGAACCCTCAACTACTCACCAGACTCTATTCCAATCCCCGTCGGACCTGATTCTTGCACACAGACTCTTTCAGGAGTGGAGACAGAAGAGCCATCTCCAGCGACCACCTCACAGTCTCGAAATACCTCCTCCTCCACCGGGACCTGACCAGCGAGATGACCCAGAGGGTCAATAAGGTCAAGACTTTTAGGGTCCCACAGTAGGTTATTGCAGACAGCCTTTTTCTCAATACCAGTCTAGCTCTGCCTGTACCACTTTTGTCTGCTTAGGCAGGCTGACAGTTTTGACAGCCAGGCACCCAAGCCTGCCTCATGAATGCGCCTGTGATAGCCTCAAAGCACCAGTCCTGAGCAGGGAGCTATTGCTAGCTTCACAGTGAATGCCACCATTGCCTAGTGACAAGTCCCTGTGGCTTGACAGAGAAGGAGAACTCCCTGGAGGTGTGTTGGCGATGGAATATTGCCTGTCTTGTCTCAGAGATCCACAGGACAGTCCCATGAATCTAGGAGTGGGTAGATGTGAGTCAGCCTGAAGAAACATCAAGCAGAGCCGCAGGAATGAACTTCAAAATCCCTAAGGATCCATAAGGATCTACAGGATGCCTCAGGCCTAATTAGACATTGTAAGGGTGAGTATTTTTGAAACTTATCCCACGGTGATTACTAGATACAGCCCGCCTGTGTTCCCTGGGGTTGCTCTCTCCCATGTGGGGCTTCCTGAAGAGCCATTCAGCCTCAGGAGCTGCTGGGCTGTGTTTCTGTTGGAGTGTTGCAAGTGTTGGATGTCTGCCTGACTGTGTGGCTTTGTGTATTTGCAGGTGTATGTGTGGGTATGCATGTCTGTAAGCGGAGTCTGCTTATAGTAGAGTGGCTAACACATTGCAGCTCTTCTTTTTTTTCGGTAACTCAACATTCTGGTCGCCTGTGTGTCTGTGGCTCTGCTTGGACTGTGGGTCTCTGTGTTCTTTATTCTTCTGTGGATCGTGAATCTGCAGTGAATTGAGAGTCTGGTTGAGACCCGCCGGAGGCCAAACTACCTCCCCTGCCAAAAAAGAAAAAGGTACTCTTCTGGAAAGAAGAGGGGCACGTCATACCCAGGAATTGACGCCTCCCAGTGTTTCATTGTCCTGTGGCCAACCCAGGGAGGGACACCAGCAGTCTTGTCCACAGGACCCCTTGAATTTACCTCCAATTCGGTTCCCAGCCAAGCACGTGCTTAATGTCATTAGGGGACACTCCTCCATTGTCTTGGGATTTCATTCTGAAACAGAGAGTGTGAGCAGCCATAAGTTCACATAGGGGTGAGCATACAATCTGGTGAGGGGTGGACGGGGTCCTGCAACTTCACCTGCAAAAAAGGTGAAGACAGAGGACATGGACAGTGCTTCCAAATGCATCTCTGCATTCCCTTAATTGCACCAGCAGTGTGCACCATGACCCTGTGTTCACCTGGGAGTACTCCAACGTGCAGGGAACATTTGGTGTGCAAACTGGGGCCATCCTGGCAAACTCCTGATTTGAGGGCTTTCATTCCCATAGCCAAATGGGAGTGAGATGCATTGACGCTGGGTGGGATGTAGCCTCCACACTTGCCTCTTCCTTTCCTGTCTTCCATGATCCCTGTTGGCCTAGGGTTTCCTGGGTCTGGCTAAGGTCTTACACACTAAACATTTCCCCATTCATGGAGGATGACCCTCACTGGAATTCATTGCATGTTTCCTTCTAAACACTGTCACATTTTAATGACTGGGCTCCTTTGATACATTTAAAACCATAAATCAGCATTACAGATGCCATAAAGGAAACTCTTTTTCTCCCACTTCTGTTGGAGGGCTGCATGATTCCTGTAGGATGAGAAGCAGGCAGGCATGCCTGGCTTTTGTTTGGTAATCTAAGCTGTGTTTCATTGTGTCTGCATGTCCTTTCTCATTGTGGAGGAAGTATTTCATTGGACTGTGGCTGGATGCAACTGCCTCTCTCCACAGATCTCTTGGCTGCCAGGGATTTCAGGGAGCAAAAGGGAAGTTGGGTAGGCTGGCTGCACTCCAGGGTGTGGGTCCTGGTCTCTTTGTGGGGACTGGATTTGTTTGCACTTTGCAAGAGGATTTGGGTCCTCTGACAGGAATCTTTGATCATTGCTTGGACTCCAGCTTGGACTCCAGCACAAGTCAGCTCATTCTCTCAGGTGAGTTTTGATTTTTCTTTGCTCTGCATGGCAGAGCTGCATGGCACAAGGCAGCTCATTCTCTGCGGGTCCACATTCACTGTGGGTCCACAGTGACTTTCAACAACACTACTGGACACGCTTTTCAGGCTTGCAATGGCAACAAATGGACTCTGAGACACTGTCTCAACCTCATCTGCACCTGTGAGTGCCCACTTAGAGGTGTGAGAACACTGCTCCACCTTGGACTTTCCTTTGCCATGGTCCCTGCCTTTCCCAGAGAGCTCTTGCAAGGTTCAGAGTGAAGGGAGGAAGTGAGGTAAACGGCCCGGCCAACTTTCGCTGACAATACCTCTGTGGTTTCAGGTATGATTCTGTCAACCAAAGACCCCTGAACAACCCACCAGACTATATTCCAAACCCCATAGGAACCAATTCTTGCACACAGCCTCTTTTGGGAATGGAGTCAGAAGAGCAGCATCCAGCAATCATCTCACAGTCTTGAAACTCCTCCAGCTGGACCAGGCCACAAAAATGGCCCGACGGAGCCCTAAGGTTGAGACTTACAGGGTCCCATAGTGCGTTATCACAGAAAGCCTTTCTCCAGATACCAGGTTGGCTCTGCCTGTAGCATTTTCCTCTGCTTAGGAAGGCTCACAGATCTGATATTTGGGCACCTGTGCCTGCCTTCCGAATGCACATGCGCTCTTCTCAGGCTACCAGGCCTAAGCTGTCAGCTCTGTCTGGCATCACAATGAATGCCACCATTGCATAGCAGCAAGTCCCTGTGGCTTGGTGGAGAAGGAGACCTCCGTGGAGGTGCATAGGTGGTGGATTCTGGCTGTTTTCTCTGTGGGATCACGGGAGAGTCCCATGATCCTAGGAGAGGGCAGACGTGAGCCAACCTGAAGAAAAGTCAAGCAAAGCCCCAGGAATAAACAGTGAAATTCCTAAGGATCCAAGTGTATCTGCAGGATGCATCAGGCCTGCCTAGACGTTGTAGGAGTGAGTCCTTTAGAAACTTGCCCCAGTGTGATTTCGAGGAACAGATCACCTGTGTACTCCATGGTTGCTCTCTCCATGGTGGGGCTTTCTGCAGAACCATGCAGCCTCAGAAGCTGTCTGGCTGTGTGATTCTGTGGGATTGTTGTGAGTGTCGGATGTCTGCTTATGTGTGTGGCTTTGCCTTTGTGTGTGAGTGTGTGTGTGTTAGTGGAGTCTGCTTAAATGAATGTGGCTAACACTCTGTAATGCATCTTTTGTTTGAGTCTTCCAATCTTTTAGTGGCCTATCTATGTGGCTCTGCCTGGGCTGTGTGACTCTGTGTTCTTTATTTTTTTGTGGATAAAGAATCCTCAGTGAATTGGGAGGCGGATGTGACCTGACAGGGTCCAAATCACCTACCCCTGCAATAAAAGCCACTCCTCTTCACACAAGAGTAGACCTCTCCCGCCATGTTTCATTTTCCTGTGGCCAAGCCCAAGAGAGACACTATCCAGTCCTGTCTGCAGGGCCCCTTGAATTTATCTAGAATTCTCTTCCCAGCTGAGCAGGTGCTTCAAGTTGTGAGGGGGAACTCCTCCATCATCTTGGGATGTCATCCTGGGACATACAGTGTGAGCAGCAATAAGATCAGACAGGGGTGAGGATAAAATCTGGCTAGGGGTGGATGGGGTCATGGAACTTCACCCACACACACAAAAAATGAATGCAGATGACACAGAAGTTGCTTCCAACTCCATACCCACATTCACTTAATTGCGCAAGCAGACCACACCATGGCTCGGTGTTCAGTGGGAGTACTCCAACGTTCAAGGAACATTTGGAGTGTAGGTTTGGGCTATGCTGGCAAACTCTGGATTTCAGGGATTTCATGTCCAGAGACAAATGGAAATGGTATGGATTGATGCTGGATGGGATGGCGCTTCTGCAAGCCCTTCTCATTGTGGAGGGGCTCTTTCATTGGGCTGTTGATGGATGGGACTGCCTCTTGCCACAGATTATTTTGCTGCCAGGGATTTCAAAGAGCAAAAGGGACTTTGGGTAGGCTGGCTGCACTCCATGTTTCAGGTCCTTGTCTCATTGTGGGGGCTGAGGTTGTCTGCACTTTGCAGGAGGCTGTTGGATCCTCTGACAGGAATCATTGAACACTGCTTCAACTCCAGCACAAGGCAGCTTGTTCTCTCAGCTGAGCCTTGGATTTTTCCGTGCTTTCTTCAGGAATCCACAGTGCCCCTCGATAGAATTACTGGACATAGTTTTCAGGCTTGCCATCACCACAGATGGCCTCTGAGACACTGTCTCAACCTCATCCATACCCATGAGAGGTCAGTGCAAGATGTGAGAACACTGCTCCACTTTGGACTTGCCTTAGTTGTGGTTCCTGCCTTCCCCAGAGAGCTCCTGCAAGGCCAACGATGAAGGGAGGCAGTGAAGTCAAGAGCCTGGCCATCTCTCACAGACAGCCACGTCTGGGGTTTCAGATATGATTCTATCACCCAAAGAACCCTCAAAAATACAGCAGACTATATTCCAATCTTCATGGGACCTGATTCTGGAACACAGCCTCTTTTGGGAAAAGAGTGAGAAATGCAGTTTCCAGGAACCACCTCAGGGTCTCGAAGCACATCCACCTCCAGGGGGACCTGACCACGGAGACAGCCTGAAGGTGCTTTGAGATTGAGACTCTTAGGGTCCTGCAGTGGATTTTTGCAGGCAGCCTTTTTACCGATACCAGACTGTCTCTGCCTCTACCATTTTTCTCTGTATAGGTAGGCTGACAGCTCTGATAGCCAGGCAGTTGAGCCTGCCTCATGAATGGGAATAAGCATGTCTCAGGGCACAATGCCTGATTGTGAGCTCTGGCTGGTGTCACAATGAATGTCACCATTGCTTAGCCAAAAGTCCCTGTGGCTGGGTGGAGAAGGAGAACTCCATGGAGGTTTATCGGTGGTGGACTGCCACCTCTCTTTTCTGTGGGTTCCAGTGGATAGTCTGATGAACTTAGGAGATGGCAGAGTTGAGCCAGCCAAAAAAAAAGTCAAGCAGAGCCCCAAGATAAAACTGCAAAATCCCTAAGGATCCAAAAGTATCTGCAGGATTTGTCAGTCCTGCCTAGACATTGAAGGGGTAAGTCTTTTTGTAACTTGCCCCACTGTTGTTTCTAGGTACAACCCACCTGTGTTCACTGGAGTTGCTCTCTCTCAGGTAGGACTTCCTGCAGAACCACGCAGCTTCAGGATCTGCCGGGTTGCGTGTTTCTGTTACAGTGTTGTGACTCTTGGATGTCTGCATGTGTTTTTGTGGCATTTGTGTGTGTGGGGGTGTGTATGTATGTGTGCACCTGTAAGTAGAGTCTACTTAAAGAAATGTGGCTAACACACTACATGGCTTTATTGTTTTGAGTGTCCTAACATTCTGGTAGCCTATATGTGTGACTCTGCTTGGGCTGCAGTGTTCTATGTTTTTTTCTTTTCTCTTTTTTTTCTGTGGATCATAAATCCTCAGTGAATTGGGAGGGGGTCCAAGAACCTCTGGCATCCTAATCACCTAATACTGCAAAAAAATAAAAAGCCATAACAAAAAACAAACATCTCCCAGTGTTTCATTGTCTTGCAGCCAACCCAAGGACAGACACTAGCAGTACTGTCCACAGGGCCCCTTGAACTTACCTCGAATTCAGTTCCCAGCCAAGCAGGTGCTTCAAGTCATGAGGGGGCACTCCATCATCCTGGTATTTCATCCTGGGACATAGAGTGTGAGCAGCAATAAGGTCAGATAGTGGTGAGGATACAACCTGGTAAGGGGTGGATTGGGTTCCACAACTTTACCTGGAAGAGAAATGAAGACAGGTGACACAGAAGGTGATTCCAACTCCATCCCTGCATTTCCTTAATTGTACAAGTAGTCCACACCATGGCCCAGTGTTCAGGTGGTGAGGAAAGATGCCACCTCTCTTATTGTCTCATAAATCAGAAAAGGAAAGAGGAAGTAAAAACTAAAGAAAGGCAGAAATGAGATCAATAGTCAGAAAGCTGGCACCACACTCCAGGCCTGGTACTTAAAAGTCAACACTGACCTAACAGCTTGTATTATCCATAGATTCCAGACATTGTATGAGGAAGAATTGTCAAAGTTTCTGTTCTGTTCTGTTCTGTCCTGATTACTGATACATGCAGCCCAGCCACATACCAATGCTTGATCAATTGATCACAACCCTTTCACATGGACCCCTTAGATTTGTAAGCTTTAAAAGGAGCAGGAATCTCTCTCTCAGGGAGCCTGGTTTTTGAGACACAAGTCTGCTGACGCTCCTAGCCAAATAAAGCCACTTCCTTCTTTAAGCCGGTGTCTGAAGGGTATTGTCCATGGCTTCTCCTGCTACAATTTTCACTTCCTTGACTGGGAAGCAAGGTGATTAGCAGAAGGTTGACGCAGCCCATTAGGTGGCTTAGGTCTGCCCTGTGGAGCATCCTTGTGGAGGGCTCCATCCAGCTTGAGCGACGTGGATCCTGAGAGCGCTCTTGGGTAGGCAATTGCCCCAGTGGAATGCCTCACCAGAGCAGTGCACAGCAGGCACCCATAAAGGATTGATGCAGTGGCTGTACACCAGGAAGGAACTGGCACTTGGAGTCTGGACATCTGGAACATAGTATGGCTGGTCTTGGGAACTTGCCTACTCCAAGCGGAAGCATGGCCTGATACCCATGGCATGCCTTTATTGGCACTTTGGTTTAGGTTTTGATTTTGACTTGGATTTAATTACTTGATTTAGTGTGAATTAGACGAGTGTGTGACTTTTACCCTTTCCCTCTTGCAGTGTGAGTATTGTCTTTTCTTGGGAGAAAAATGGATCAGACACAAAGTAAGCCCACCCTGCTAGGAACTATGTTGAAAAATTTCAAGAAGAGATTTAAAGGAGACTATGGAGTTACTATGACATCAGGGAAACTTAGAACTTTGTGTGAGATAGACAGGCAAGCATTAGAAGTGGGTTGGCCATCAGAAGGAAGCCTAGATAGGTCCCTTGTTTCAAAGGAATTGTAATCTGTAAACCAGGGCACCCAGATAAGTTCCCATACATAGACACTTGGTTATAGCTGGTTTTAGACCCCCCTGCACAGTGATTAAGAGGATAGGCAGCAGCAGCAGTGCTAGTGGCAATGGGACAGATAGCCAACGAAGGATCCCACTCCACCCGCCAAAGGAAGTCGGCTCCTAAAGTTCTGTCTGACCCAATATCAGAAGACTCATGGCAGGAAATGGCACTGATGATACCCCAACCTTACCGAGAAGAGAGACTCCCTACTCCCGAGCCCACAGCATCTGTGTCTCTGAAGGACACACACCCACCCCTATGCCACCACAGTAGACAAGAGAGGATGTGAAGCCATGGGATAAACCGCACCCTTGGCAGCTCACTTATGACCTAAGGCTGAGATTCAAATGCCCCTGTGGGAGCAGCAGCATAGTGGGGTAGATGAGGATGGGCATATATTAAAAAGGTGTGCCTTTTTGTATCAACCCTTTACCTCTGCTGATCTCCTAAATTGGAAAAATAATACCCCATCTTATACTGAAAAACCTCAAACTTTAATGGGTTTTCTCCAAACTATTATCCAGACCCACAACCCTACTTGGGCTGATTGCCACCAGCTGCTTTTGTACCTCCGTAACACAGATGGAAGGCAAAGGGTGCTCCAGGCAGCAACCAAGTGGCTGGAGGGACATGCTCTGGCCAGTTACCAAATCTGCAGGAGTACATGAGGATCCAATTACCAGAAACAACCCCCCAGTGGGACCCAAATGCAGGGAAAGGTATAGAAAGGTTAAAGCAATATAGGGAAGGCATCCTAGAAGGGTTAAGAAGAGAGCTCAGAAGGCCAGAAATGTTAGCAAAGTGTCTGAGGTCATTCAAGGGAAAGAAGGGAGTCCAGCACAATTTTATGAAAGATGTTGAGGCCTATTGTATGTACACACCCTTTGATCTTGAAAGCCCTGAAAATCAATGCGTGATTAACATGGCTTTAGTTAATCAAAGCACAGGAGACATTATAAGAAAACTTCAGAAACAGGCTAGGTTTGAGGGTATAAACACTTCACTGTTATTGGAAATAGCCAATCAGGTGTTTGTGAATAGAGATGCATCAGGCCATAGAGAAAACTGCAAAGAAAGTGAGCACAAAGCTAGGCAAAAGGCCAACCTCCTAACCGCAGCTATTAGAGGGGTTCACCTGAAGGGCCAACGAAAGGGAGGCCCTGGAAAAAAAACACCCAGTTTGACCAACCACACCTGCAGCATAACCAGTGTGCATACTGTAAAGAAATAGGGCATTGGAAAGACAAGTGCCCCCAGTTAAAAGAGAAACAAAATGGCCTGAGCCAGAGGTCTCAAGCAAGGATGAAGTGTCCTTGTTTAATCTGGCAGAAGATTTACTGGACTGAGGGGAACTGGGCTCAGGTGCTCCCAATGAGCCCATGGTCAGTATGACAGTCAGGGGCAAACACATTGATTTTCTTGTCAATACTGGTGTGGAACATTCAGTAGTAACCACCCCGGTCACCCCTTTATCCAAAAAGACTATTGATATAATCAGAGCCACAGGGGTCTCAGCAAAACAAGTTTTCTGCTTGCCCCAGACTTGTACTGTAGGGGCACCTGAATCACTGTTCATTATGGCGCTTATCTACCCCGGGAGGAGGAATGGAGACTTTTCTTAACTAAGCCAGGCCAAGAGCTAGGACTAGCTCTGGCTAAGTGGTGGCCAAGGGTGTGGGCAAAAGATATGCCTCCAGAGCTCGCAGTCAACCAAGCCCCCATACTCATAGAAGTTAATTTTGGGGCCCAGCTGGTCAGACAAAGACAGTCCCCAGTCCCCAGACAAGCTCTTGACAAGGTATCCAGCCAGGTTCATCTCAAATGCCAGAGAGCCTTTGGAATTATAGTCCCTTGTCAGTCACCATGGAACACTCCCCTCTTGCCTGTTCTCAAGCCAGGGACCAAGGACTACAGGCCAATACAGGACTTGTTCTTAGTCAATCACACTACAGTGACTTTACATCCAACAGTACCTAACCCATACACAGCCTGGATCCATCACCATCGTGAAACACCTTCAGTGCCTGAGACCTGGGAGGTAAGACCAAGACCAGGCAACCACTGCAAAGTGACACTCAGAAAGATGACAAGTCCTGCTCCAGTCACACTTTTAAGCTGACTGGTCTACACATGATTGAAGCATGAGAAAACTCATGGTGGGATTTATTCTCCTTAAAATTTGGACTTGTATAATAAAGACTGATTATACAATGTTTACTGTGGATGTTTTCCACACTAAACGTTTCCCAGTTCATGGGAGAGGATCCTCAAAGAATCCATTGCATGAGTGTTTCCTTCTAAACCCTGTCATGTTCCCAACATGGAGGACTGTTCCCTGTGTATTCATCATGTTACTGAGGTAGGGAAACAAGTTAAAACAATCTTTCTCTTTTATAGATATTCTGAATGCCTGGGAACTTTAAAAGAAAATTGCCTGTGTAACTTCACTCAGATGTGCTATAACGCATCTGAATCTCCTGTGATCACAGTCTTTGAAACAAGATTAAGAACTCTTCCTTTTCTAAGTTATACAAATAAAACAATAGCAAAACAGAAGAAAAATGAATCCCCAAACACAAAATCTTAAATTATGATGGTTGTGCCACCATTAATATTAACCATCAAGGAAGGATAAGGATGTGGCTGTATAGACTGAGAAAAAAGTTATCCAGCAGAGAATAAGTATATTTGCTACGAGTTAGGCTGATGTGACAAAGCATGTAATTACTGGTCTTGTGTCATTTTGGCTACCTGGAAAAACAATGAAAAATATCCAGTATGGCTTCAGAAAGGAAAGAGCGATTCCTCTTGCACAAGCAGCCACTGTAACACCTTAGAACCAATAATCACCAGTCCCCTATACCCCCACTGGAAAAAGGGAAAACATGTAACTCTTGGGATCAATGTAGCTGGACTGGATCCTTGAGTAAATATTTCAGTCAGACAAGAGGTCAAAATGTGTTCTCACAAACCAGTGTTTCAGACCATCTGTGATGAATTAAATCTGCCCGTACCAGAGTTCCCAGGGAAGACAAAGAATTTGTTTCTGCAGTTAGCAGAAAATGTAGTCCATTCCCTCAATGTTTCTTCCTTTTATGTATATGAGGGAACCACTATGGGAGACCAATAGCTTTAAGAAGCCCAAGAATAAGTGCCTACTGATCCAATTCCCAATATGATTACAATCCAGAAGACTCACACTGGCAACTTCTGGGTCCAAAGAACCTCAATTATTGGGCAGTATTGAATAGCTATAGAAGGAAACAACTTCATCCTCCCTGTGGGAAGGTTTACCTGCCTTGGGGAAAAGCTCGGCAAATGCCGTATAACAGCACAGTAAAAACAGCCACATGGTGGGGTGCAAACCACACTGAGAAAAATCTGTTGGTAAATTTCCAAAGTTGCAAACCATGTGGACCCACACAGAGTCTCATCAGGACTGGACAGCCCATGCTGGACTATACTGGATATCTGGGCATAGAGCATACACATTACCTGAACACTGGGCAGGTAGTTGTGTTATCGGCACAATTAAACCATCATTTTTCCTACTGCCCATGAAAACGCATGAACTCATAGGCTTCCCAGTCTATGCTTCCTGAGAAAAGAGGAGCATAGCTATAGGTAAATGGAAATATATCGAGTGTCTCCCTAAAAGAATCATACAATACTATGTGCCTGCCACTTGGACACAAGATGGCTCATGGGGATACTGAACCCCCATTTACATGCTCAACCAAATCATACAGTTACACACTGTCTTAGAAATAATCACTAATAAAACAGGCAGAGCTTTGAGTCTTTTAGCCTGGCAGGAAACCCAGATAAGAAACACTATCTATCAAAATAGATTAGCCCTAGACTACTTGCTAGCAGCTGAAGGAGGGGTCTGTGGAAAATTTAACCTAACCAATTGCTGTCTGTATATAGATCATCAAGGGCAAGTGGTCAAAAATATAATCAGAGATAGGACACAGCTTGCACACGTACTGTCATTTTGGCTACCTGGAAAAAGAATGAAAAATATCCACTGACATTGGTTTGATCCAGGATCAATATTTGGAAAACAGTTCCCAGTGTTAGGAAGATTTAAAACTCTCATAGTAGGAATAATAATAGTAATAGGAACCTGCTTGTTTCTCCCCTGCTTGCTACTTGTACTCCTTCAAATAATGAGAAGCCTTGTTACTGCCTTGGTCCACCAAAATGCTTCAGCACCTGTATATTACATGAACTACTATAGATCTGTCTTGCAGGAAGACCTAGTTAGGGAGGATGAGAGTGAGAAATCCAACTAATAAGTGAGATTCTCAAAGTGGGGAATAAGGAGGGAGACCACCTCTCCTATTGTCTCATACCTTAAAAAAAGAAAGAGGAATCAAAACCTAAAGAAAGGCAGAAATGAATTCAACTGTCAGACGGAACACGCACCACACTCCAGGACTGGTAATTAAAAATCAACCCCTCACCTGACCGCTTGTATTATCTATAGATTCCAGACACTGTATGAGGAAGCATCGTGAAACTGTCTGTTTTGTTCTCTTCTATCCTGATTACCAATAGATGCAGCCTCAGCAACATACCCCATGCTTGCTCAATCAATCATGACCCCTTCACAGGGAGCCGTTTGGAGTTGTAAGCCTTTAAAAAGGGCAGGAATCTCTCTCTCAGGGAGCTTGGTTTTTGAGACACAGTCTGCTGATGCTCCCGGCTGAATAAAGTCACTTCCTTCTTTAAGCCAGTGTCTGAAGGGTTTTGTCCATGGCTTATGCCACTACAATGGGAGTATTCCAATGTGCAAGGAACATTTGAAGACTTGGATTGCAAATTTGGGCCATCCTGGCAAACCCCCATATGAAGGCTTTCATACCAGAAGCCAAATCGGAGTAAGAGCCATTGATACAAGGCAAGATGTAGCCTCCACACTTGCCTCTTTGTATTCTGACTTACCTGTTTCTCATCAGCCTAGTGTTTCCTGGGTCTGGCTCAATGTCTTCCACATAAAACATTTCCCAGTTCATGGAAGATGACCTTCAAAGAATCCATTGCATGAGTGTTTCCTTCTAAACACTGTCATGTTTTAATGACTGGACATCTGTGATAATTTTAAAAACATAAATTCCTGTTACAGCCACCAACAAGGAGACTCTTGCTCTCCAGCTTTTACAAGAGGGCTGATAACTTTAGGAGGAGAAGCAGGCAGCCATTTCTAGCTTTTGCCTGGTAATCTAGACTCTGTTTCATTCCATCTGCATGTCCTTCCCCATTGTGGAAAGGGTCTTTCATTGGGCTTTTGCTGAGTTGGGCTGCCTCTCACCACAGATTTATTGGCTGCCAGGGATTTCAGGGAGGACAAGGGACTTAGTGTAGGCTGACCACAAGCCAGGTTGTGGGTTTTGGTCTCGTTTTGGGGGGTGAGGATGTTTGCACTTTGCAGGAGGCTTTGTGTTCTCTGACAGAAATCATTGAACATTGCTAGGACTCCAGAACAAGGCAACTCATTCTCTGTGGGAAAGAGAGTTTCTGGGATGCCAGATGAGTTGGTCTCCCCTGTGTGAGACAGCCATGGGGAGCCATGCGTGGCCTCTGAGGAGAAAAGGCTCCTTATTGCCTTCATGTCATGTTGAGAGCATAATAGCTCAGTGGCATGCTACAGGTTGCTCAGGGAAATAACACTCCCTTGAAGCAGTGGCGTGCAATCAAATATCTTGTCTTCTCCTGAAACCCACTCCCACCCATTTCAGTCCCAATAAGTTATTTTTATTATTTTTATCATTATTATTTTTGAGACGGAGTCTCACTCTCTCGTCCAGGCTGGAGTGCAGTGGTGCGATCTTGGCTCACTGCAAGCTCCACCGCCCAGGTTCACACCATTCTCCTGCCTCAGCATCCCAAGTAGCTGGGACTACAGACCCCCACCACTGTGCCCAGCTAATTTTTTGTATTTTTAGTAGAGACAGCGTTTCACCGTGGTCTTGATCTCCTGACCTCGTGATCTGTCCACCTCGGCCTCCGAAAGTGCTAGGATTACAGGCGTGAGCCACTGCACCCGGCTGTTAAAAGTCTTAAGTAGTTTAGACACATGCCTTTGCTAGAGGAAATTCACAGAAACCACCACTGCTATACATCTTATTGAATGACTCATGAGTTCTCCATCACTGATTAATCCTTTTCCTTATCCCTTCCTACACCTCCCATCTGACCTAAGAACAAAGAGCTTGTAAACCAATAAATTGAGTGGAGGCTGAGAGCTCCGGGCCATGAGCAAGCCTCCAATTCTCCCGTCCCCTGGACCTGCCTTTTAAACTCTCATTCTGCTTCTTTCTAATTCCTTTGTCTCCGCTGGACTTGGGGGACCCACCCGCTGGTGTGGGGCTTCTTTCCTCAACATCTGGTGCCCAACATGGTGCTCCCTATAATATCTACAAATAATCCAGTGAGGAAAAGCCAGAGCATGGAAAGTGGAGGATGACTGACAAAGGACAGCTGAGTACCTTTTCACTCACGCTCTATAGGTCAGTAGGGCTCTCAGAGAATTCCAGGGCAACCTCAGGAAAATATGGGTCAGGGTGAAAACAAGTTTGCTAATTACTTAAGCCTGGTGCAGCAGTTATTGAGCCATAGAGGAGTAATTATGAGTACTCAGAATCTCACCTCTGTTTTCCATCTCATAGAAAAGTATTCTCCTTGGTTCCCAGAATATGGAACCATGAATGTAAAAGACTGGGACAAGATCGGACCAGACTTAAAAGGAGCACACCAAGAGGGCCACAATATTCCCTTCTCCACTTGCTCTGGGTGGTCAGCAATTAAAACAGCACTGGAGCCCTTCCACACTGAGGAGAAGAAGGAGAAGTTTCAGGATGACATAGAAAAGTTTAATAATCAGGAGTCTGATAATCAGCAAAGTGAACCATCACTGTCTAGTTTAAAAAAAAAAGGGGCGAAATGGGAAGGAATATATGCTAACTTCCA
This sequence comes from Homo sapiens, assembly GCF_000001405.40. Classification (NCBI taxonomy): domain Eukaryota; kingdom Metazoa; phylum Chordata; class Mammalia; order Primates; family Hominidae; genus Homo; species Homo sapiens. Next base: position 21,850,029 of record NC_000024.10, on the reverse strand, counting down.
AAAACATATGAAAGAAACAGTTCCCCCTACTGTGCCTTTAGGGGAAGGTGCAGAATGACCACCTCCACCTCAGCCTTATGAGTTTTTGGAATGGGAGACTGAGACGTGGCTTGCTGCTCCCATTGTTGCATGACCTACCATTGACTATGGTAAAGGGAAGCTTCAACAGCCCAACAGCCAGTTACAGTGAGGGAATGATCCAGGCTTGTCCACCTGTTAATTATGGGAGAAAAATACTGTAAGCCAGTCCAAATACAAATTATGGTGCAGGGGCAATTCAGGCATCCAGCCAGTCCAAATACAAATTATGGTGCAGTGGCAATTCAGGCATCCATTTGACAGGCACAAGAAATAGGGGATTTCGATGCTTGGCAGTTTCCAATAATTATTTCTCCAGCTGAAAAGCCCAGAGAACATGCTGAGGCATGCTGGGAGCCATTTCCCTTTAAAATATTAAAAAAGATTTAAAGCAAGCAAGTGGACAATATGGGCCAAATTCTTCTTATGTTCATTCCTCATTACAATTTGTGGCTTATAACTGGCATTTAATACCTATGGATTGGGAGTGATTAGCTCGATCCACCCTGTCTCCCTCTCAGTTTCTCCATTTTAAAACCTGGTGGACAGATGAAGCAACAAATCAGGCATGCAGACATGCTCAAGCCCAACCTCCCATTAATATCACATCTGATCTATTGCTTGGAATCAGACAGGCATTGGGTACTGTAAATCAACAGATGGTAATGGGTGATGAGTCTGTTGATCAGCTCAGAACTATACGCTGAAGATACCAGGAAAAAAATTCATGACCCTGTTACTACTTATCCTTCTTTTAACTCAGTTTGACAGGGCCCAAGGGAGATTTATCCAGATTTTATTGCTACATTTGCAAGAAGATGCTCAAAAGGCTATTTTGAATTCCTGTGCCAGGAAAGTGATCATTCAGCTGCTTGTTTATGAAAATGTGAATACAGAATGTCAGGCAGAAATTAGATCTATTAAGGTAAAGGCAGATCTAAATGAGGAAAAACTTTAAGTGAATATATTACAGCCTGTGATGGCATTGAGGGGCACTTATATAAGGCCAACCTCCTTTCTCAGGCAGTGGCTGGACTAAGGGTAACAAAAAGCACATGAGTGTTCCCTGGATCTTGATATAATTGTGGACGGATAGTACATACAAAAAGAGAGTGTACAAAGAGCCAAAAAAGGCAAAACTCAGGACCAGGCCCTGATTCAAAACAGGGCATTCCCAATTCAGGGCAGGTCATCCCTGACTCCAAACAGAGTATTCCCATCCCAGTCTATCCCTTTACAAATGTACAGCAATTGTCCCCCTCCAGAGATAAAAGTGGGGCAGTAAATACATGCTGTACAAAAGCTGTATTCCTCCTTCCTGGGGAGACTCGCAGGAAGATCCCAATGGGAGTCTATCGCCCATTGTCAAATGGCATGGTGGGACTTATACTGGGAAGGTCCAGCTTAAAATTAAAGGGAATTCAAGTACATACCGGAGTAGTGGACTCTGATTGCCAGGGAGAAATTCAAATTGTTATTTCCTCCATTGTCCACTGGAGTACTAATCCAGATGACAGAATAGCTCAACTGTTGCTTTTACCATATGTTAAGTTACGAGAAAGCTCAGAAAAAAAGGAGGATTTGGAAGCACAAATTCAGCAGGCAAGGCTGCCCATTGGGTAAATCAAGTCTCTGACAATAGACCTATTTGTATGGTCACTATTCAAGGAAAACAATTTAAGGGTCTGGTCGACACAAGAGCAGACATGTCAATCATAGTTCTTTATCAATAGCCAAAAAACTGGCCCAAACAAAAGGCCCCAGTGGGTCTTTTTGGGGGTGAGGATTTGCTTGCATCTCACCAGGAGAGAATCAGCTTCTTCTCTGGGTACCCACAAGACATGTTAAGTGGTGCCAAGAGCCAGAATTCAAGCAAAAGGAAAAGACCTCAGAAAGTCCTTGCACCACCAGTTCATCAGATGGCTCAGATGAACATCTTTGTTAAGCAGGTGGAAACCAGTAAAACTCACTAAACAACTCCACTGACCTGGGGGCAGATGAGGAGACTAGCTCACATTGAAGAAGAGAAACTGAGGTCTCAGCACAAGCTGCTGACCACCAGTAATCTAATGGTAGCTATGATGGTGGTAATCCCCTTGGTGGTGAGTCTCCCTGCAGAGGGGCAGATCAAAATTACACTTATTGGACCTACATCCCATTCCCACCACTGATTAGACCTGTTACAAGGTTAGATGCCCCAGTGAAGGTTATGTTAATGCTAGTGTCTGGATGCCTGGACCAATAGATAACTGAGGTCCTACTCATCCAGAGGAGGAAGGAATGTTAATGAAAGTTTCCATTGGTTATCACTTTCCTCCCATCTGCCTGGGGCCAACAGCAGGATGTTTAAATTATGATCAACAATGTCAGATGGTTTATGTCCCTGCACATAATGGATGAAAGGCCTCTATTCATGTAATCAGTGGAAGAACATTTCAATCTTTGGACACAATTAAATACCTTGAGCATGGCTATGTTATGACACATCATCAGATTAATAAATTTAAACCTAATAAGAAGTCCTGCCCCAGGCAGGCCACTAAATGATCTGAAAAGCTAGAGATGCTAACCTGGGAAGACTGTATTGCAAACAGTGCTGCAGTATTGAAAATAATTCCATTGGATTCATCACTGATTGGGCCCCTAGGGGTCACTTTTCAGTAAATTGTACTGGACAGAGCAAAGACTTTAGAGAGACTCCTTTACAAACGACTACCCAGATAATGTACCAATATTATATAGAAGAATTGAAACAAATTACCCTATTAAGTAGGAGAGAACGGTATGGCTCCTCCAAAGCCAAAAATGATTGATCCAATTATAAGTCCAGAACATCCAAAATGTGGAAATTAATGATGTCTCAAACCCCAGTTGGGATTCAGAAAGGAGAATATAAAACAGACACCCAGAGTAAAAAACTTCAATTTGTTGTAGCCATGATAGCTAATCAGACAGTCCCATTACAGAGTTGTGTTAAACCTCCTTTTATGTTAGCAGCAGGAAAAGTTAATATCCTGCTTGACTCTCAAAGCATATCATGCCTCAGCTGTCATATTTTTACCTGCATTAATTCTACCTTTAATAAAGATAATAGCATTTTACTGGTTAGGGCCCAAGAAGGAGTTTGGATACCTGTTTCCCTCAATAGAACTTGGGAGTCCTCTTCCTCCATATATATTATCACTGCAGTACTAAAAGAAATACTTAATGATCAAAGAGATTCATATTTACTTTAATAGCTCTCATCATGGGTCTTAAATCTGTCACAGCTATAGCTGCTGCTGCTGGCTTTGCTTTGCACTCTTCTATTCAACCTGCGAGCGCTGTGCATAGTTGTCAGAAAAATTCTTCCAAGCTTTGGAATTCCCAAAGCCAAATAGATCAAAAATTGGCAAATCAAATTAATGATCATCAGACAGTAATCTGAATGGGAGATCGGATTATGAACTTGGAGCATAGAATTCAAATGCAATGTGATTGGAATACTTCTGATTTCGTATTCCTCCTAGCTCTTATAATATCACTGAACACCACTGGGAGATGATTAGACATCACCTACCAGGAGAAGAAGATAATTTAACATTAGATCCTGCTAAACTGAAAAAACAACTTTTTGCCGCATCTCAGGCTCATCCCATCCTGTTGCCTAGAGCTGATATTCTTGCTGGAACCACTGAGGGCCTTTTTAACACTAATCCTTTAAAGTGAATTAAAACCATAGGTGGATCATCAATTGCAAATATTACTTTGGTGTGTGTCTTTTTATGCTGTTTTTTTTTTAACCTACTGATGCAGACAGCATCTTGGGAGAGTAGATAGACACCGTGAATGAGCTATGATAGCAATGGTGGTTATTAATTTAAAAAAATGGAGACAAAAAAGTGGGACATGTGGGAAAGAGAGTTTCTGGGATGCCAAATGAGTTGATCTCTCCGGTGTGAGACTCCCATGGGGAGTCACTCCCATGGGTGGCCTCTGAGGAGAAAAGTCTCCTTATTGCCTTCATGTCCTTATGCCCAGAGAGCATAACAGCTCAGCGGGCTGCCACAGGTTGCTCAGGGAAATAACACTCTCTTGAAGCAGTGGAGTATAATCAAACATCTTGGCTTCTCCTGAAGCCTTCTCCCATCCATTTCAGTCCTGATAAGTTAAATATATTAAGTAGTTTAGACACACGCCTTTGCTAGAGGAAATTCACAGAAACTGCTACTGCTATACATCTTATTGAATGACTCACGGGTTCTCCCTCACTGATTAATCCTTTCCCTCAGCCCTTCCTACCCCTCAGATCTGCCCTAAGAACAAAGAGCTTGTAAAGCAATAAATTGGGTGGTGGCTGAGAGCTCCAGGCCATGAGCAAGCCTCCAATTCTCTGGTCCCCTGGACCTGCCTTTTAAACTCTCATTCTGTCTCTTTCTAATTATTTGTCTCTGTTGGATTTAGGGTACCCACGGGGCATTGTGGGGCTGGTTTCCCAACAATTCTCTCAAGTGATTTTTTTCTCCTGTCATTAGGAATCCACAGTGCTCTTACATCAACACTACTGGATACCCTAAGGGTAGCAATCTCCACAGACCGCCTCTGAGACACTGTCTTAACCTCATCTGCACCCATGACAGGCCAGTTCAAAGTGTGAGAACATGTCTCCAACATCGACTTGCCTTTCTTTTGGTTCTTGATTATCTGGGAGAGCACCTGTGAGGCCCAGGATGAAGGGAGGCAGTGAGATTAAGGGTCTGGCCAGCTTTTGCTGACACCTGCCTCTGGGGTCTTCTATCACCCAAAGAACACTGAACAACACAACAGACTATATCCCAATCCCCATGGGATTGGGGTATTGTACACACACATTCTCTTTCAGGAATGGAGTCAGAAGAGCAGTTTCCAGCGACCACCTAACAGTCTTGAAATGCCTACTCCTCCAGCGGGAGGAGACCGTGGAGACTGCCCATGGGACCCTAAGGTCAAGACGTTTAGGGTGTCACAGTGGGTTTTCACAGGTAGCCATTTTCCCGATGTGAGGCCAGCTTTGCCTGTGCATTTTCTTCTGCCTAGGCAGGCTGGCAGCTCTGACAGCTGGGTTCTTGAACCTGCCTGAAGAATGTGCATGTACTATTCTCAGGGCACCAGGCCTGATGGTGAATTCTGGCTAGCCTCACAATGAATGTCACTGTTGCCTAGCAAAAAGTCCCTGTGGCTTGGCAGAAAAGGAGATCTGCTTGGAGGTGCATTGACAGTGGACTCTCCCCTGTCTTTTCTGTGGATTCCACAGGATAGTCCCATGATACTATGAGAGGGCAGATGTGAGCCAGCCTGAAGAAACATCAACCAAGGTCAGAGAGCTTGTGGGAGTCAGCCTGAAGAAACATCAACCACAGCCCCAGAAATAAACTGCAAAATCCCTAAGGATCCCAAAGGATCTGCAGAATTCCTCAGGCCAGCCTATAAGTTGTATGGGCTTTGAAACTTGCCCCAATGTGATTTCTAGGTACAGCCTGCCTGTGTTCCCTGGGGTTGCTGTCTCCCAGGTGGGGCCTCCTGCAGAACTATGCAACCTCAGGATCTGCCATGCTGTGTGTTTCTGTGGGCATGTTGTGAGTGTTTGACATCGAGTGTGTGTGGCATTGTGTGTGTGTGTGTGTGCCTGTAAGTGGAGTCTGCTTAAAGGAATGGGGCTAACACACTTCAGTGCTTCTTGTTTTTAGCCTCACTACATTTTGGTGGCCTGTCTGTGTGGCTATGCTTGGGCTGCATGGCTCCGTGTTATTTTTCTGTGGATCATGAATCCGCAGTGAATTTGGAGGTGGGCCAAGACCCGCCAGCGTCCAAATCACCTCCCCCTGCACTAAAAACCACTCTTCCAGAAGAGTAGCACACCACACCAAAAACCAGGTATCTCTCAGTGTTTCCATCATCTTGAGGACAACGCAGGGAGAGACACTAGCAGATCTGTCTGCAAGGCCACTTAGATTAACCTCGAATTTGGTTCCCAGCTGTGAACATGCTTCACATCATGAGGGGGCACTACTACATCTTCTTGTGATTTTATCCTGGAACATAGAGTCTGAGCAGCAATAAGGTCAGCTGTGGTGAGGATACAATCTGCTGAATGGAAAATGGGGTCCAGCAACTTCACCTGCAAAAAAATAAAAATAAAAATAAAGACAGATGACAGAAAAGATGCTTCTAACTCCAACCCAACATTCCCTTAATTGCAAAAGCAGTCCACACCATGGCCCAGAATTCAGTTGAGAGTACTTCAATGTGCAAGTAGCATTTGGAGTGCAAATTGGGGTCATCCTGGCAAACTCCCAATATGAGAGCTTTCATACCCAGAGCCAAATGGGAGTGGAATGGATTGATGCTGGGTAGGATGTGGCCTCTACACTTGCCTCTTCTTTTTCTGACTTCCATGTTTCTTACCAGCCTAGGGTTTCCTGTGTCTGGCTCAACGGCTTCCACACTAAATGTTTCTCAGTTCATGAGAATGACCCTCATGGGAATCCATAGCATGAGTGTTTTCTTCTAAAAACTCTCATGTTTTAATGACTCGGTAGCTTTGATACTTTAAAAACCATAAACTCCTGTTACAGCCAACAACAAGGAAACTCTTATTCTCCCAGTTCTATTGGAGTGCTGCATGATTCCTGTAGGATGACAAGCTGGCAGCTGTGTCTGGCTTTGCCTGGTAAACTAGCCTCTGTTTCCTGTCATCTGTATGGCCTTCTCATAGTGGAGGGGCTCTTGCATTGTTCTGTTGCTGGATAGGAATGCCTCTTCCCACCAATTATTTAGCTGCCAGAGATATCAGAGAGCAGAAGGGACTTTGCATCATCTGGCTGCACTCCAGATTGTGGATTGTTGTATGTTGTGGGAGCTGAAGTTGTTTGCACTTTGCAGGAGTCTTTGGGGTCCTCTGACAGGAATCATTGAACATTGCTTGGACTCTGGCAAAAGGCATCTTGTTGTTTCAGGTGAGCTTTGATTTTTCTTTGCTTTCATGGAGAATTCACAGTGCTCCTCAACAGCACTACTGGACACCATTTTTAGGCTTGCCGTCACCACAGACAGCCTCTGAGATGGTGTCACATCCTCATATGCACCCATGAGGGGCAAGTTCGAGGTGTGAGAACAGTGTTGATCTTATACTTGCCTTGTCTTGCTTCCTGCCTTTCCCAGAGAGCCTATGTGAGGCCCCCGATGAAGGGAGGCAGAGAGGTCAAGAGCCTGGCCATCTTTTGCTGACACCCACCTCTGGGATCTCAGGTCTGCTGCTATCACCCAAAAAACCCCTCCAGAACACACCAGACTATATATCAATCCCTATGGGACCTAATTCTTTCACACAGCCTCCTTTGGGAACGGACTCAGAAGAGAAGAGCAGTTTCTGCGACCACCTCATGGTCTCAAAACACCTCCTCCTCCAGTGGGACACAACCATGGAGATGGCTTGAATAACCCCCAAAGTTGAGACTTTTAGGGTCCTTCAGTGGGTTTCACAGGCAGCTTTTTTCCCGATACCAGACCGACTCTGCCTCTGCCATTTTCCTCTGCTTAGGCAGGCTGACAGGTCTGAGAGCCAGGGCCAGAGCCTGCCTCATTAATGTGCGTGCCCTAGTCTCAGGGCATCAGGCCTGATTGCGAGCTCTGGCTAGCTTCACAATGAATGTCACCTTTGCCAGTGACAAATCCCTGCAGCTTGGCAGATAAAGAGGTTTCCCTGGAGGTGTGTCAGCAGTGGATTCTGGCCTGTCTTCTCTGTTGTATCCATGGTACAGTCCCATGATCCTAGGAGAGGGAAGACATGAGGCAGCCAGAAATAACATCAAACAGAGCCCCAGGAATAAACTGTGAAATCCCTAAGAATACAAAACAATCTGCAGAATTCCTCAAACCTGTTTAGACTTTGTAGGGGTGAGTCTTTTTGAAACTTGCCCTACTGTGATATCCACATACAGCAGCTGTGTTCCTCGAGGTTGCTCTCTCCCAAATGGGGCTTCCTGCAGAACCACACAGCCTCAGGAGCTGCCAGCCTGTGTGTTTCTGTGAAAGTATTGAGGGTATTGGATGTCTGCATGTGTGTGTGTGTGTGTGTGTGCGTGTTAGAATATAAGTGGAGTATACTTAAAGGAATGTGGCTAACACATTTTAGCTATTTTTTTTGAGTCTCCCAACTTTTTGGTGGCCTGTCTGTGCAGCACTGCTTGGGCTGTGGAGTTCCATGTTCTTTAGTCTTCTGTGGATCATAAATCCCCAGAGAATTGGGACACAGGCTGAGACCCACCAGCGTCACACTCACCTCCCACTCCAAAAGAAAGCCACTCTTAGAAAAAAGGGGAGCATACCACATGAAAAAACAGACATCTCTGAGTGTTTCACTGTCCTGCAGCCAATTCAGGGAGAGACACTAGCAGTCCTGTCTATAGGGCCCTTGAATTTACCTCAAATTCAGGTCCCAGCCAAGCAGTTTCTTCACATCATGAGGGGGCAATACTCCATCAACTTGGGTTTTCATTTTGGGACATAGAGTGTGAGCAGCAATAAGGTCAGACAGGGGTGAGGATACAATCTGGTGGGAATTGGATGAGATCCCACAACTTCACCTGCAAAAAAATGAAGACAGATGACACAGAAGATACTTCCAACTCCATCCCAACATTCCCTTAATTGCACAAGTAGTCCACACCATAGCATGGTGTTCAGGTGAAAGTACTCCAATGGGCAAGAACATTTGGAGTGCAAATTGGGGTCATCTTGGCAAACTCCCAATTTGAGGGCTTTCATACCGGGAGCCAAATGGGAATGAAATGGATTGATGCTTGGTGGGATATGGCCTCCACACTTGACTCTTCTTTCTCTGATGTCCATGTTTCTTGTTGGTGCAGGTTTTCCTGTGTCTGGCTCAATGACACAGTAAACGTTTCTCAGTTCACAGAGAATGACCCTAATGGGAATCCATTGCCTGAGTGTTTCCTTCTAAACACTGTCACAATTTAATGACTGGGCAGCTTTGATACCTTTAAAACTGTAAATTCCCTTACAGCTGCCAACAAGGAAACTCTTTTTTTTTTCACTTCTCTTGGCATTCCGCATGATTCCTGTAGGATGAGAAGCAGGCAGCCCTGTCTGGCTTTTGCCTGGCAATCTAGTCTCTGATTTTTTTCATCTACATGGTCTTCTCGTTGAGTGGGGGTTCTTTCATTGGGCTGTGGCTGGATGGGACTGCCTCTTGCCAAAGATTATTTTGCTTCCAGAGATTTCAAAGAGCAAAAGGGACTTTGAGGAGTCTGGCGGTGCTCCAAGTTTTGAGTCGTTGTCTCGTTATGGGGGCTGAGGTTGTTTGCAATTTGCAGGAGGCTTTTGGGACCTCTAACAGGAAGCATTGAACATTGCTTAAACTCCAGGTCAATGCAGCTCATTCTATCAGGTGAACCTTGATTTTTCTTTGCTTTTATGGACAATCTACAGTGTCCTTCAACAGCTCTACTGGATATCATTTTCAGGCTTGGCATCATCAAAGATGACCTCTGAGACATGGTCTCTACCTTATCTTTACCCATAAGAGTTCAGTCCAAGTTTGGACTCCAGCACAAGGCAGCTCATTTCCTCAGGCAAGCCTTGTTTTTTCCTTGCTTTCATGAAAAATCTACAATGACCCTTAACAGCACTACAGCACTGCTGAACACAATTTTCAGGCTTACTATCACCACAGACAGCCTCTGAGTCACTGTGTCAACCTCATCTGCACCAAGGAGAGACCAGTCTGTGGTGTGAGACAACTGCTTCACCTTGGACTTTCCTCTGTGATGGTTCCTGACTTTTCCAGACAGCCCCTGTGAGACCCAGGATGAAGGGATGCCATGAGGTCAAGCTCGGGCATCTTTTAGTGATGCCCACCTCTGGGGTTTCAAGTATAATTCTATCACCCAAAGAACCCCAACAACACAAGAGACTCTATTCCAATCTCCATGGGACCTGATTCTTGCACACAGCCTCTTTCAGGAATAGAGTCAGAAGAGCAGTTTCCAGCGACCACCTCACAGTCTTGAAACACCTCCTCCTCCAGTGGGACCTGACCATGGAGATGGCCCAAAGAGGCCCTGAGTTTGAGACTTTTAGGGTCTCGCAGTGGGTTTTCATAGGCATCCTTTTTCCTGATACAAGGCCGGCTCTGCTTGCAGCATTTTCCTCTGCTTAGTCAGGCTGACAGCTCTGACAGCCGGATGCCAGAGCCTGCCTCACGAATGTGCATGAGCTAGACTCAGGGCACCATGCCTGATTTTGAGTTCTGGCAAGTGTCACAAGGAATGTCACTGTTGGCAAGAGACAAGTCCCTGCAGCTTGTGGAGAAAGAGACCTCTGTGGAGGTGCGCTGGTGGACTCTCACCTGTCTTCTCTGTGGGATACATGGAATAATCCCATGATCCTAGGAGAGAAAGATGTGAGTGAGCCTGAAGAAATGTCAAGCAGAGCCCCAGGAATAAACTACAAAATCCCTGTGGATCCAAAATCATCTGCAGGATTCCTTAGGCCTGCCCAGGAGTTCTAGGAGTGAGTCTTTATGAAACTTGCCCCCATGATATTTTTAGTTAGAGCCTGCCTCTGTTCCCTGGGGTTGCTCTCTCCAAGGTGGGGCTTCCTACAGAAACACACAGCCTCAGAAGCTGCCGGGCTGTGTGTTTCTGTGGGAGTGTTATGAGTGTCAGATTTCTGCATGTGTTTGTGTGGTATTGTGTCTTTGTGTGTGTGTGTTCCTGCAAATGGAGTCTGCTTAAAAGAATGTGGCTAACACATTTCAGTGCTTCTTTATTTGAGTCTCTCAACATTTTGATGGCTTGTCTGTGTGGCTTTGCTTTAGTCGCAGGGCTGTGTTCTCTATTTTTCTGTGGATCATGAATCCCCAGTATATTGGGGGGCGGGTCGAGACTTGCCAGCGTCCAAGTCACCTCCCCCTGCAAAACAAACAAACAAGCAAATGAACAAAAAGCACTCTTCTAGAAAGATGAGGAACACACAACACTAGAAAACAGACATCTCCCACTGTTTCATTGTCCTGTGGTCAACCCAATGAGAGACACTAGCAGTCCTTTCCCCAGTAACTCTGAAACTTACCTTGAATTTGGTTCCTAGCTGAGCAGGTGCTTCAGGTCAAAGGGGGCACTCCTCCATCATCTTGAGATTTCATCCTGGGACACAGAGTGTGAGCAGCAATAAGGTCAGATAGGGTTGAGGATACAATCTAGTGAGGAGTGGATGGGTCCCACAATTTCAACTGCAAAAAAAAAAATGAAGACAGATGACACTGAAGTTGCTTCCAAATCCATCCCCCCATTCTGCTAATTGTGCAAGCGGTCCCCATCACGGCCTATTTTTCAGGTGGAAGTAATCCAATGTTCAGGGAGTATTTGGAGTGCAAATTGGGCCCATCCTGACAAACTCCTGATTTATGGCTTTCACACCCATAGCCAAATAGGTTGGAATGGGGATGGAATGGGTTAATGCTGGGAGGGGTGACCTCTTCTTTTCTTGACTTCCAGGTTCCTCGTCAGCCTAGGGTTTCCTGGGTCTTGCACAATGGCTTCCACACTAAATCTTTCCCACTTCTCAGAGAATGACCCTCATGGGAATCCATCACATGAGTGTTTCCTTCTAAACCCTGTCACTTTTTAATGACTGGGCAGCATTGATAATTTAAAACCATAAATTGCCGTGACAGCTGTCAACAAGGAAACTCTTGTTCTTTCACTTCTATCAGAGGGCTTCATGATTCCTGTAGGATGAGAAGCAGACAGCTGTGTTTGGCTTTTACCTGGTAATCTAGACTCTGTTTCACTTTTATTTGCATGGTCTTCTCATTGTTGAGTGGATCTTTCATTGTGTTCTTGCTGAATGGGACTGCCTATCATCACTCATCTTTTGGATGCCAGGAATTTCAGGGAGCAAGAAGGACTTTAGGTAGGCTGGCTATGTTCCAGGTTGTGGCTTGTGTTCTCATTTTGGGGGCTGAATTTATTTGCACTTTGACAGAGGATTTTGGGTCTTTTGACATATACCTTTGAATATTGCTGCGTCTCTGACACTAGTCAGTTCATTCTCTCAGGCAAGCTTTGAGTTTTCTTTGCTTTCATGGGGGGTCCACATTGCCCCTCAACAGCACTGCTGGACACCATTCCAGGCTTGCAATTGTCACAGACAGCCTCTGAGACACTGTCTCAACCTTGTTTGCACCTTTGAGAGGCCAGTTTGAGGTGTGAGAACACTGCTCCAACTTGGACCTACTTTTGTCATGGTTCCAGCCTTTCTCTGGGAGCCCTTATAAGGCCAGGATGAAGGGAGGCAGTGGGCAGTGGGAGGATGAGGTCAAGAGCCCAGCCATCTTTTGCAGACACCCGCCTCTGGGGTCTCAGTTATGATTCCATCACCCAAAAACCCACAGAAACTCACCAGACTATATTCCAATCCCCATGGTGTGACCAGAATTTGTTCCTTCTGGTGGGTTCTTAGTCTTGCTGACTTCAAGAATGAAGCTGTGGACCCTTGGGGTGAGTGTTGTAGTTCTTAAAGATGGTGTGTCCAGAGTTTGTTCCTTCAGATGTTCAGATGTGTCCAGAGTTTCTTCCTTCTGGTGGGTTCATGGTCCCACTTGACATCAGTAGTGAATCCGCAGACCTTCCCAGTGAGTGTTACAGCTCTTAAAGGTGGCGCCTCCAGAGTTGCTTGTTCCTCCTGGTGGGTTCATGGTCTCGCTGACTTCAGGAGTAAAGCCACAGACATTTTCAGTCAGTGTTACAGCTCATAAAAGTAGTGCAGACCCAAAGGCTGAGCAGCAGCAAGATTTATTGTGAAGAGCGAAAGAAGGAACCCTCCACACCATGGGAGGAACCCCCCGGGTTGCCACTGCTAGCTCAGGTGGCCAGCTTTTATTCCCTTATTTGGCCCCACCCACGTTCTGCTGATTGGTCCATTTTACAGAGTGCCGATGGGTCTGTTTTACAGAGTGGTGATTGGTCCATTTTTACAGAGTGCTGATTGGTGTGTTTACAATCATTTAGCTAGAGAGAAAAGTTCTCCAAGTCCCCACTGGACCCAGAAGCCCAGCCAGCTTCTCTCAATAGGACCTGATTCTTAACACACAGCCTCTTTTGGGCAAGGAGTCAGAAAAGCAGTTTCCAGCATCCACCTCATAGTCTCAAAATGTGTCCTGCTGAAGTAAGGCCAGACCATGGAGACAACCGGAGGGAGCTCTAAGGTTGAGACTTTTAGTGTCCCTCAGTGAATTATCACAGTCAGGCTTTTTTCTGATACCAGGCCGGCTCTGCCTGTACTATTTACCTCTGTTTAGGCAGGCAGAAATCTCTGACAGCTGGGCACCCAACCTTGCCTCACGAATTTGCATGTGCTAGTCTCAGGGCAGGAGGCCTGAGCTGTAAGCTCTGGATGGCGTCACAATGAATGCCACCGTTGCCTAGAGACAAGTCCCTGCAGTGTGGCGGAGATGGAAACCTCCATGGAGGTAGGTCGGTGGGAGACTCTCACTTGTCTTCTTTGTGGGATCCTCAGGATAATCCCATGATCCTAGGAGAAGGCTGACGTGAGCCAGCCTGAGGAAACTTCAAGAAGTGCTGCAGGAATTAACCGGGGAATCCCTAAGGGTCCAAAAGGATCTTCAAGATGCCTCAGTTCTACCTAGATGTTGTAGGGGTGAGTCTTTTTGAAAATTGCCCCACTCTGTTTTCTAAGCACAGCCCACATGGGTTCCCCAGGGTTGCTGTCTCCCAAGTGAAGCTTCCTGCAGTACCAGGCAGCCTCAGGAGATGCTGGGCTGTCTTTTTCTGTGAGAGTGTTGTGAGTGTTTGATGTCTGCATGTGCGTGTGGCTTTGTGTATCTCCCTGTGGAAAAGATTGCTAATGTTTCTCCCTGGGTTGGCTGCAGAACAATGAAACACTGGGAGATGCCTGTTTTTTCGTGTGGCATTTATTTGTTTGTTTGTTTGTTTATATTTTGCAGGCAGAGCTGATTTGAAAGCCGGTGGTTCATGGCACACCTCCCAATTATCTGTGGATTCATGATCCACAGAAAAATAAAGAAAACAAAGCCCTGCAGCCCAAGCAGAGCCATACAGACAGGAAAACACTAGGTTGGGAGACTGAAAAAAAAAAAAAAGAAGAAGCGCTTAAGTGTGTCAGCCTCATTCCTTTAAACAGACTCCACTTAGAGGCAGATGCACATACACACACACACACACACACACACACACACACACATATCCAACACTCGCAAGCCTCCCACAGGCACACAGCCCAGCAGCTACTGAGGACGCATGGTTCTGCCGAAAGCCCCACCTGGGAGAGAGTAACCTGTTGGAACACAGGCAGGCTGTATCTAGAAATCACAGTGGGGCAAGTTTAAAAAAGACTCACCCCCACAACAGCTATACAGGCCTGAGGAATCCTGCAGATACTTTTGGATTCTTACAGATTTCACAATTTATTCCTGGGGTTGTGCTTGAGGTTGCTTTAGGCTAGCTCACATCTGCCCTCTCTTGGGATCATGGGACTATCTGGAGAATCCAACAGAAAAGAGGCGAGAGCCCACTGCCATTGCACCTACACAGAGGCCTCCTTTGCCGCCAAGCCAAGGGCCTTGTAGTTAGGCAACGATGACAATTGTTTTGACACAAGCCAGGGCTCATAATCAGGCCTCGTTCCCTGAGTCTAGCACATGCGCAGTCCTGAGGCAGGCAAGGATGTCTGGCTGTCAGAACTGTCAGCCTGCCTAAGCACAGGAAAATACTGCAGACCAAACTGGCCTGGTGTTGCAATAAAGGCTGCCTGCGAATACCCACTGTGGGACACTAAATTTCTCCACGACAGGGCCCCTTGGGGCCATCTCTGTGGTCTGGTCCCACTGGAGGAGGAGGCATTTTCAGACTGTGAGGTGGTCACTGGAAACTGCTCTTCTGACTTTATTCTCCAAAGAGGCTGTGGGCAAGAATAGGGTCCCATGGGGATTGGAATATAGTCTGGTGTGTTTCTGAAGGTACTTTCGGTGATAGAAACATCTGAGATCCCAGAGGTGGGTGCCAGCAAAAGATGGTCAGGCTCTTGACCTCACTGCCACCCTTCATCCTGAGCCTCACAGGGGCTCTTTGGGAGAGGCAGAAACCACAACAAAGGCAAGTCCAAGGTGGAGCAGTGTTCTCACACCTCGGACTGGCTTCTTGCAGGTTCACATGAGGTTAAGAAAGTATCTCAGAAGATGTCTGTGGCAGTGCAAAGTCTGAAAGGGTGTCCAGTAGTGTTGTTGAGGGGCACTGTGTATTCCCCTTGAAAGCAAAGAAAAATCAAGGCTTGCCTGAGAGAAAGAGATGCATTATGGCAGAGTACAAGCAATGTTCAATGACTCCTGTCAGAGGACCAAAAAGACTCCTGCAAAATGTAAACAACCTCAGCCCCCACAACGAGACAACATCCCACAACATGAAGGGCAGCTGACATACCCGAAGTCCGTTTTGCTGTCTGAAATTCCTGGCAGCTAACTACTCTGTGGGGAGAGGCAGTCCCAAGCAGCAACAGCCCAATGAAGGAGCCAGCCCCTCCACAGTGAAAAGAACATGCAGATGAGGTGAAAAATACACTAGATTATGAGGCAAAAATCAAACACGGCTACCTGCTTTTCATCCTGCAGAAATCATGCAGCACTCTGATAGAAGTGAGAGAACAAGAGTTCCCTTGCTGGTGGATGTAATGGGAATTTACAGTTTTAAAAGTATCAAATCTGCCCAGTCATTAAAAATGACAGTGTTTAGAAGGAAACTCTCACACAGTGGATTCCCATGAGGATCATTCTCTGTGAACTGGAAAAAGTTTACTGTGGAAGTCTTTGAGCCATAACCAGGAAACCCTAGGTCAATGAGAAACATGGAAGTCCAGAAAAGAAGAGGCAAGTGTGGAGGTCATATCTCACCCAGCATCAATCCATTCCATTCCAATTTGGCTTTGGGTATGAAAGCCCTCAAATCAGGAGTGTACCAGGATGGCCCCAATTTGCACTCCAAATGTTCCTTGTACATTGGAATACTCTCACGTGAACACCAGGCCATAGTGTGGACTGCTTGTGTAATTAATTGAATGTAGAGATGGTGTTGGAAGCACCTTCTGTGACACCTGTCTTCAATCTTTTTGCAGTTGAAGTTGCAAGAACCCATCCACCCTTCACCAGTCTGTATCTTCACCCCTTTCTGAACTGATTGCATCTCACACTGTATGTCCCAGAATGAAATCCCAAGATGATGGAGAAGTGTCCCCTCACAATGTGAAACACCTGCTCTCCTGGGAACCGAATTCAATGTAAATTCAAGGGGCACTGCAGACAGGACTGTGAGGGTTTCTCCCTGGGTTGGCCACAGGACAATGAAAACCTGGGAGATGTCTGTTTTTCATGTGGTAGGGGCTCCTCTTCTTTCTAGAAGAGAGGTTTGTTTTGTTTTGTTTTGTTTTGTTTTTTTGCAGGGGGAGGTGATTTGAAAGCCGGTGGGTCTTTGCCCACCTCCCAGTTCACTGTGGATTCAGACCCACAGAAAAATGAATGACATGGAGCCACACAGCCCAAGCAGAGCCACGCAGAAAAGCAACCAAAATGTTTGGAGACTCAACAACAATAAAAAAGTGCTGAAGTGCATTAGACACATTCCTTTAAGAAGTCTCCGCTTACAGGCAAACACACACACACAAGCACTCACAAACACACAATGCAATATACACACACAGACATCCAACACTAGCAACAATTCTATGGAAACACACAGCCTGGTAGATCCTGAGGCTGTGTGGTTCTGCAGGAAGCCATACCTGGGAGAGAATGATCACAGGGACACAGGTGGGCTCTACCTAGAAATCTCAGTGGAGCAAGTTTCAAAAAGATTCACCACTACAAAAACTAGGCAGGCCTGAAGAATCCTGTAGATCCTTTTGGATCCTTAGGGATTTCACAATTTATTGAAGGGACTGTGCTTCATGTTTCTTCAGGCTGGTTCACATCTGCCCTCTCCAAGGATCATGGGAATATGCCCTGTGTCCCACTGAGAAGACAGGCGAGAGTCCACTGCTGATGCACTTCCACGGAGTTCTCCTTCTCTGCCAAGCTGCAGAGACTTGTCCCTAGGCAGCAGTGACATATGTTGTGACTCTAGCCAGAGCTCACAATGAGGCCTGGTGCCCCAAGAGTAGTGCATGTGCATTTGTGAGGCAGGCTCAGGTGCCAGGCCATCAGAGCTGTCAGGCTGCCTAAGCAGAGGAAAATGGTACAGGCAGAAGTGACCTGTTATTGTGAAAAAGGCTGGCTGTCAAAACCCACTTCAAGACCCTAAAAGTCTCAAACTCAGGAACCATTCGTGCCATCTCTGTGGTCGGGTTGTGCTGGAGGAGAAGACGTTTCGATACTGTGAGGTAGTCACTGGAAACTGATCTTCTGACTCCGTTGCTGAAAGAAACTTTGTGTAAGAATTGGGTCCGCTAGGAAATGAAATATAATCTGATGGGTTGTTGAGGGTTCTTTGGGTGATAGAATCATACCTGAGACCCCAGAGGCGGGTGTCAGAGAAAGATGGCTGGGCTCTTGCCATCACTGCCTCTCTTCATTGTGGGTCTTGCAGAAGCTCTCTGGGAAAGGCAGGAGCCATGATAAAGGCAAGTCCACTGTGGAACAGTTTTGTTACACCTCGGATTGACATCTCACTGGTGCAGATGAGGTTGATACCCTGTCTCAGAGGCGATATGTGTTGATGGCAAGCATGATAAGGGTGTACAGAACTGCTGATGAGGAGCACTGTGGATTCCCCATGACAGCAAAGAAAAATCAAAGTTCACCTGGGAGGATGAGCTGCCGTGTGCTGGAGACTAATCAATGTTCACTGATTCCTGTCAGAGGACCCAAAATCCTCCTGAAAAGTGCAAACAACTTCAACCCCCAAAAGGAGACAATGACCCACAATCTGGAGTGCAGACAGCCTACCCAAAGTCCCTTTTGCTCTCTGCAATCCCTGACATCTAAATAATCTGTGGTGAGAGACAGCTTTATCTAGCAACAGCCCAATGAAAGAACCCCTCCACAATGAAAAGCCTATGCAGATGAAATGAAATAGAGGCTAGATTACCAAGCAGAAGCCAAATATGACTACCTGCTTCTCATCCTGCAGGGGTCATGAAGCCCTCGAATAGAAGCTTGAGAACAAGAGTTTCCTTGTGAGCAGATGTAATGGGAATTTATGGTTTTGAAAGTATCAAAGCAGCCCAGTAATTAAAACCTGACAGTGTTCAGAGGGAAACACTCATGCAATGGGTTCCAGTAACGGTCGTTCTCTGTGACTGGGAAATGATTAGTGTGGAAGTCCTTGAGCCAGATGCAGGAAACCCTAGGCTGATAACAAATATGGAAGTCAGGAGAAGAAGAGGCCGAATCTGCAGGCCACATCACACCCAGCATCAATCCATTCCACTCCTATTTGTCTCCTGGCATGAAAGCCCTCAAATTGTCAGTTTTCTAAAATGGCCTTAATTTGCACTCCAAATGTTTCTTGCAGGTTGGGGTACTCCCACCTGAATACAGAGCCATGGTGTGGACTGGTTGTGCAATTAAAGGAATATGGTGATGGAGTTGGAAGCACTTTCTGTGTCATCTGTCTTCATTTTTTTTGCAGGTGAAGTTGTGGGACCCCATCCACCCTTCAGATTGTATCCTTACCCCTATCTTATCTTATTGCTGCTCACACTCTATGTCCCAGGATGAAATCCCAACATGATGGAGGAGTGTACCCTCATGATATGAAGCACCTGCTCTCCTGTGAACTGAATTCGAGGTAAATAAAAGGAGCCCTGTGGACAGGACTGCTAATGTCTCTTACTGAGTTTGCCAAAGGACAATGAAACACTGGGAGATGTCTGTTTTTTGGTGTACTGTGCTGTGTCCGGTGTTTTTTTTTTTTTGTTTTTTGTTTTGCAAAGGGAGGTGATTTGTATGCCAGCGAGTCTCTGCCTGCCTCCCAATTCACTGTGGATTCATGATCCACAGAAAAGTAAAGAACACAGGTACCAGCAGCCCAAGCACAGCCACACAGACAGGCCAACAAAAGGTTGTGTGACTCAAAGAAATGAAGCACTGAAGTGCGTTAGCCATGTTCCTTTAAGCAGACTCCATTTACAGTCACACACACACACACACACAAACAATGTCCAGCACACACACACACACAAACAATGTCCAGCACACACACAGACATCAAACATTCTCAACAATTCCACAGAAACAGGCAGCCCAGCATTTCCTGAGGCTGCATAGTTCTGCAGGAAGCCCCACATGGGAGTAAGTAACCTGGAGAACACAGGCAGGCTGTACCTAGAAATCACAGTGCAGCAAGTTTCAAAAAGACTCACCCCTACAATGTCTAGGCAGGCCTGAGGAGTCCTGTGGAAACTTTTGGAACATTAGATATATTGTAGGTTCTTCCTGGAGCTCTGCTTGATGTTTCTTCAGGCTGGCTGATGTATGTCCTCCCCTAGGATCATGGGACTGTCCCCTGGATCCCACAGAGAAGACAGGTGAGAGTCTTCCACTGACAGACCTCCATGGATGACTTTTTCTCCACCAAGCCACAGGGACTGGTCGCTAAGCAATGGTTAAATTCACTGTGAGGCTAACCAGAGCTCACAGGCAGTCCTGGTGCTCTGAGGCTAGCATATGTGCACTCATGTGGCAGGCTTGGGCACCATGCTGTTAGAGCTGTCAGTCTCCCTAAGCAGAGGAAACTGGGACAGGCAGAGCCAGCCTGGTATCGGAAAAAAGGCTGCCTGCAAAAACCATCTGTGGGACCCTAAATGTCTCAATCTCAGAGACACTTCTGGCTGTCTTGGTGGTGAGCTTTTGCTGAAGTAGGAGGCTTTTCGACACTCTGAAGTGGTCACTGGAAACGGCACTTCTGTCTCCATTCTTGAAAGAAGTTGTGTGCAAGAATCAGGTACACTGTGGATCAGAATATAGTCTGTTGTTTGTTGTGAGTTCTTTGAGCAATAGAATCATACCTGAGACCCCAGAGGTGGGTATCAGAGGAAGATGGCTGGGCTCATGCCCTCCCAGTCTCCCTTCATCCTGGGCCTCACAGGGGCTCTCTGGGAAATGCATGAACCATGACAAAGGCAAGCCCAAGGTGCAGCAGTGTTCTCACTCATTGGACTTGCCTCTCACGGATGCAGATGAGATTGAGACAGTGTATCAGAGGCCGTCTGTGGCAATGGAAAGCCTGAAAAGGGTGTCTAGTAGTGCTGTTGTGTATCACTGTGGATTCTCCATGAAAGCAAAGAAAAATCAAGGCTCCCTTAAGAGAATGAGATGCCTTGTGCTGGAGTCCACACAATACTCAATGATTCCTGTAAGAGGACCCAAAGCCTCCTGCAAAGTTCAAACAATCTCAGCCCCCACAATGAGACAATGGCCCACAACCTGGAGTGCAGCCAGCCTACCCCAAGTCCCTTTTGCTCCCTGAAATCCCTGGCAGCCAAGAGATCTGGGGCGAGAGGCAATGCAATGCAGCAACAACCCAATGAAAGAGCCCCTCCACAATGAGAAAGGACTTGCAGATGAATTGAAACAGAGGCTAGATTACCAGGCAATGCCAGACACGGCTGCCTGCTTTTCATCATACAGGAATCTTGCAGCCCTCTGAAAGAAGTGGGAGAATAAGAGTTTCCTTGTTGGCAGCTGTAACTGATATTTACAGCTTTAAAAGTATCAAAGCTGCCCAGTCATTAAAACTTGACAGTGTTTAGAAGGAAACACTCACACAGTGGATTCAAATGAGGGTCATCCTCCATGAACTGGGAAATTTACTGTGGTAGACATTTAGGCAGATCCAAGAAACCCTAGGCCAACAGGGAAAATGAAAGTCAGGAGAAGAGGAGTCAAGTGTGAAGGCCACATCCCACCCAGCATCAATCCATACCACATCCATTTAGTTCTGGGTATGACAGCCCTGAAATTGGGAGTTTGCCAGCATTGTTGAGTATGCAGTCCAAACGTTCCCTGCATGGAGAAGTACTCCCACCTGAACTCCAGGCCATGATGTGGATGGCTTGTGCAATTAAGAAAATGTGGGGATGCTGTTGGAAGTAACTTCTGCACCATCAGTCTTCAGCTTTTTTGCAGGTGAAGGTGTGGGTCCGCACTGAAACTTCACCAGATTGTATCCTCACTCCTATTTGACCTTATTGCTGCTCACACTGAATGTCCCACGATGAATTCCCAAGATAATTGAGGAGTGCTCCCTCACAATGGGAAACACTTGCTCTATTGTGAACTGAATTACAGGTAAATTCAAGGGGCCCTGCCAACAGAACTGCTGGTGTCTCTCCCTGGGTTGGCCACAGGTCAAACAGTCAAAGATGTACATTATTGGGTGAGGTGTGCTCCTCTTCTTTCTAGTAGAGTGGCTGTTTTTTTTGCATGTGTAGGAGATTTGGACCATGGCAGGTAAGAGCCAGCCTCCCAAATCACTGTGGATTCTTGATCCACATAAAAATAAAGAACACAGGGACCTACAGCCCAAGCAAAGACACACAGGCCACCAAAAGGATGGGAAACAAAAAAAAGTGCTGCAGTGCATTAGCCTAATTCACTTGCACAGACTCCACTTAAATGCACACACACACATACACACACACACAAAGCCACACACACAGAGACAACCAAACTCACAACACTCCCACAGAAACTACAGCCCTGCAGGTCCTGAGGCTGCATGGTTCTGCAGGAATCCCCACCTGGGAGAGAACAACCCCAGGCAACACAGGTGGGCTGTACCAAGAAATCACAGTGGGGGCAAGTTTCAAAAAGACTCAACCCTACTATGTCTAGGGAGGCCTGAGGCATCCTGCAGATTCTTCTGGATCCTTAGGGATTTTGCAGATTATTCCTGGGGCTATGTTTGATCTTTCTTCATGATGGCTTGTGTCTGCCCTCTCCTAGGATAACCAGAACATCCTGTGGATCCCACAGAGAAGACAGGTGAAAGTGTACTTCCAGTACACATCTACGGTGGCCTCCTTCTCCACCAAGCCCCAGGGACTTGTTGCTAGGCAACACTGTCATTCATTGTGACGCTTGCCAGAGCTCACAACTCTGGCCTGGTGACAGGACACTAGCACATTTGCATTCGTGTCACAGGCTTGGGGGTCCAGCTCTCAGAGCTGTCAGCCTGTCTAAGCAGAGAAAAATGGTACAGGCAGAGCTGGCCTGGTGCTGGGAAAATGGCTGCCTGAGATAACCCACTGAGAGACCCTAAAATTCTCACCCTTAGGTCTTTTTCAAGCCATCTTCTTGGTCGGGTTTCACTAGAGGTGGAGCCAATTTGAGACTGTGGCCTGGTCACTGGAAACTGCACTTCTAACTCCATTCCTGAAAGAGGCTGTGAGCAGGAATCGGGTCCCATAACAATTGGAATATAGTCTGGTGAGTCGTTGAGGGGTCTCTGGGTGATAGAATCATACCTGAGACTGCAGAGGCAGGTGTCAACAAAACATGTCTGTGCCCTGGACGTCACTGCCTGCCTTCATCCTGGGCCTCACAGGTGCTCTCTGGGAAAGGCAGGAACCACGACAAAGGCAAGTATATGGTGGAGTAGTGTTCTCACACCACGAACTGGCCTCTCATGGGTGCAGATGAGGTTGAGACAGTGTCTCAGAGGCCATTTGTTGTGACCGTAAGCCTGAAAAGGGTGTGCAGTAATACTCTTTAGGGGCAATGTGTACTCTCCATGAAAATGAGAAAAAATCAAAGCTCCTGTGAGAGAATCAGCTGAATTGTGTTGAAGTCCAAGCAATGCTGAAACACTACTTTCAGAGGACCCAAATCCATCTGCAAAGTGCAGACAACCTCAATCCCCAAGACGAGACCACAACCCACAACCTGGAGTGAAGTCAGCCTACCTGAAGTCTCTTTTGCTCTCTGAAATCTCCAGCAAGGATCTGTGGTGAGAGACAGTCCCATACAGCAACAGCCCAATGAAACACCCACTCCTCAGTGAGAAAGGACATGCAAGCACAATGAAACAGAGTCTAAATTACCAGGCAAAAGCCAGACATGGCTACCTGCTTTTCATCCTACAGGAATCATGCAGCCCTCACATAGAAGTGGGAGAATAAGAGTTTTCTTGTTGGTGGCTTTAACAGGAATTTACAGTTTTAAAATATCTCAGATGTGCAGTCATTAAAACATGACGGTGTTTAGAAGGAAACACTCACACAATTGATTCTCATGAGGGTCGTCCTCTGTGAACTAGGAAATATTTAGTGTGGACGGTATTGACCAGATCCAGGATGAGGATCATGAAAGTAAGGAAAAGAAGAGGCAAGTGTAGGGGTCACATCCCACCCAGCAACTATCCATCTTGCTTTCATCTGGCTCCTGTTATCAAAGCCCTCAAATCAGGAGTTTGCCAGGATGGTCCCAGTTTGCACTGCACATGTTCCATGCACGTTGAAGTACTCCCACCTCAACACTGGGTCATCATGTGGACTGCTTGTACAGTTAAGAGAATGAAAGGATGCAGTTGGAAGTAACTTCTGTGTCAACTGTCTTCACCATTTTTCAGGTGAAGGTGCAGGACCCCATCCACCCCTCACCAGATTGTATCCACACACCTAACTGACCTTATTGCTGTTCACACTCTCTGTCCCAGAACGAAGATGACAGAGGACTGTCCCCTCATGATGTGAAGCTCCTACTCAACCGATAACCAAATGTGATGTAAATTCAATGGGGTCTGCAGACAGGAATGCTAGTATCCCTCCTTGGGTTGGCCACAGGACAATGAAACACTAGATGTCTGTTTATGGGTGTGGTGTGCTCCTCTTCTTTCTGGAAGAGTGGCTTCTTTTGCAGGGGGAGGTGATTTGGATCCCAGCTGGTCTCAGTCAAACTCCCAATTCACTATAAGTTCATGACCCACAGAAGAATGAATAAAAAACACGGAGCCATATAGCCCAAGCAGAGCCACAGAGACAGCCCACCAAAAGCTTGGAGGAATAAAAAAACAAAAAATACAAAAAGCAGCTCTGCAGCGTGTTAGCCACATTTTTTTAAGCGGACTCCACTTATAGGCATACAGACAGAGACAGAGACACAGATACACCCACCCACACACACACACACAGCCACACACAGGCAGATACCCAACAATTGCAACACTCTCACAGAATCACACAGCCCAGTAGCTTCTGAGGCTGCATGGTTCTGCAGACAGCCCCACTTGGGAGACAGCATCTTTGGGAATACAGGAGGGCTGTACCAATAAATCACAGTAGGGCAAATTTCGAAAAGACTCACCCCTACAACATCTAGGCAGGTCTGAGGCATCATGCAGATCCTTTTAGATCCTTAGGGATTTCGTGATTTATTCCTTGGGCTCTGCTTGAGGTTTCTTCAGGCTGCTCACGTCTGACCTCTCTTAGGAACATGGGACTATCCCATGGATCCCACAGATAAGGCAGGCAAGAGACCACTGCCGACGCACCTCCACCAAGGTGTCCTTCTAAGTCGAGCCACAGGGACTTGTGGCTAGGGAACGGAGGCATTTATTGGGATGTTAACCACAGCTCACAGCTCAGGCCCCGTGCCCTAAGACTAGCGCATGCGCATTCGCGATGGAGGCGCCCACGCTAGGCTGTCAGAGATGTCAGCCTGCCTATGCAGAGGAAAATGGTACCGGCAGAGCCTGCCTGATATCGGGAAAAAGTCCGCCTACGAAAACCCACTGGGAAACCCTGAAAGTCTTGATCTTAGGGCCCCTTCGAGTCATCTCTGTGGTCGGGTCACGCTGGAGGTCAAGGCAATTCACGACTGTGAGGTCGTTGCTGATAACTGCTTTTCTGACTCCATTCTTGAAAGAAGCTGTGTGCAAGACTCAGGTCCATGGTGATTGGAATATAGTGTGGTGTGTTGTTGAGGGTTCTTTGGGAGATAGAATCATACTTGAGACCCCAGAGGCAGTTGTAGTGTCGAAATATGGCCAGGCTGTTGACTTCACTGCCTCCCTTCATCCTGGGCCTCACAGGGGCTCTCTGGGAAAGGCAGGAACCAGGACAAAGGCAAGTCCAAAGTGGATCAGTGTTCTCACCCCTCGGACTGGCCTCTCACAGGTGCAGATGAGGTTGAGACAATGTCTCAGAGGCCATCTGTGGTGATAGGGATGTCCAGTAGTGCTGTTGAGGGGCACTGAGGATTTCCTATGAGAGCAAAGAGAAATCAAAGCTTGCCTAAGAGAATGAGCTGCCTTGTGCTGGAGTCCAAGCAATGTTCAATGATTTCTGTGAGAGGACCCAACAACCTCCTGCTAAGTGCAAACAACCTCAGCAACCACAATAAGAGAACAACCCACAAACTGGAGTGCAGCCAGCCTACCTGAAGTGCCTCTTGCTCTCTGCAATCACTTTCAGCTGAATAATCTGTGATGAGACGCAGTCCCATCCAGTTCCAAAGAAAGAACCCCTCCACAATGAGAAGGCCATGTAGATGAAATAAAACAGGGGCTAGATTACCAGGCAAAAGCCAGTCATGGCTGCCTGCCTCTCATCCTACAGGAACCATGCAGCCATTTGATAGAAGTGAGAAAACAAAGAGTTTCCTTGTTTGTGGCTGTAGTGAGAATTTATGGTTTTAAAAGTGTCAAAGCAGCCCAATCATTAAAACGTGACAGTGTTAAGAAGAACACACTCACACAATGGATTCCCATCAGGCATGTTGTCCATGAAGTTGGAAACATTTAGTGCGGAAGTCATTGAGCCAGACCCAGGAAACCCTAGGCCAATGAGGAACATGGAAGTAAAGAAAAGAAGAGGCAAGTCTGGAGGCCATATCCCACCCAACATCAACACATTCCACTCCCATTTGGCTCTGGGTATGAAAGCCCTCAAATGGGGAATTTGACAGGATGGCCTCATTTTGGACTCCAAATGTGGCTTGCACGTTGGAGTACTCCCACCTGAACACCAAGCCAAGATGTGGACGGCTTGTGTAATTAAGGGAATGCAAGGATGGAGTTGGAAGCACCTTTTATGTCATCTGTTTTCATTTTTGTTTTGCAGGTGAAGTTGCAGGACCCAACCTTCCCCTCAAGAGGTTGTATGATTGTATTCTCACCTCTGTCTTACCTTATTGCTGCTCACACTCTATTTCCCAGGATGAAATCCCAAGACGATTGAGGAGTGCCCCCTCAGAACTTGAAGGAACTGCTCAGCTGGGAACTGAATTCTAGGTAAATTCAATAGGCTCTGCAGGCAGGACAGCTAATGTCTCTCCCTGGGTTAGCTGCCGGACAGTGAAACACTGGGAAATGTCTGTGTGTGTGTGTGTGTGTGTGTGTGTGTGTGTGTGTGTGTTATGCTCCTTTTCTTTCTAGAAGGGTGGCTTTTTTTTTCAGGTGGAGGTGATTTAGTGCATCTTGGCACTCCTCCTAATTCACTGTGGATTGAAGATCCACAGAAAATCAAAGAACACTGAGCACCTCAGCCCTAGCAGAGCCATACGCAGGCCACCAAAAGGTTTGGAGACTCAAAAAAAGAAAGATTGAAGTGCATTATCCACATTACTTTAAGCCGATTCCACTTACAGGCACACACACATGCACACACAAACACACAATGACACAGACACATGCAGGCATCTGACACTCACAACACTCCCACAGAAACACCCAGCCCGGCAGCTCCTGAGGCTGCATGGTTCTGCAGGAAGCCACACCCAGGAGAGAGCAACCCCAAGGAACACAGGTGGGCTGTACCTACAAATCACAGTGGGAGAAGGTTCAAAAAGACTCACCCCTACATTGTCTAGCAGACCTGAGCAATCCTGCAGAGATTTTTGGATCCTTACAGATTTCACTGCTTATTGCTGGGGCTGTGCTTGACATTTCTTCAGGCTGGCTCACTTCTGTCCCCTCCTAGCGTCATGGGAATATCCCTTGCATCCCACAGAGAAGACAGGTGAGAGTCCACCACCTATGCACCCCCATGGGGGTCTCCTTCACTGTTAAGCTGCAGGGACTAGTTGCTATGCAATGGTGACATTCATTATGGCACTAGCCAGAGCTCACAATCACGGCTGGTGACCTGAGACTAGCCCATGCACATTCCTGAGGCAGGCAAGCAGAGGAAAATGGTACAGGCCAAGCCGGCATGATGTCGGGAAAAAGGCTCCCTGTAAAAACCCGCTGTAGGACCCTAGAAATCTCCACCTCAGGGCCACTTCAGGTTGTGTACGTGGACCGGTCCCACTGGAGGAGGAGGCGTTTTGAGACTGTGAGGTAGTTGCTGGAAACTGCTCTTCTGACTCCATGCCCAAAAGAGGCTGTGTGCAAGAATGGAATCCCTTGGGGATTGGGACATACTCTGTTGTGTCATTAAGGGTTCTTTAGGTGATAGAATCATACCTGAGATCCTAGAGGTGGGTGTCAGTGAAAGACGGCCAGGCTCATGACCTCACTTTCTCCCTTCATCCTGGGACTTGCAGGGCTATCTGGGAAAGGCAGAAACCATGACAAAGGCAAGTCCACGGTGAAGCAGTTTTCTCACACCTCGGATTAGCCTCTCACAGGTGCAGTTGAGGTTGAGACAGTGTCTCAGAGGCCGCCTGTTGTGATGGGGATGTCCAGTAGTGCTGTTGGGGGGCACAGTGGATTCCTCATGAAGGCAAAGAAAAATCAAAGCTCGCCTGAGAGAACAAGACACCTTGTATTTGAGTCTAAGCAATGTACAAAGATTCCTGTCAGAGGACCGTAAAGCTTCCTGCAAAGTGCAAACAACTTCAACTCCCATAACGAGAGAACGACACCCAACCTGGAGCACAGCCAGCTTACCCAACGTCTCTTTTGCTCTCTGAAATCTGTGGCAGCTACATAATCTGTAGCAAGAAACAGTCCCATCCTGCAATATCTCAATGAAAGAGCCCCTTCACAATGAGAAACCTGTGCAGATGAAATGAAAGAGAGACTAGATTACCAGGAAAAAGCCAAACACAGCTGCCTGCTTCTCATAATAAAGTAATCATCCAGCCCTCCGAAAGAAGCAGGAGAACAAGACTTTCCTTGTTGGCAGCTGAAATGGGACTTTACAGTATTAAAATTATCAAAGCTGCCCAGTCATTAAAATGCGACAGTGTTTAGAAGGAAGCACTTTTGCAATGGATTCCTATGAGGGTCATTCTCTGTGAATTGGGAAGAGTTTAGTGTGCAAGTCCTTGAGCCAGACACAGGAAACCCTAGGCTGACTGGGAAAATGGAAGTCAGGAAAAGAAGAGGTAAGTGTGGAGGCCACATGAAACCCAGCATCAATCCATTCCAATCTCATTTGGCTCGGGGTATGAAAGCCCTCAAATCGGAAATTTGCCAGGTTGACCCCAATTTGCACTCCAAATATTCCTTGCATGTTGGAGTACTCTCACATGAACACTGGGCCATGGTGTGGACTGCTTGTGCAGTTAAGGGAATGCAAGGATGGAGTTGGAAGTGCCTTCTTTGTTACCTGTCTTCATTTCTTTGCAGGTGAAGTTGTGGGACCCCATCCACCCCTCACAAGATTTTATCCTCACTCCTATCTGACCTTATTGCTGCTCAAACTCTGTTTCCCAGAATGAAATCCCAAGACAATGGAGGAGTGCCCCTTCATGTTGTGAAACACCTGCTCAGCTGGGAACTGAATTCGAGGTAAATTCAAGGGGCACTGTGGACAGGACTGTTAATGTCTTTCCCAGGGTTGGCCACAGGAAAATGAAACACTGGGAGATGCCTGTTTTTCTTGGTGTTGTGTGCTCCTCTTCTTTCTAGAAGGGTGGCTTTTTTTTTCTCAGGGGGAGGTGATTTGGATGCCAGCAGGTCTCGATCAGCTTGCCACTTCACTGTGGATTAATGATCCAAAGAAAAATAAAGAACACAGAGCCCCGCAGCCAAAGCAGAGCCACAACCACAGGCTACCAAAAGGTTGGGAGACTCAAAAAAAAGAAGTGCTGAAGTGTGTTAGCCACATTCCTTTAAGCCTACTCCATTTACAGGCACATTCCCCCCTGCCCTTCCCACACACACACACACACACAATGCCACACACACACACACTCAGACATGACCACTCCCAACACTCTTACAGAAACATACAGCCAGCAGCTCCTGAGGCTGCATGGTTCTGCAGGAAGACCTACCAGGGAGAGAGCAACCCCCATTAAAACAGGCATGCTGTATCTAGAAATCACAGTGGGGCCAGTTTCAAAAATCTCCCCCCCTACAAAGTCTAGGCAGGCCTGAGGAATCCTGTAGTTCCTTTTAGATCCTTAGGAATTTCGTGGTTTATTCCTGGGGCTTGTTCTTGACATTTCTTCAGACTGGCTCATGTCTGCCCCCTCCTGCGATCATGGGACTATCCTGTGGATTCCCACAGATAAGACAGGCAACAGTCCACAACCAACACACCTCCACGGAGGTCTCCTTCTCCGTCAAGATGCAGGGACTTGTTACTACGCAACGCTGACATTCATTTTGACGCTAGCCAGAACTCACCATCAGGCCTCGTGCCCTGAGACTAGCGCACGTGCATTCATTAGGCAGCTCCCGGAGCCCGACTGTCGGAGCTGTCAGAGTTGAAGAAGAAGATGGTTCAGGCAGAGGCAGCCTGTTATCGGGAAAAAGGCTGACTGCGAAAACCCATTGCAGGACCCTAAAATTCTCCAACTCAGGGCCCATTTGGATCTTCTACACGGTAGGCTCCCGCTGCGGGAAGTGGCATTTCAAGACTGTGAGGTGGTCGCTGGAAATTGCTTTTCTGACTCCATTCTGGAAAGAGGCTATGTACAAGAATCCGGTCCCACTAGGACTGGAATATAGTCTGGTGTGTTGTTGTTGCAGGTTCCTTAGGTGATAGAATCATACCTGAGACCGCATAGGCGGATGTCCGCGAACGACAGCCGGCTCTTGCCCTCACTGCCTCCCTTCATCATGGGACTCGCAGGGACTCTCTAGGAAAGGCAACAACGACGGCAAAGGCAAGTCCAATGTGGAGCCGTGTTCTCACACCTTGGACTCGCCTCCCACTGGTGCAGATGAGGTTGAGACAGTGTCTTAGAGGCCGTCAATGGCGATGGCAAGCCTGGAAAGGGTGTCCAGTAGTGCTGCTGAGGGGCCCTGTGGATTCCCCAATGAAAGCAAAGAAAAATCAAAGCTCCTCTGAGAGAACTAGCTGCCTTTTCCTAAAGTCCAAGTTCCACCTCCCGGGTTCATGGCATTCTCCTGCCTCAGCTTCCTGAGTAGCTGGGACTACAGGCGTGTGCAACTACGCCCAGCTAATTTTTTGTATTTTTAGTGGAGATGGGTTTTCACCGTGTTAGCCAGGATGGTTTAGATCTCCTGACCTCGTGATCCACCCGCTTCAGCCCCCCCAGCTGCTGGGATTACAGGCATGAGCCACCGCACCTGGTCAAAATATTTTCTTTTAACAGGTTTTAGGATTTGATAAAACCAAAAAGATAGGAGCCTGCATCTTTGTAAACCCTAACAAGATTTTTCTATGTATTTTCCTTATAAAATAATGAAGCTAATTTTTAAGGAGAAGGATTATAAATTTAATTTGATTTAAATTACTTGAATTTTCTTGCTGACCATACCTAACCTTTTACACAACATTAGCAGCCACATTGAAAACAGTAAAAAAAAAGTGAAATTTTTAAAATATATTTAATCTGATACATCTAAAATATTGTTTTAACAGGTATTCAGTATAAAAATACTAATAAGATATTTTACATTTATAGCTTGTATGAAGTCTTTAAAATCTCATCTGCTTTTTAAATTTAAATCACATCCCAGTTCAGACTGACACCTTTCAAGTGTCAATGGCCCAATGTGGTTTAAGGTTCTGATTTTGACAGCATTTGGAAAATACAGAAAAGTAGATGTAAAAACATGTCTAAAGTCATGCCCACCAGAGCCAAACACCATCAGTGCTTTAATATACTTCAGCCAGACTTTTTTCCTGTATGCATACTTCTTTGGTGGGTGCTATACATGGTTGAGATTGTACTCTGGGTTCAGATTTGCACTCTGCTATGTGGTTGATTCAGATCCACAGCTGGTTTGAGGGCCACTGGACTAATGGAAGAAAGAGTCAGTAGACCCCACTTTCGTCCCAGTTATGCTGTTATGTTGTCACTTATTAACCTATAGTGGCATTTGTTCTTTATCTGTAAAGCGGAGGGTTTGAAGTGTGTGCTGGTTGTGCTGTTATGTAATCACTTATTAACCTATATTGGCATTGAATGTGAAGTCAGCTTTAACCAAAGTCCAGTGAAGACCTCCATGCCTTTGCACTTAGAGAGTAGGAGAAGACTCCAGTATTTTCTAGCTTAAACTCTACTATTGGTTTTCTTTTTCCTCTAACATTTTTCATGAGCATTTTCAAAACATAGAAAAGTTGAAACAATTCTAGCTAACACTTATATACCACCTAGATGGCACTATTATATTTGTATTATACTTGCTTCATCATTTTTATCTGTTCATTCATGCATCTGTGTTACTGTCTTTGTGTATTTCAAAGTAAATTGAAGACACCTGCACTTTCCCCTAAGTGTAATTTTTACTTTTAAACCAGACGTCTGCCCTCTTACACACCTGACCACACTTCTGTGTCTTAATTTGACCTGTTGCTTTTCAATAGCTGAGAAGTTTGGGCTTATAGATGATCAGTTTGCAGAGGCTTACCCTCAGCATATCAAGATTGAGTCTTTGGAAATAAAGCCAAGTGAATATAAAAGAGAAGTAGAAGAGCAAATTGGGCAGAAACATGTCAAAAGGTAAGTTTTATCTTATTACTCTTCACAAGTTTGTCTTCTAAAGACTTAATCTTAGGTCTATCAAAAATATCTAGAACTTTTAATACAGAATGTGATAGTATACTGTTGTGCATATTTTTTTCTCACGACATTTGTTTATGTCTTTTGAGTGAGTCCTACAGATACAGTGAATGAGAAAAAAGTATAGATGAAATAAATAGAACATATTTGGACAACATATTTGGACACAGCATTAATGTTGGGCCTAGCTCTGGAGAAATAATTTGTTACTGTTTTTATAGTGTAATAGTTGGAATTTTAATTTTTTGATCAATTTGCCATTGAAGTTTTTTAAAGATGCCAAGATAACAAAAATTGAAATGGAAGTGAAAAGAAAGTATGAGAAGGAATTAGTTGTGTTCCAGAATGATTTTGATAATGCTTGTCAAGCACAATCTGAAGCCCTCATTCTTTGTGAAAAGAGTATCCCTTAGATAAATGACAAGCACCATGAGGTGGTATTTACAAATATTTCACTGGGTGGCTAATTCCTGCAGCTATCAGTAGGTTGTCTCAAGATCCAGGAACAAGATTGTACAAGTGATGGAACAATGCCCCAGAAGTGCCATAGGGACTGGAGCCAAGAGGGCAAAAGAATCAAATAGAAAGAAGGATGGACCTTGAAAAGGATACACATATTTGCTTCCTCTGAGACTGGTGGAAAGGCAAGAATTGCAAAGATGAACAGTCAACTTGGGATAATGAAAAACACACCCTTGAAAAGCTCCATATACTCAGACAATTTAGAGGGATAGATAATGAGTTGTAGGAGCAGCTTGGAGGTGCAGACTAGCTCATGTGGGTAAGGGAAGAATAGCTCCTTAAAGCAGAGAGGACTGATCACCTGTACTGAGGGCCCAACTGTGGTTGGGCTAGCCTGGAATTGAGAGGAACCAAACCACATACTTGTAGGTGAGTTTCCTGTTCTAGCTCTGTGGAGGAATTGTAAGTGTCTTTCTCTTCTGTCCCTTTCACTGAGGGTGGAAAGATGGAGATGCTTCAGAAATGGAGGCTTGCAGAGCCTAATTTGTTTTAATTGAGAAAGGCAGCCTATTTAATTGAGGATTCTGGGGCTCTCTTGGGTAGTGAAGGGAAGCAGAGGAGACGGCAGGTGGCTGCTAACATGGGAGAAAGGGAGGGTTCAGTGGCAGTCTCAGTGATCAAGGACCAGATCTGGAAAGACTGGCAGGTGGAAGAATAAGGATGGCCCAAGAGTACAGAACTGCAGAATGAGCATTCAGGTGGAGACTGGAAATCAAAGACAGTATGCTGCCATTGGAGGCAGCCATGGAAACGAGCAAGAGTGAAGATCCCTGGGGTAAAGGAGTCACCAGAGCCACAAGGGTCATCCATGTGGCCATTTGATATCATCAGCAGGAAAGTAACTGGATAGGACACGAAGACGATGAGAAGTGGCAGGGAGTCCCAAGTTGGCAAGTGGGATTAGATCTACTCCTTTAAGAAATCTTACTCCTTTTCCAAGGGTATGTCTCAGACCAGACTGGATTTACTGCAGTATTTCCAGCATACATACAGAATGGCTGCTTCCAGACATTAACAGTAGGAAGGCGTCCCCCTAGGGTCCACTCTTGCTTAGGACTTCTCATTGAGACCTAGTTATGTAATGTGAGGGGCACCCCTCTAAAATTTTATATAGCACTTCTGTGAATTGGGCTTGCTTCAGCTATAAAAATGAGTTTTGGAAGCACAGATCTTCAAGGTGATTGAAATGTTTTTAGACTAATAACTTCATCTTCAAGACAGTTGACTGACTAGATTCCTGTGTATTTAACTGCAAGTATCTGAAAGCTTTGAGGAAGACTGCCAGCCTCATAAAAAGCACCATGTCTGTATTTCCTCACCTGGAATATCAACCCCCTTCTCTCCCTGATAAAAGCATAGTGTCATTCAAAGCTAGTGAAAACACAACAGGTTTAAACGAATATACGTCTTCCTTGTTGGAATGCAAGGTTTCAGCCTTATTCAACTAGTTATTCTAGCTTCATAGTATTTACTCCTCCAAATCCTGTTAAACTACATTTCCATATATTCCTAACATGCCTTCTGGAATGTATACTACTTAGTTGTTTAACATCTCAGTCCCTTATCCAAATATATATCAAATATATATATATAAAATATATCATATATATATCATAAATATATACACACATACATACATATATATACAGTCATGGATAACACTGCAGGACCCTGTCTCTCGTCTCTCTCTCTGTATATATATATATACATATGCACACATATGTAATTGATATACATATATATACACACATATGGAATTGATATACATATATATATACACACATATGGAATTGATACTATGGTTGATTTGAAGTCTCACTATGGACACTATAAAGACTATTCTGTTTTTAAGTATTTGGAATAGTTAAGAATAAGTATGGTTAAGAATAAATTATAATTGATTTGAAGTCTCACTATGAAGACCATTCTATTCTTAAGTATTTGGAAGTCCTGAATGATATATCTATCTTTTGCTCTCTCTTTGAATACTTCAATATTCAATCAATGGTCCTTGTTTTTCATGGTTTTCTTGTTTTGTTTTATTTTGGTTTTGTTTTGGTATTGGGTTAAGAGACAGGGTCTTCCTATGTTGCCCAGGCTGATCTCAAACTCTTGGGCTCAAGTGATCCTCCTACCTCAGCCTTCTGAAAAGCTCTAATTACAGGTGCAGGTGACCACACTTGGCTAAAGCTGATACATTATTAAGCGACAAAAGCAAATATTGTAATGTAAATATATATGGACTAATTAACTGAACCCCACAGTTAGAAATAGCATTATAGAAGATTCGGGTACATAAATATACTTTCTTTTATTTCTTTTCTTTTCTTTTCTTTTTTTTTTTTCTGAGATGGTGTTTCACTCTTGTCACCCAGGCTGGAGTGCAATGGTACAATCTTGGCTCACTGCAACCACCGCCTCTGGGTTCAGGTGATTCTCCTGCCTCAGCCTCCTGAGTACCTGGGATTACAGGCATGCACCACCATTCCCAGTTAATTTTGTATTTTTAGTAGAGACAGGGTTTCACCATGTTGTCCAGGCTGATCTGAAACTCCTGAACTCAGGTGATCCACCCACCTTGGCCTCCAAAACTGCTGGGACTACAGACATGAGCGAAAGTGTCCAGCCCATAAGTACACCTTTATTAGTTTGTAACTAATAGTATCATTCTTTCATCCCAGAATTGATTTTGGCCATTTATCACTGTAACTATTGTTTAAGTGTTAATTATCTACCATGAGAAACCACTTCCCTCTTGAGGCTCTCCCACTTCCCTTAGTCAGAGACTCTCCCACTCTTCTCAGTCAGATGCCACAGCCCCCTGGTTCTGCTGGTTTTAATACCCTGTAACCAGGCCAGTTCATAAAATACGCTGAGGACTTCTGGCTCTTTTCTTCTATTTCCCAGCAGTAATGGTCATTAGCAGTTTTCATCTGTTAAACTAAAAGCATGTCACATGATGTTTTTCCTAAATTTGTTAACTCAGTTATTATGGTTCATTTACTTTATTCATGTATTTGTTTATTTATTTATTTATTGCTAATTTCTGGACCCAGAAGCTCCAGAAAAACATAACAGCATGAGTGAGGACTTAGAAGATGAGAGCAGAATACAAAGTCTCTTGAGGAGAGCTATGACAGAAAGCTCAGGAGCAAAATTCTAAAGTAATTGTTTGGCACTTTTAAAGAAGTAGTATGTATAAATTAAGTTGGTAGAAGTATAACAAAAACTGAGGAAGTAGTCTATGATTAATATCTTATGCAAACTTTAGTGTTTGAAAAAATATATATGTCTATCAATAGCCAATACTTTCCTGCATTTGAGTTAAGGTAGTTTTTAAAAGATAAGCTATAGAGAAACACACCCTCTTTTCTTGTTACTCATGGCATCTCTAACATTTGTTGAGGGCTGTAATTTGCTTTAACTTTCAGGGCACCTTGTGACTTGCTCAGGTTGCATAGTAGATAAGCTGCAAAAGTTGAATTATAATCACTTTTAGTCACCTTTTCCTCTACCCCACTCATACTGCCACAAAGATGGGAATATCTAACAATATATAAATTATACATAGCTGTCATAGTATT
The DNA here is from genome assembly GCF_000001405.40 of Homo sapiens. Lineage (NCBI taxonomy): Eukaryota > Metazoa > Chordata > Mammalia > Primates > Hominidae > Homo > Homo sapiens. The sequence continues at coordinate 21,813,909 of NC_000024.10, read as the reverse complement.
TGTCAGTGTCCATGGGCCTTGTATTCCTTTATGATTCTGCAAAGTCAGAATCAAAAGAGCTAAAATTAACTATGTGAGGAAAATGTGATATAGGGAAAGGAAAAAATAGACTACTTTTGTTATTTTGGCTTTTCTTTACTCTGAACTTTTGTATCAGTGAGTAATATCTCAGTGCTAAGATACTATGTACTTGTGGTAATTTTCAGTGGGTGTGAAAGCATCTGACACATAAAAAGTGCTCAGTTAATATTTGTCATAAATGTGTCATGAGGAAAGGACTCACGTGCTCTGGGCATTTATGTGGCCTATTTTTATCACCTTCCTCATAATTTACCATCAATATTCCATTACATAATACTTGCAAACACTTGTTGAAGTTATTCTTCAAACAAATTCTATGTTTTTTATTGGACAGTTTTTTTTAATCAATTCTGAAATGATGTATTTTACCCACATTCTCTGTGTCTGTTTCTATACTAAAATAAGGAACCTGGAAAGTTCTTTACTGAAATTTTAGGAATAAATGAATTAAAGTATGTGTGTTAATTTATACTGTTGTGGAGCTAGTGAACTATTTGGTATCATAGTTACAGCTTCTACCGTCTGCATGGGGTCTGTCTGGCTTTGGCGATTCTCATACAACTTTGGCGAGTGTTGGAGTTTGGAAACTGTTCACCACAGGAGTGTTTCTTTGTCCTTTTGGAACCAAAAGGGCAGCTTGTAACCGCTTGGAAAGAAAAGTGAAAATTTGAAAATGTGCCTTTGGGTATTGCTAATTCAGATATAATGCCCTTGGCACATGTTTCCCAGGACTGTGCTTGGTCCCTGGGCACAAAATTTGTTACATTGGTTTGGGGTTGGCAGATACGACAAGTGGATTGGAAGTGACTGTCTAATTATCATTTGGGATTGAGTCTGTTGTGTGCTCTGTAAATTTAATTTTCTTCTGTGCTCTTTGGGTCAGCTGAGACCAACTGAAAAGTGATGCTTTCAGTAACCTCATAACAACACAACCCTCCATTTTGTGTGAGTAAGCTTTATAGCATCAAGGCAACATTTTACTGGACATTTTATGTTCGGAAGTTAGATCCCTGGATTTAGCACTGAGGGACTTTGAAGTTTACAAAATGTCGTGTTCAGTGCCCTCAGTTGCAGCTCTGACGTAGATTATCTGCATTGATAATGGTCTTTCCATAAAGATAACCGAGGAACTCATATTTAGTCGTTCTGATTCGCATGTATCAACTTCAACTAAAGGAGGACCACATCACTAGAACTAATGTACTGATTGAAGATGAAAGGAAGAATAAAGGTGATGTTTGGGTGGGGAAAGAAGCGTATTTTTCAGTTCTGATAAAGTTGATTAGCTTCCCAAGTTGGGTCTGTTCCTGTCCTGTATTCTGAAAAAATATAGCTTATACTCCATTGTTCCTACAAAATTACACATTTTTTTGTAATTCTAATTATAAAAAATTAAAAACATTGTCTTCACTGAGTTTTGAGAAACCCTCATGTTTAATATTATATGCATTCAGAAAGGCCTGTGATTTATCCTGGATATTTTACTCAACTTGATTTCAAGATATTTTGATAAATGTGTAAGTGTCCAGAAGTTGGCAGCAACTTATTGCCTGTGGTACATATTACTCCTAACCATGAGATACTTTATTTTACACTTACAAAAAAGTTTAACTTCTCTGTCCCATGTGGCATAGTTTCTTATTTCATTGGCTTCTAATGTATTTTTTATTTATAATATTTTACTTGATATATAACTTCCTGTATTCTTGTATGTATTGGCCTGAGACTGGAAGATGAGTAACTTTTCAATCTTCTGACATTCTACATTTCAATGTGTCTCTAGGAAATTGCCTATAATGAGAAGTAAATTTTTGGTAGAAATTTCAAATAGATTCTTGGAAGTAAACCAAGGATGGGTACTCGATGTTGACCAGACACCCTATAAGTGACTTCACCTTTTACTACTATCTTGTGGAGACTAACTCTTCTTTTATGGGTTAGTACCATCAGCTAGGTAATAAATTATACTTTGGTGATATAGCTACAGAGATTCATGACAGATGAAATGAAAATGACAACATAATAACTTTGGTACAGTAACATTATTGACTGTTACAATGTAATAACAGACAGATCTTTGTCTTCAAGGAAGTTAAGAACTATGAGTATTAGGGCCTTATGCTCTGAGCAGATGGTGTAACTCTGCTTAACATGTTTAGCAGGTGGAATTTCATGACATACATGGCAGATACAGTGTTATTTCTCACTTGCCCATGAAAGTTTTAACCCCTACATATGCTATTTCATATTTTAAAATAATGATCATTAGGTCTGGCATACTGGCCATGAATGTTAAACAGCTTTTATATTCACTAGGAAAATATTGTGGTGTTTAATGGGCTGTTTATTTCAGGAAAAGCTGTTTGTTTGCAAGGGGAGCTCCTAGTTATTAATGCAAAAAAGGAGGAACTCAATCAATCTGTAAATTGTATGAAAGAACTTAAGGTAATTGTTAAGCATATTGTTTTTTGAAATAGATTTTAAGCAGTATGTGAAATTTTAGTCATACATAATTTATCCCAAGTCACCTGTCTTTCCTTCAGCAAATCATTTGTCATGTTTTGAACAGAGTTTCACAGTTCTAGCAAATATAGATGGGCCATGCTATCTCACTGTTGTGACTGTCACTCCCTTAATGATATACAAGATTGAGCATCTTTTTGTTTGCTTACCATCTGTGTATCTTCATTGATGAGGTAGCTGCTCAGCTCTTTACCCATTTTTAATTGGATAGTCTGTCTTATTGTTGAGTTTCAATATTTCTTTGTGTATTTTCAGGGCAAGTTCTTGCTTAGATCTGTATTTTGCAGATATCTCTTCTCAGACTGTGGCTTATCTTTCTGTTTCCTGAAGAAGATTTTATGCAGAGTGTAAACTTTTAATATGAGAAGGCCTACATTGTTAATTATTTTTTTCTGTTATGGATAAGCTTTAGTGTCTTATGTTAAAACTCATGACCAAACCCAAGGTCACATAGGTCTCTTTCTGTGCTTTCTTCTACAAGTTGAATAGTTTTACACTGTAAGTCTCAGGACTATGTTGAGAAAAATTTTCTGTAAGTTGTAAAATGTGCCATCTCTGTTCATTTCATTGTCTGTGGTTTCCGGTTAATGGTCCCTTCATCATTTTCAGCAAAAAACAAACAACAACAAGAAAACCCAGGATAACAGGCAGCATTTCAGTTGGAATTTCCAAAATGATGGCACTGAACAATCTGAAGTCTGCTTTTATTTAGTGCCCCTGGCCAGTCAGAAAAGAATGCACAGCTGCCTCACCATGACCACCTGGGTCCTGCAGTTCTGCCAGCAGCCAGTACGGGACACATGAGCCTGCCTTTTCTGACCCTTGGAGGACCCGCGTGTTCAGCACATGCCACCTGAGGATGAGAGCTCCATTCTCCTCAGCACAGACTCCAGCCACACTGCCTCACTCCAGTTGGAGGCAGAGATAAGTAAAAACCTTCCTCTAACTGCTGAGGATCAGGGACCCACTAGAAGGGTTTTGTGTGGAAAATTAGAAACAAAAAAATATTCCTATGGCTCTAGTGCACCCCAAGGACTTTCCCCACACCCAAGTGTGGTGACCACAATGCCAGGTGCACGCCATGACCTCGTGACACAAATATAGCATTTGTCACACAATTATAACACCTACAATGGAGATACATCTGTAAACAAATATATCACCCATAATACAGTTGTGACACTTGTAATACTAATGTAACAACTGTAATATTGATCTGACACCTGTAATACAACTGTAAGACTCATAACAGCAATAAAACACTCAGAATACCAATATAGCATCTGAAATACAAATATAATCACCCTAATACTGATCAAACACCCTTAATAGAACTCTAACTCTCATAACACCAATGTCGATTCACAATACAAATGAAACATCCATAACACTGATGTAACATCTATAGTGCTCTCTTGACACCTGTAATACAACTGTAACACTCACAATACCAACATACAACTCATAATACCAATATGGCATCTGCAATACAAATATAACAACTTTCATACTGATGTAACAACTTTCATATTGATCTAACACATATAATACTAATATAGCACTCCTAATACCACTGTAACATTTGTAATACAAATAGAACAACAATAACACTGATGTAACACCCGTAAATACTGATGTGACACCTGTCATACAGATGTAAGACCTGTAATACTGACATAACATTCCTACACTTACAAAGGCAGTTGGTTTCACAGCTTCCACTGAGCTGGATTTCGCTCCTATAATGAAGTTTGATGTCGTTGTCTCTGCTTTAGTGACATGGTATTGACATGGTTGTTTTCATTGAAAAGGAGTTTACTTCCCAATAGTTTTATACCTCTAGGAAACTTGAAATAGCAGTTAGTATACTTTATCCTTTCTCCCAGATTCCCGACTGGTTGTTGCTGTGCCATATTTGCAGCTTCATTCAAAATATCCCACTGTGTTTTACAAAAAGTAGAAACACTCTCCCAAATTACCATCATGTAACTACCAAATCAGGAAATACAGGGTTAGTATTGGTAATTGTAATGGCAAAATATTTATTTACAAGCACAAATTTAATCCTGTCACTTTCCTGATTTAATTTTGCTAATGGTTTTGAGAGGTGAAGCCACCTGAACTTCCTGGGTTGAGTGGGGACTCAGAGAAGTTTTCTGTCTAGCTAAAAGATTGTAAGTGCACTAATCAGCACTCTGTAGAAACACACTAATCAGCACTCTGTGTCTAGCTGAAGGTTTGTAAATGCCCCAATCAGCACTCCATAAACATGCACCAATCAGTGCTCTGTGTCTAGCTAAAGGTTTGTAAACACACCAATCAGCACTCTATAAAATGGACCAACCAACAGAATGTGGGTGAGAACAAACAAAACAATAAAGGCTGGCCACCCCAGCCAGCAGCAGCAACCTGCTTGGGTCCCTTTCCACTCTGTGAAAGCTTTGTTCTTTTGCTCTTCATAATAAGTCTTGCTGCTGCTCACTCTTTGGGTCTGCATTACCTTTGTGAGCTGTAACACTCACCATGAAGCTCTGTGGCTTCATTCCTGAAGTCAGCAAGACCACAAACCCACCAGGAGGAACAAACAACTCTGGACATGCCACGTTTAAGAGCTGTAAAACTCACTGCCCAGGTCTGTGGCTTAACTCGTAAAGTCAGCAAGATAACAAACTGACTGGAAGGAATAAACTCCAGACACATCTGAACATTTGAAAGAACAAACTCTGGGCACACCATCTTTAAGAACTGTAATACTCACTGCGAGGGTCCAAGGCTTCATTCTTGTAGTCAGTGAAACCAAGAACTCACCAGAAGCAACCAATTCTGGACATGTTTTGGCGACCCTGAAGGGACACTCACTAAGCAGTGAGTATCATGGGACCCCTTTCACTTGCTATTTTGTCTTATTTTTCCTTAGAATTCAGAGACTAAATGCTGGGTACCTGTTGGCCTGTTAAGAGCAACTAGCATGGCCACCACACTAAAGACTTGGGTGTCAGGCTTTCTGGGAAAAGGCGCTCTAACAAACTCAGACTCTTCGGAGTTGGGAGTGTTGATTTGCCTGGAACCAGCTTCTGCTTTTCCTGTACTTCTGGGATGAGCCGCGGGTCACCAGAGAGGAAAGCCATTCAGTTGTGGGGTCCCAACAAGTTGATTGACCCAGCAGCCATGAGCAGAACTCTCAAAGTCATGTCGCCCAAGCGAGACTCACCCGTCTATCCTATCTATCATGATGCTTGCCTCCTGGGTCCTAATGCTTGTCAGACAAACTTCCTCTTGCCTTTCTTCTCCTAGGTTAGTCCTGCTTCTAAAAACCACTCCTTGTCACTGGAGTTTTCTAGTTCATCCTATAAGAATGATTTCTAGTATAAACTTCAGGGTGCTTTTACCTTCTTTAGCTCTCCAGGCTCACCAATCACAAAGACATAATTTTTGCCCAAAGCCCCATCATGGGTTGGGGTTACTATCTGGAATTTTAGGATCCTTCCTTAGACTAGCAGGTCTAAAAAAAGCAATGCCTGAAGCTAGGATATGGGGAGCTTCAGAAATGGTATCTTTCCTATTCATATGAGGACAAAAAGCATCAATCTTCCAACTCTTGAGATCCCTTCCCTTACTCAGGGTATGGTCCTCCACTTCATATTTGGGGTGTAACATCATTGTAGGACAGTTGTAAAGTCCCAATACTAACAGGAGAATGCTTAGGACTCTACAAAGTTTTCAAGAATCTGTCAGTAGGAGCCACTAAATCCAATTTTTCTTGGTCCCCTTTGTGGTCAAGGAGGACAGGAAAGGGTGCAGGTTTTTGAGAATGTGTCAGCAAGGGCCACTAAATCCAACCTCCCTCAGTCCTCTTTGTGGTCTAGGAGGAAAACTAATGTTTCTGCTGCTGCATCAGTGAGTGCAACTTTTCTAATCAGCGGGGTCCAGGGACCATTGTGGGTTTCTGGTAAAGAGGTGATTCTGCTGCTGCATCAGTGAATCAACTATTGTGATCAGCAGGGTCCAGTGACTGTTGTGGGTTCTTGGGCAAGAGGTGTTTCTGCTGTTGCATTGGTGAGCACAACTATTCTGATCAGCAGGGTCCAGGGACAATTGTGGATTCTTGGGCAGGGGCAGAAACAAACAAATCAAAACTGCTGGTGGTTTTGTCTTTCAGATGGGAAACACTCAGGCATCAACAGGTTCACCCTTGGAATGCATCCTAAGCCACTGGGACCAGTTTGACCCACAAACCCTGAAAAAGAGGTGGCTTATTTTTTTCTGCACTATGGCCTGACCCCAATATTCTCTCCCTGATGGGGAAAAATGGCCACCTGAGGGAAGTAAAAATTACAATACTTTCCTACAGCTTGACCTTTTCTGTAAGAGGGAAGCAAATTTAGTGAAATACCTTGTGTCCAAGCTTTCTTTTCATTGAAGGAGAATACACAACTATGCAAAGCTTGCAATTTACATCCTAGAGGAGGACCTCTCAGCTTACCTTCATACCCAGCCTCCACTAAACTCCTCTGCCCAGAGGGAAACAAGCAAAAGAAATCTCCAAAGGACCACAAAAACCCCCAGGCTATCAGTTATGTCCCCTTCAAGCTGTAGGGGGAGGGGAAATTGGCCTAACCTGGGTACATGTCCCCTTCTCCCTCTCTGATTTAAAGCAGATCAAGGCAAACCTGGGGAGGTTTTCAGATGATCCTGATAGGTACATAGATGTCCTACAAGGGTATAGAGCAAACCTTCAATCTCACTTGGAGAGATGTCATGCTATTCTTAGATCAAACCCTGGCCTTTAATGAAAAGATTGTGGCTTTAACTGCAGCCTGAGAGTTTGGAGATACCTGGTGTCTTAGTCAAGTAAATAATAGAATGACAGCCGAAGAAAGGCACAAATTCCCTACCGGTCAAGCAAGCCATCCCTTGTATGGATCCCCACTGGGACCTTGACTCAGATCATGGGGACTGGGAGTCATAAATATCTATTGAACTGTGTTCTAGAAGGACTAAGGAGAATTAGGAAAAAAAACCATGAATTAGTCAACGATGTCCAGCTTAACTCAGGGAAAAGAAGAAAATCCTTCTGCCTTCCTTGAGAAGCTATGGGAGGACTTAAGAAAATATACACCCCTGTCACCTGACTGACTCAAGTTTCAGTTGATTCTAAAAGATAAATTTATTACCCAATCAGCCACAGATATCAGGAGAAAGCTCCAAAAGCAAGCCCTGGGCCCTGAACAAAATCTGGAGGCATTATTGTTATTATTATTGTTATTATTATTATTATTATTATTATTTTGAGACAAAGTTTTTCTCTTGTTGCCCAGGCTGGAGTGCAGTGTCACCATCTCAGCTCACTGCAAGCTCTGCCATCTGGAGGCATTATTAAACCTGGCAACCTCGGTATTGTACAATAGGGACTGAGAGGAACAGGCCCAAAAGGAAAAGAGAGATCAGAGAAAGGCCACAACCTTAGTCATGGCCTCAGACAAAGAAATCTTGGTGGTTCAGAGAGGACAGAAAACGGAGCAGGCCAATCACCTGATAGGGCGTTTTACAAGTGTGGTTTATAAGGATATTTTAAAAAAGATTGTCCAATGAGAAAAAAGCCACCCCCTCATCCATATGCACAATGCTGAGGCAATCACTGAAAGGCCCACTGCCTCAGAGGGCAAAGGTTCTCTGGCCCAGGAGCCCACAACCAGATGAACCAACAACAGGACTGAGGTTGCCTCAGGCAAGCACCAGCTCATGTCATCTCCCTCACTGAGCCCCAGCTACATTTAACCATTAAGGGCCAGGAAATTGACTTCCTCCTAGACACTGGTGCAGCCTTCTCAGTGTTAACCTCCTGTCAGAGATGACTGTCCTCAAGGTCTGTTACCATCCAAGGAATCCTGGGACAGCCTGTAACCAGGTATTTCTCCCACCTCCTCAGTTGTAATTGGGAGACTTTATTCTTTTCACATGACTCTCTTGTTATGCCTGAAAGTCCCACACCCTTATTAGGGAGAGATATATTAGCCAAAGCTT